>NC_000009.12:42891556-43222167 GCF_000001405.40 Homo sapiens
AAATGCAAATTAACATAAAATAAGATATATTTTGTAAAGTCATGCTGATATTTAAAAAGTAATTATTAGTGTTGGCAAATGTGAGGAAAAAGGCATTCTCATACACTGTTGGTATAGGAAATTGGTAAATTATTTCTGAAGGGTAACTTAGTGCTGTGTATCAAAATTTCAAATAGCCTGACATCCCTTTAACTCAACAACTCCACTTCTGGGACTAGATTTCACAGGAAAACATAACTGGTGTAAACATACACACGCTTATTAAGGGCGTTAATTATATATTACACATAATGAACAATAGGTTAATGAATATATAAAATATATGTAATAAGAAGGTGAATTGAAAGTATTAAGAAAGAATTATAAAAAGTGTGGGGAAACAGATGTTAGACTCTTTAGCCTAGTTTTGGATGACAGTCATCTGCAGATATAGTTTGTGTGAGAGACATCTGAAGGTGTCATCTCACTCTGTAAATCATTTGGAGAAACACCTGCAATATTTCATAAAGATGAAAATTTATTTCTAGTGAACTTATACGCTTGTCAATAAATAGTAACTTTAAAAATTTAGTTGATTGTAAATGATCTTTCCTAATTAGGGAGTAATTATGACTGTGTGATTTAAAAAGGTAATTTTGAACCTGTAACTTCACTGAATTATCTCCGGTATCCTTTTTTATAATATATATTAGTGTGACTAGTAACAAAAACTTTAGCAGAATATTCTTTCCTTACTACTTTTCAAGTATATGCATTCTTTTGAAGATGTTGAAGTGAGAAATTAAATATCTGAGAACTGCAAAGGAAAAATAATCCAGAATATAGAAATTTTATTAGGATAATAAACAACATCTGCAGAGGTATATCACAGGATGAACTCTTTATTTTTTAACAAAATGAATTTTAAGATAAATGTCTTTATCTGTAGATGCACCTTAAAACAAGAAAATGAAGAAAAAACAAATGTTAATATGCTGTACAAAAAAAATAGAGAAGAATTAGAAAGGAAAGAGAAACAATATAAGAAAGAAGTTGACGCAAAACAACTTGAACCAACTGTTCAGTCACTAGAGATGAAATCAAAGACTGCAAGAAATACTCCAAATCGGGTAAATCAATCTTTGGTAAAAATTCTATATTTTAAACTTTATCTTATCACTGTTACTTATAATATCCACTTGATTTAATATATATTGTTTAGGTCTAAAACCAGAAATGTTATCTCATTTTTAAAAATGAATGATGACACTTACAGGTACAATTATTAATATTTATTATAAATCTTGGCATCCACATAGGATATTATTTTATTACAAAGAGCTTTTGAAAACAATAATATGCCATAATATATACTTAGTGATAACCTATTGATAAAAATTTTGTTCCAGGTAAAATTTTTCCTTGTACTTTCCCCTATTTCATATTGATTACTGCACCTAATATTATAAAGAGGAAACAGAAATTATTGCAATCACAAATAATCTCATGATATTCTAAGAAGAGCTCTATAAATTTTATCTTATTTACTATTGGTGTTTTGAAATAAAAGTTTTCTTTCGTATTGACGTATTTACACCACAGAAGTAACTGTGATCTGTTGGAGAACTAGAAGTAGAGTCAGAAGTCCTGGGGAAAATCCTGTAGCTTGCTTATATTTTTAACATTTCTTTTTCAAAATTGTGGTAACTAGATGAGTTCATCAATGAATGTATATAGGAATGACTAGTATAATGTCTAGTTTATGATTTAGTGAATGTAATTCTTATAACTGACTATAAAAGTGTTAAAAGAGTCAAACTGAAATAGAATGTTATCAGTGAAACAGAGCTGTAATAACTCTGGGAAATTTTATCTGTCCAAATACGTGTGAACAAAAGTTCTTACTATAGGGTGGTGTATGGGTTAGATATCAAAGTGTAAATGCAATTTTTTGATATATCTTAATTTAGTCAAATTTGTTAATGCTTTAATTTATGCTTTTGAGTTTGTTGTAATTCAGGGAAAGGCTTTTCCAATTCTGATATTCTTAAAAATTCTCTGGTGTGCGTGTGTGTGTTTACTTTTATAAATTCATTGACTCTAAATACATTTCTGAACTTTCTGGAATTTATGCTCTATAAGGTTCAAAGTTTTGCTTCAACTTTTTCTCCAGGTGGATATCCACTTATGGTAAACTTTTTAGTGTACGGATGTGCAGGTTATTCTTTAACTTCAGAGGTAATCATGATATGTTATTTTATTGAGTACTAGCTAAAACTTTCTTTTGTTTTATTTAGGATTTTCATAATCATGAAGAAATGAAAGGTCTGATGGATGAAAATTGCATTTTGAAGGCAGATATTGCTATACTCAGACAGGAAATATGTACAATGAAAAATGACAACTTGGAAAAAGAAAATAAATATCTTAAGGACATTAAAATTGTTAAAGAAACAAATGTTGCCCTTGAAAAGTACATAAAACTCAATGAGGAAATGATAACAGAAACAGCATTCCGGTATCAACAAGAGCTTAATGATCTCAAGGCTGAGAATACAAGGCTCAATGCCGAACTGTTGAAGGAAAAAGAAAGCAAGAAAAGACTGGAAGCTGACATTGAATCTTATCAGTCTAGACTGGCTGCTGCTATAAGTAAACACAGTGAAAGTGTGAAAACAGAAAGAAACCTAAAACTTGCTTTAGAGAGAACACGAGATGTTTCTGTACACGTAGAAAGGAGTTCTGCTATTTCCAAAGTAAAAGATGAGAATGAGTTTCTTACTGAACAACTTTCTGAAACACAAATTAAATTCAATGCCTTAAAAGATAAGTTCCGTAAGATGAGATAGTCTCAGAAAAAAGTCATTGTCTTTAGAAACTGTACAAAACGACCTAAGCCATACACAGCAGCAAACACAGGAAATGAAAGAGATGTATCAAAATGCAGAAGCCAAAGTGAATAATTCCACTGGAAAGTGGAACTGTGTAGAAGAGAGGATATGTCACCTCCAACGTGAAAATGCATGGCTTGTACAGCAACTAGATGACGTTCATCAGAAAGAGGATCATAAAGAGATAGTAACTAATATTCAAAGAGGCTTTATTGAGAGTGGAAAGAAAGATCTCGTGCTAGAAGAGAAAAGTAAGAAGCTAATGAATGAATGTGATCATTTAAAAGAAAGTCTCTTTCAGTATGAGAGAGAGAAAGCAGAAGGAGTAGTAAGTATCAAGGAAGATAAATATTTTCAAACTTCTAGAAAGAAAATTTAAACATTTGGTTCTGGATACATGTTGAACTTAGTTGAATATAAAAATCTAGATAAAAAGTGTGTTTACCATACTGTATAATTCCATTTACATGAAGCATCCAGAAAAGATAAATGTATAGGGACAAAAAGTAGATTAATGTTTGCAAGGGGCTGGGGTTGGAAGCTGGTAGTGACTGCTAATGGGCATGAGGAATCTTACAGTGATGGAAATGCTCTAAAGTTGGATTGTAGAGATGGCTGCACAACTCAGTAAATGTACTAAAAATCTTTTAACTTTAAGTTAAAACAGATACATTCTATAGTATGTAAATTATATTTCAACAAAGCTGTTTTAATAAAAAAAGGAAAAATGTGTTTACTATATCGGCTTAGAAACATGCCTCATTTCTAGGAAATAAAAGATAGAGGTGAGAGATGATTTACTTTGAGAAAAGACATTGTGTCACCTATGAAATTTTATTAGGCACAGAGTCATATTTTAAGGTAGATAGTTCTGTACTGCTGAAATAGTAATTTTAATGTCTTTACGTTGCCACATGTTAAGACCATAATGTAGTTATAAATGGAAATGTTTACACCTGAAGTATTTTCAAATTAAAATTTAATTAAGTGATTTTCTTCGACACTTAATTCTAGATTCCCCAGATGAATTGAAGTGTATTGCTGTGTCTTGTAATACCTTGCTTTAACTAGCTTTTTATGTATTTTAGTTGGTATAGCTTTGTTATTATTCATATTAATTTAACAAATCTGAAAATATGTCAAATTACGTATTTTTATGACCACGTAATGTTTTAAAGGCACCTACTTGTTATAAAATCGTAATTTAGGATAAATGTGGTAAAACTTAGCAAAACTATATTTGGTTTAGTCTTCCCACTGGTATTTATAGTTTACTTTGAATATTTATATTAATAATTAGCTCATAATTTTTATTTCAAGGCTCAATGACTATCATTGGAATATAATTTTGTTCAGTACAAAGATACTTGTAGCTGTCTGTGATTTACGAGTTAGGCATTAAATCTCCATTTTCAGACTGAGGGGTGGCAGGCTTCACATACAGTGGGAATGGAGTAATTACAGGAGGGAGTTGTAGGAGCTTTGAAGTCAGAGAGGGAGGTAGAGGCCTTTTTACCTGGGGCCTCAAAGGCCATTGGAATTTTACTTTTATTCTGAGATAGGAATCTGTTGGAAGGATTTGAACAGGTGATTGAATATGTTAGGAACTTTGAGGCTGAGTTGAGCTTCAGAGATGATTGAATGTTGGAATGAATCTGTTGTGTAAGTAAGAGAATACCAATTTGGCAGGAAGAGAACATATTCTGCATCCCTCACTGAATTCAGTAATAAATAAAAATGTGTACATGTGATTAAAAGAAGATGAATTGATATGTGTGGTGATAATTTTCAAAGTAGATATGTTAGAATTAAACATTATTAACATAATTTAATAATAAGGCAATTTATAAAATCAGTAACAAATATTTTATCAGGTGGTTGTGAGACAACTTCAACAAGAAGTGGCTGACAGTGTAAAAAAATTAACGACGTTAGAGTCTCCACTGGAAGGTATATCACGTTGTCACATTAATTTGGATGAGACATAGGCCTCAAAGAAGAAATTATTTCAAGTGGAAAGTCAAGTATGTATGGAATTTAACATCTCAACAGTTATTCTGTAGCTAGTTGAATTATATAACGTGTTTTAGGATACTAATTTTGGCAGAAGCTTGATTTTTTATTTTCATTATAATGAATGATTTCCATTTTACTATCTTTATAATGTACTTATTTTTTTATATTGTGACTTTCATTCTACCATTTTGAAAAACCATTGCATACCTTTTCTCTTACAATATGTACCCTTGGAAAAGTTGAGAATTATACATCATTCCTCATAGAAAATTGACTTTTTTCCTGTTAAACAGTATTTTTAAGTAATTTTTGTATTGCTCTGATGAGGCAGGCCAGATTAAATCAGAGGAGAATGTTTCATGGAATGTTCCAGAAAATTGTCTTATTTCTTCACTTTTGTGAATGGACACAGAATCTGTGTCTATTTGTTTCACAGATTCTAGGTTAACTTGTACAGAAAGGCCATTATACTATTCTTTGAAATGTGCATGTTTTAGGTTAATTTACAAACTATTTGAAAAGTTAGGCATTTTCTTTATCTATCTTTTATTTAAAATATACTGTAAAACTGTAGAAATATTTAGATTTGATATAGCATGTACATCAAAAATTAAGAGTTGAGAAAATTATCTTGATCCTGCCTTTGGATTTTAAAAAGATTCACTGAGATGTCATTCACATATCAGACAGTTCAACCATTTAAAATGTACAACTCAGTGTCTATTAGTATGTTCACAGCATTTTCATCACCCTGAAAAGTGACCCCACATCTCTTAGGCATGACTGCAGCCTTCCTCCATGTCCCTCCACCTACCCCTGTAGTAGGCAACCACCGTCTACTTTTGTCTCCATATGTTTGCCTGTTCTGCATATTTCATATACATAGAGTTATACAATATGTAGTCCTTTGTGACTGGCTTTTTCACTTAGCATAATGTTTTCAGAATTCATGCATGTTTTAGCACACATTCGTAGTTTATTTCTTCTTATAGTTAAATGATATTCTATTCCATGGCTATACTGGTTTTCCATTCATTCATCAGTTGATGGACCTTTAGGTTAGTTTCCACTTTTTAGCTATTATGAAAAATGCTGCTGTGAACATTCACTTACAGGTTATTATGTGGACACGGGTTTTTATTTCCCTGCCATTGGACTTTATCCTCAGAGTTAATTGGGCAGATTTCAGCACTTGTCTTGCTCATGCTATCCTTTCTGCCTTCTCAGTTTCTGTTCATCTAGCCTCATTCATTCAGACCTGGCAGACAATTTTTTTGTTTTCATGAAGCTTTCTCTGACTGTTCTGTCATTGACCTTATGTGTTAGCAATCGTTGTCTAGTCTGTGCTGAAAAACTTAGTCCTTAATTTTACATGGCTTTTATTTTTTTATGGAAGATAATTTTCTCTCATTATAAATTTGCTTAATGGGGGAATAATATATAATATGTATGCCACCTATCCTTGCATACATTGAAAATATTTTAGCTTAGAAGTTTGTAGCATACAATTCAATCCTTTATACCATACCAATTATTTCTGCTTTGAGACCTTGACATAGTAAGGTTATATTCTAAATATATTTTTAGCAATTAAATATCAAATCTAACCCAATTAGTCTAATACAGGAGATGCATTCAATCACGTGTTTATGTTTTTCTCTCTATGAAAAAGAATATAAATTGGCCTTTTTTCACTATGCAGCCATTACTGTGTTTCTGGACTGCTCCCAGTCTGTCAGCTGAACAGTTCTGGGTGCAGCTTGTCTGATGAAGGATAGCACAGCCCCTCAATCTGTGTGCTCAGCAGAGTGCTTGTGAAGGCAGCACCACAGCAACAGTTGCTCAGAGGGAACGGATTCAGGAGCCTTGACTTAGCAGTAGAGTCCAGGGTTTTCAGCTCAGTGTCTTTAGCCTGTCTCTGCTGGTCATGTCAGTTACGTACTATTCCATCCAGGAGGTGCTATTTACATTGTAGTACAGAGATAGTCATTGCCTAATGAGTCATACAGAGAGAAAAGTAAGTTATAAATTATGTCCCCCATTTGCTGCAACTCTCAGTGTTAAGAATGATTCAGTGCAGCTATAGGAGACTACTTCCATTGGCATGCCACCTGCGTAAAATACACAATTTTGTTAAGATATACAATAAAATTATTATGCTAATAGCAAATATTTTATGTAGCTCACTATGTTCCATGTAGTCTTCTAAGTGCTTCATGTTAGTCCCCAGTTAAACACCTGGTTTTGGAAGGCTGAGGCAGGAGGATTGCTTGAGCCCAGGAGTTTGAGACCAGCCAGAGCAATATAGTGAGACCCTGTCTCTAAAAAAAAAAAAGAAATTTTTTAAACACTTAGCTGAGGCATGGTGGTGCATGCCTGTAGTCCCAGCTACATTGGGAGGCTGTGGTAGGAGGGTCGTTTGAGCTTGGAATATTGAGGCTGCAGTGAGCAGTGATCAAGCCACTGCACTCCAGCCTAGGTAGCAGAGGGAGACTCTGTCTCATAAATAAAACATGTTGTATAGATTCCCATAGAAGTGAGCTAGATATCAGACATAGAATTATTAGCCACTTTGATGTCTACCTTGGGAGTAAAACATATAATAAGGGGCAGCTTTAAACCGTCTCAATCAATAGCCTCTAACTTCTCGAGAAGGTTCTTATTTCATGAATTTCTAAGCAAGGGACTACCTGGATTAAGACATTTGGTGGACACCATTTTGAGATGAAGAATCTTGAATGGGAAGAAGGGAGATCTCTACTTACTGAAGCTTCCCAATGACATAGTTAAGTGTCCCCCAAAAGAAACTTTAGAACAAGATGTTCATCATGCCATATCTCTATGGAAAAGGAAATTCTTTAAAAGAAAACAAAGGCAAACAATTGATAATCTGATTCTCACGGGAAAGTTTTCATTATCAAAGAAAAAGAGGGCTGGGTTCCATGGCTCACATCTGTAATCCCAACACTTTGAGAGGCTGAGAGGGGTGGATTACCTGAGGTCAGGAGTTCAAAAACAGCCTGGCCAACATGGTGAAACCCTGTCTCTACTGAAAATACAAAAATTAGCCAGGCGTGGTGGTGTGCACCTGTAGTCCCAGCTACTTGCGAGGCAGAGGCAGGAGAATCACTTGAACCCAGGAGGTAGAAGTTGCAGTAAGCTGAGATGGCACCACTGCACTCCAGCCTGGATGACACAGTGTGACTCCATCTCAAAAAAAGAAAAAAAAGGGACAAAGTATATTGGTCCAAAAAAGAAGAAAGAATGAAAAAAAGGACAAAGTATACTGGTTAGTATCGTAACAGTGAGATAGTCCCCCTTTGAGATTAGAAAATAACAGTATACTCAAGGTAACATCAATAAGAACCAACATAAAATAGACAAGATTCACTATCTACAAAAGTAATCTGCACCAAGTAGCAATGTATGAGCATGTGGTGGAGAATATTGTCTATAATATGTGTACTAGAAGGAAGAGACCTCAAGAAAAAGGTCAGAGCTGGAAATGTAGATTAGGGAATCTAGGTCAAAGTTTTGAGATTTTAGGAGTCCTGAGAGAATTTAAAAAGTGAAATAGCCGCCGGGCATGGTGGTCACACCCATAATCCCAGCACTTTGGGAGGCCAAGGCAGGCAGATTATGAGGTCAGGAGTTCAAGACCAGTCTGACCAACATAGTGAAACCCCATCTCTACTAAGAATACACAAAATTAGCTGGGTGTGGTAGCACATGCCTGTACTCCTAGCTACTTGGGAGGCTGAGGCAGGAGAATCGCTTGAATCCAGGAGGTGGAGGTTGCAGTGAGCCGAGATCATGCCACTGCACTCCAACCTGGGTGACAGTGGGAGACTCCATCTCAAAACAAACAAACAAACAAAAAACAACCAGAAAAGGATAGGGCTGAAGAACAGAGGTCGCTGCATTTAGAAAGGAGGCGGGGTCAGAGGAATAGAAAGGGATAGGGCTGAAGAACAGAGGTCACTGCATTTAGAAAGGAAGTGGGGTCAGAGGAGCAGAGGGAGCATTTGGTCACTGCTCTGCTGAGTAAAGCAGGATAAAGTACTTGATGACCGTTGGACTTTTTTATTGGAATTATTAAAAATCAGATTTCAGTATAAAAAACACAATAATTGATGAAAAAAGATTTCTGAATGAGACCATGTGTCATAGAGTCCAATGGAAGGGGAGAAACAGGATAATAGAAAAGCCACAAAAAGTAGACAAAAGTTGTTTTTGTTTATTATAGAAAAAATAAACTTTATTTAAAGAGAAATGGTTAAGAGAAAGGGAAAAACTGAAACCTATGGGTGAATACTTAGAATGACAGTATTTAGCTCAGCCTGAAGACAGATGAGGATGAAAAATGTAATGGGAACTAGATAAGAGTTTTCTAAAATTTGTCTTAGTAAGATGTAATTTAAGAAAACTTGGAATATCTTAAACTATTAAAAACAATATTTCTAGAGCATCTTTAAAAACTAAAATGTAAATATAACTACTCTTTTTTTTTTTTAACTAACCCTTAGTATTTTGTGTGTAAAAACCCTCATTTGTAACAAACATTGTTGGCAGTTTAAATTTCGGAAAAGATAATGATGAAAATTTGAATCATTTTTAGCAGTTTTAAGAAAAGTGACTATTATTGAAATCTGACCTTATTGGCATCAGGTTTATAAAATGCACTTTATACACCTGCCTAAATACATATTACTCATCCACTTATGAGAAATAATATTTTTGAGATAAAAGAGCGTCTCCAGATTTTACAAAAATAATTTTAAACACTTTTTTTAAGCCTAAAAAAGAAAATGAAGAATTAAGAAAACTTTTTGAGTTAATACCATCACTGAAGTATAATGTGAATCGAATAAGAAAGAAAAATGATGAATTAGAAGAAGAGGCAACTGGGTATGGTTTTCATATTGTAGAACATGTTAGCCCTTTATTAATTGATTTAACTCTAATTTTACTTGACTAAAACCTAGATACAAATTCATTTTATGTTTGCATTTTCATAATTAGATGAATTCTATTTTAAAATGTATTTCAGAAACTCACAGCACAACTTTTTAGACATGTGTGTCATGGGGGCGGGAGTCAGCTGAGCTGCTGGGGCAAGGTGAAATTTTTTTTGAATGCCAAAATATTCTTTTTTTTTTTTTTTTTTTGAGAAAAAGTCTGGCTTTGTTTCCCAGGCTGGAGTACAATGGCGCGGTCTTGGCTCACTGCAACCTATGCCTCCAAGCAATTTTCCTGCCTCAGCCTCCTGAGTAGCTGGCATTACAGGCATGTGCCACCACACCTGGCTAGTTTTTGTATTTTTATTAGAGACGGGGTTTTGCCAAGTTGGTCAGGCTGGTCTCGAATTCCTGACCTCGTGATCTGCCCGCCTCGGCCTCCCAAAGTGACATGAGCCACCATGCCCGGCCACTTATTCTTTAATGATTTTGAAAACAATGACCACACCTTGGACATATAATGTCCAGTGCACTCTTCATTATCTAGTTTGAATTTTTATTTCTGAAGATATTTTTTGCTGTCTGTGGTCATTTTTTCTTCCTTTTGTAGTATCCTCTGCTGCATTCAAATGGTTTAAAGACCTGTTTGTGTCATTCTTTAACATCAAATTTATCTTGATATGTAGCTTATATTTTGTTTCTGCTTTTTCTTTTAGATATAAAATGTGGAAATTTACTCATTGTACATGAGTACCTCTGTTGTATACATGAAGTATACATGTTATTAAACTTGTTTTACATAAATAAATTTCATATATATATAAATATATGTATAACTTAAAAAGTAAAATGAACATTCATGTTTTGATCACAGATTTTTTTTAAAAAAATGGAATCTGTCTTTGAAGCCCTGAACACAGCTACTTTTCTATTTATTTACTGAGCACTTAATTTGGTTTTCTGATTAGAATCAACATTTTTCTGTCATTGCCTTTCTCTACATGGTTTTGTATCTCTTTCATTTTGTTGACATTATGTCAGCAAAGATGTCTAGATCTCTTCTTCAAAGTCTTTAAATCGTCACACATCTCTCTGCCCCTTTCCTTTTTTCTAAAACTGCCTGTATCCTTTTTCTCCTCAACTCAGATATTAAAGATGTTTTCTTCTCTTTTTCGACATTGAATGATCTCCTTGATGCTTTTTGTGTGTACTTTTTTTTTCTTCTGATAGACTGTGGTCAGTGGGTATCAAAATGTACTTTTGTGTCTTTTTAAACGTATGTGTTTTACTTTTTTTATCTTGGTTACTCATCTCTGGGTTATGGCTTATATTTAGTAATAGATGATTTTACTTAGCATACCAACATGGATATGAGTAGTTTATTTACAAAAAGTGTATGGTTAGGCCAGGTGTGGTGGCTCACACCCGTAATCCCAGCACTTTGGGAGGCCAATGTGGGTGGATCATTTGAGGTCAAGAGTTCAAGACCAGTCTGACCAGTGAAACCCCGTCTCTACTAAAAATACAAAATGAGCCAGGCTTTGTGGTACACACCTGTAATCCCAGCCACTTGGGAGGCTGAGACAGGTGAATCACTTGAGTCCAGGAGGCAGAGGTTGCAGTGAGCTGAGATCACACCATTGCACTTTGTCCTGGGCAACAAGAGTGAAATTCCATCTCAAAACAAAACAAAAAACAAAACAAAAACACTGTATGGCTATAATATCACTTTACCTGCCATATATGCCATAAAATTGTTCTTCATATTATTTATCTAAGATTATAATTTCATATAGAATGCTTTCAAACTATGTTCAGTTGAAACTGAAAGGAACATAGTTTATAGATTTGTTTCTTCAATATGCCATAACAGATGTTTAAACAATTATTAAATATTTACTCTTAAAAATACTTGACTTACTAATTCTGTACATTTCTGCAGATATAAGAAACTCCTGGAAATGACAATAAATATGTTAAATGTATTTGGAAATGAAGATTTTGATTGCCATGGAGACTTAAAAGCAGATCAACTGAAAATGGATATTCTGATTAAGAAGCTAAAACAGAAGGTAATTTTAAAAAATTATTTTATCTTAAGGTCTAGATTACATGTGTGAGACGTGCAGGTTTGTTATATAGGTAAACGTGTGTCATGTTGGTTTGCTGCACCTATCAATCCATCACCTAGATATTAAGCCCTGCAGGCATTAGCTATTGATCTTGATGCTCTCCCTCCTGACCTTAACAGGCCCCAGTGTTTGTTGTTCCCCTCCCCGAGTCCATGTGTTCTCATCATTCAGCTCCCACTTATAAATGAGAAGATGCAGTGTTTGTTTTTTTCTTCCTGCATTAGTTTGCTGAAGATATCAGCTTTGAGCTCATCCATATCCCTGCAAAAAGCATGATCTCATTCATTTTTATGGCTCCATAGTATTCCATGGTGTATATGTACCACATTTTCTTTATCCCATCTATCACTGATGGACACCTGGGTTGATTCCATGGCTTTACTGTTGTGAATAGTGCTGCAATGAACATACAAATGCATGTATCTTTATAATAGAATAATTTATATTCCAACATATGGTAATTTTAAATCAGTTTTGGTATTAAAAATCATGTAATTTTGGAAAATATTGATAATGGAAAAACCCAAATTCTGCCAAAATATGTTGAGAAAATAGAGGGTAAATATATCTTTTCAGACTTTAAATGCCTCAGGCTCTTAGTTAATCTTCCCCAGATCTGGGAAGACCTAGAAGGGGAGAGATTGGGCTACGTTAATGAGCGCCATTTCAATCTCTTGGCCCTGCAGCAGCCATTTCAAAATATGACAAAAAAATATATTTGGGGGTAAAATATTTTGATTTCCTTCAGCTTCTTCTCTCTGTGATGCTGCACCAGAATCAGGTTGGAAAGGAAGCCACATTATAAGAGTTAATATAACCCATCTGATGAGATTTGATAGTTTGAAGGGTGTGATTCCCAGACCCTTTAGATAGAAATTGAGGCCAAGGAAAACAAGGTCTTATTCCTCAATATAAATCTGTCAGTGCTCTAAGCAGTGAAAGATTTTTCATTTAATTTTACAGACTTGAAACTAATGAAAAGGATAGCTTTTAAAATATCAATCTCTTTTTCTATGAAAAGGACATGCTGTTGATTCTCTTAGGCCTTGAACCCTGGCCAGTGATCTGAAACCAAGCAGTACCTGTCTCCAGATCACTAGTACCAAAATCACTAGTACCAAATTAATTTGGGGTGGGGGGTAACAGGTTTATTGAGAAATAATGAACACACCATGCAATTCACTCATTTAAAATATATAATTTATTAACTTTAGTATTTTCAGAGAGTTATGCAGTCATCATTACAATCAATTGTAGAACATTTTCATCACCCTAAAAACAAACCCCACATCATTTAGCTATCTTCACTAGTTTTCCCTTCCTCCCTCAGCCCTAGGTAACCACCCACCTTCTTTGTATAGATTTGCCTATAAGCCTCTAAAATGAAAAGCCAGTGGTCTACTGTGACTGGCTTATTTCACTTAGCATAATTTTCCATGCTGCATCTGTGCTGCAGCAGGTATTGATGCAGGGTTTTTGCTCCTTAGTTCAGCTCAATCTGGGTTCTTCTCTCATGACCAGGAAAAATTAAGCACACAGACACATTGAAGGGTGAGGAGGACAGAATTTATTAAGTGAAAGGAAAGCTCTCAGCAAAGAGGGGCGTCCTGCAAACAGGTTTCCACCTCACAATTGAATACCAGGAGCACAGGAGCTGAAGTGGCCAGGCTCCTGCTCTGCATAAGGCGTGAATTCCTGGTGACTCCACCCCATCCCCCCAGTGCTTGTGGGCCTCGGGTCTGCTGCCGGCACGTCCAGGCAAGACAAGTCCAGGTTCCCCTATCTGCACATAACGTCTGGTGTAAACACTTGTGAGGCTTGTTGGGGATTCTCCAGGGACCCTTCCTTATCTGCCTAGGCATTTTGCTGTCTCCTCCTAATACAGTATCAGTACTTAGTTTCTTCTTATTGCAGAGTGATATTCCATTGTATGGATACATCAAACAGTTTATTTATCCATTCACCAGGTGATGGACCTTTGGGTTCTTTCCCACCCAAAGGTGATGGACGTTTTGGTTCTTTCCACTTTTTCACTCTTATTAATAATGCTGCTGTAAACATTTATGTATGAGTTTTTGTGCTTGCATGTGTTTTTGATTTTCTGGAGTATATACTCATGACTGGAATTTCTGGGTCGTATGGTAACTTCATGCTTAACCTTTTGAGGAGCTGCCAGTTTGTTTTCCAAAGTGGCTGCACCACTTTACATCCCCAGCAGCATTGGATAAGGGCTTTAATTTCTTTACATTTTTCCTAACACTTATTTTCTCTTTTTTATTGAATAAAGGTTTCATCCTGTGGTGTGAAGTGATACCACATGTGGTTTTGATTTACTTTTTCCTAATGACTAATTACATTAAGCATCTATTAATGTGCTTATTATCCATCTTTATATCTTCTTTGCAGAAATATCTACTCAAATTCTTTGCCCATTTTTTAAATTGGGTTATCTTGTTATTTATGAATTGCAAAGGTTCTTTATATATCCTACGTATGTAAGTCCCTTATCAGATACATGCTTTTCAAATACTTTCTTCTACTCAGTATCTTACCTTTTCACTTCTTGATACTGTCTTCTCAAGCACAGCAGTTTTCAATTTTGAAGTTCATTGAATCCATTTTTCCTTTGGAGTCATAGCTAAGAAAACACTGCCAAATGCAGTCACAAAGATTTATGCCAGGGTTTTCTTCTTACTTTATTTATTTTTTGCATGTGGATATCCAGTTGTCGCAGCACCATTTGTTGAAAAGACTATTCTTTTCCCATTCTGTTCTTTTGTTAACCTTGTATAAAATCAATTGACTGTCAAGGTGCAGGTTTATTTGTAGATTATCAATTCTTAGTTTGTTTATATCTATTCTTATGCCAAGGCCAAATTGAATTTAATGAGAAGTTTTTTTCAAGCATGTTGCATATTACCAGTTGTCTTATATCATAATAAAAATTAAATTTAGTGGAATATCTTTAACTTCACCTTTTGTGCCTCAAAGGAATCTCTGGCCAGCTTATACCTTACTTTCTCTAAGACATGGCAAGTCAGGCTTACAAGACACTCTTTTTTTCTCTATTCAAACCTTTAGTCTCTTTTCCATTGCCTCCCTCTATAGTTATATTTTCAGTAAGTTTTCATCACAGGATCTGCTGATGTAGTCTAATATTTAGTGTATTATGTTTTGCTAACTCATTATAATTCATAGAATCTTCCAGAGATGTTTACCATCCAGGAAGGAGAAGTCTGAGCTGCCAGCTTTCCTCAGTGGAAATCATGTGAAGTCATCATGTTGTAGTTCGCAGATCCTCTTTCCACCTGGTAGCTGGTTCTCTTGGGTAGCACTGCATCTAATCCTTTACTTGGTGCAGATCTTGCATTCTCAGAAACCACAGTTCCCTGTATTGACCTCCTTTTACTGAAACAGAGATGCACAGCTCTGCTTTCTAGCTCAGTAGAGGATTCTTGGGATATAAAGTTTAACTCATTCCAAGAAAAAGTCTTAGGAGTGCAGCACTTCAAAATCAGGTAATGTTCAGGCAATTTATTGGAGACAAATAGTAGATTAGTATTTTGACTTTTGAAATTTCAGAGCCAAGTTGTGTGCTGTAGAGAAGCATTGTGGTATAATACAGAGATGGGATGGTCTTAACTTCTCCATACAAACAAGCTTGAAGTAAGATAAAGGAGAAATTGCATTTGATGTCTTAACACTCAAAGCATACTGTGCTTATTTTACTTCTGTGAAGACTAAAAATCATTCCATAATGTTCTCATTTCCTCATTGAGAAAAGGAAAATGAAAATTGAATACTAGATTGATTAATAAATACTCAAAACTTATTCTTTTAGAATTTTCATTAACTGAAATCAGGCAAATGTCTGATTTTGGTTATCTAACCAAGTATTTCTAGTTGTTTTTCAAATCATACATCTTCTTTCTTTGCAGTCTTATTTCCTAACTTGAGGGGAAATTGTAAGGAGACACCCTTGCCTTGTTATGAGAGTTCATAATTGAAGGGGGTTTTAGGAAATGTTCCTCCTCAGCAGCTTATGTCTCTCTCCTGGTTATCTACTGCTTCTCAATAATGTTTGCCATCAATAAATTAATCTCAACATTTATTAGATCCTACTTTAAAGGAGACTCTTTTCTCTGCATAAGTTATGTTTCCTGTTGTCTCTTTTTAAAACTTATTTTTCTAACAATTATCCAGTGTTTTGTGGCTTTAAAAGAAAAACATTTATTTTGTTCATGAACCTGTGGTTTGAAAAAAGCTTAGCCAGGACAGGTCATCTCTGCTCCCCTCAGCTTCCCTAGGAATAGCTGATCAGTTGGGGAAATGGAATCCTCTGAAGCTTTGCTCACCCATGTGTTTGATGGTTGATGCTGGCCATTGGCTGGAACCTTGGTTGGAGCAGGCAGCATGAATATTGACACTGACACTCCCAGGCTGTCTCTCTGGCCTGATCTCACTCACAATCTGGGGGCTGAGTTCAAAGGGAAAGCAGTCTGAGATAGGGAAGCCACATGATATCCCTTTTACTGCATTCTATTCATTAGAAGGAAGTCAGTAAGGATTGCCCATATTCTGTTTTTTTAATGGGATAAATATAGCTTCTCTTTTGTTTTAATTGACATGTATATACATAATTTTGGCCAATAGAGTGATATTTTGATACATGTATATAGTGTGTAATGATCAAGCTAACTAGCACATTTACTACTTCAACCATTTTTCATTTTTTGAATTGTGAACATTCAAAATCTTCTGCCTTTTTAAAAATATACAATAAATCATAGTTAACCATATTCACCCTACAATGCCACAGAACACCAGAACTCCTTCCTCTTATCTAACTGTAATTCAGTATCCATTAACCATCCTCCCCTCCCCTACCTCTGTGAGCTTTTTTGTTGTTGTTAAGAGACAGGGCCTTGCTAGTCTAGTCTGGGCTCTGGGCAACTGTCGTCACCCAGACTAGAGACAGTGGCTTGTTCATACCTCACTGCAGCCTCAAACTCTTGGGCTCATGTGATCCTTCCACCTCAGCCTCCTGAGCAGCTAGGATTATGGGCATGCACCATTGCACCTGTCTGATTTTTGACTTTGTAGAGCTATCTACCTATGTTGTCCAGGGTGCTCTGGAACTTTGGCCTCAAGTGATTCTCCTGCCTTGGTCTTTCAAAGTGCTAGGAAATTACAGGCAATAGCCAGGTTGCCCAGCCCTCAGTTTTTCTTTAGCTCCCACATATGAGTGAGAACGTGCAGTGTTTATCTTTCTGTGTCTGCACTTAACATACCATCCCTCAGACTGATCCACATGGCCACGAATAACAGGATTGAATTCCTTTATATGGTGAATAGTATTCTACTGTGTTTGTGTGCCACAGTTTTTTGTCCATTCATTTGGTTATGGACATGCAGGTTGATTCCATACATCAGCTATTGTGAATAGTGCTACAATAAACATATGAGTACAGGTATCTTTTTGATCTATTGTTTTCTTTTCTATTGCCTGAATACCCAATAGTGGGTTTGCCGGATCCCTTGGCAGTCTCATTATTAGCTTTTTGAGAAAACCTCATGTTGTTTTCTATAGTGGCTGCACTAATTTACCTTCCCACCAACAGCATGTTAGAGTTTACTGTTCTCTGGAACCTCACCAGCATATGTTATTTTTTTGTCTTTTCAATGATAGCATTTTATTCAAATTGAAGCAAGATTGTATCACATTGAAGATTTGATTTTTATTTCCCTGAGGATTAGTGATACTGAGCATTTTTAAATTTATTTATTGGCTATTTGTATTTCTTTTTTCTAAAGAAAAGTATAGTTAGATATTTTGCCCAATTTTGAACTCAGATTTTTTTTTACTGTCAAGTTTTTTGAGTTTCTTGTATATTTTGGATACTAGTCCCTTATTAGATGAATAGTTGACAATATTTTCTCCCATTCCACTGGTTTTCTCTTCACTCAGTTTGCTGGGCAGAAGCTCTTTATCTTAATGTAATACCATTTGTCTATCATTTGGTTTTTGCCTATGCTTCTGATGTCCTACCCATAAAAATCTTTGTGCAGGCTAATGTCCTCAAGCATTTTTCCTACATTTACTTAGAGTGGTTTCATAATTTTAGGCCTTAAATGTCAGTCTTCAATCAATTCTGAGTTTATTTCATTATGTGCTGTTACATAGGAAGCTAGTATCATTCTTCTCCATATGGATATTTAGTTTTCCCAGTGCCATTCATTTGAAGAGACTGTCCTTTCCCCAGTGTATGTTCTTGGCACCTTTGTCCAAAATCAGTTGGCTGTAAATATGTGGATTTATTTCTGGGTGTGTATTCTATGACCTTTACCCCAAGAATCATTACTTCTTAAAATGCAATTCAAATTAGCATGAAACATTTGCGGTTTAAGGAAAGGCTTATGGCATCAGAATCCTTATTTACAGGATTCATTATTTTGTGTTTTTTTGAGATATGGTCTTTGTCTGTCATCCAGGCAGAAGTGCGGTGATGTGGTCATAATTCACTGCAGCCCTGAACTCTGGGTACAAGCCATCTTTTTGCCTCAGTCTCCCAACTAGCTGGGTCTCCAGGCATGAGCCACCATGCCCAGCTAATTTAAAAAAAATTTTTTGTAGACATGGGGGTCTCACTATGTTGCTCTGGCTGATCTCAAATTCCTGGCCTCAAGTGATCATTCTGGCACAGGCTTTTAAATTGCTACAATTACAGGAATGAGCCACCATGCCTAGTATAGAGTGTTATATTATTTTCAAAGTCTTATTCTGAGAGCCATTTATTGACTTTGGCCTAAATAACTCAATATGATATCTCTGAAACTTTTTTTTGACATATTATGGGGAATGATAATGAGGGAAGGTGGTTAGACACTTTTTACTAAGAGATAACTTAGTGCCATCTAAGGAGGAACAAAAATGAATTATCAGAAAAATAAAAGTAAGATGAAGTGCAAAAGTTCTGTGGCAAAGATGATGATAGCAAATAATATATTTTTGTGACTCATGGTAGCTTTAACTTTTTTCTTAAAATTCTGAGTAATTTAAGGGTTCACATTTGAAGAATCCACTGCATTACAGATCACATTTTATTGCAAGTAAATGCATTTCAAAATTTGCTATTGGTTTTGTATTAGATTATTCTCAGCCTATTTCATCATCAAGCTATATTATTTTATTCATGCAGTTTGATGATCTTACGGCAGAGAAGGAAGCTTTATCTTCAAAATGTGTCAATTTGGCTAAAGACAATCAAGTTCTTCAACAGGAGTTTTTATCTATGAAAAAAGTACAACAGCAATGTGAGAAACTTGAGGAGGATAAAAAGATGTTGAAAGAAGAAATATTAAATCTTAAGACACATATGGAAAACAATAGGGTAGAACTTAGTAAACTACAAGAATATAAATTGGAGCTAGATGAAAAGGCAATGCAGGCAGTAGAAAAAATAGAAGAAATCCATTTACAGGTTAGTTTTTTAAATCAGGTAAGTTTATCTGTAATGTGCTTTCATTTATTTCACCGCAAATTATATTTTGGTTATGAATATATTATGTTTCCTCTGCCTCTCTTGTAGCAATTTGCTTTGTAGAGTTCTAGAAGAAAAATGGCATCTGTTTTTTCTTTTAAATATTTACATTTCCATTATTATTATAACAAAATCAATCTTTCAGAGTAATGATTCTCACTGTGGAGTCATTTGATGATTAAGATCAGTTGGCATAAGAAAATTGTGATTTCAAAATTATGTGATACTTTTGAATTGGTCTTAAGCTACATTGTTCATTAATCACTTTTTAAAATTATGAATGGATTCTATTACTTTTTATATGAGCAGATTACATTAATACATAATTATGATTTCAAATTTTTATAAATCAGACAATTCTGAATTCAGTTATTAGTTTTGATCTTGCTGATAAATATTTTAAGCTTCAGCCTCTTTTACTAACATATTCACAATCGCTCTTTGAATCACTGACTCAAAATGAAAGGCAACAAACATATAATAATTAGGTTATAATTGTTTTAAAAGTGTATTCTTTTCCTTTGTTTTAGGAACAAGCACAATATGAAAAACAATTAGAGCAGTTAAACAAGGATAATATGGCTTCACTAAATAAGAAAGAACTCACACTTAAAGATGTGGAATGTAAATTCTCAGAAATGAAAACTGCTTATGAAGAGATTACAACCGAATTAGAAGAATATAAGGAAGCCTTTGCAGCAGCATTGAAAGCTAACAATTCCATGTCAAAAAAATTAACAAAGTAAGTCAAAACATACACTCATAGAAAATGAATTAAGCTCATTAATTTGTTTTGAAAGCATAATTTTTAGTGAGATGGCTTCAGGAGATTAGTAGGAAGTGAATGCTAATCTAATAATGTAATTTCAGAAAATAATGTTAGTAAATAATCTTACCTTTAAAATGTTAGTCAAGGATAGTTTCTGTCCCATTTCTTTCTCTCTCTCTCTTTTTTTTTTTTTTTGCTTTTGTATGGCTTTTTTCCCCTGAAAAGTCTCATGTAGTTAACCTGATCTGTTAGTTTTTGTCACTAAGTATTTTCGAAGCATTATAATTAATAATGTGATCTTGTTATAAAATTGCTTGTCAGAATTTTCCTAAATAGAAATATTAATGAGTTTAATTTATTTTTTGGTAGATCACAACCTAAACCCAAAGTTTCAAGTGGTACTGCTACTCTGGGCACAATCATTTTTTATTGTGATCTTTAGTATTATCACTAGAGGGTGCCTCAAGAAAGACTATTTGTGTAACATTTTCAAGATGTTACAGAAAGGCATCCTTGTGAAATAGGGAATACTTATCAAGGAATTTAAAGAAGTGTAATTCACAAAGTGGTTAAAACATAACTAGAAATACCATTTGACCCAGCAATCCCATTACTGGGTATATACCCAAAGGATTATAAACCATGCTGCTATAAAGACACATGCACACGTATGTTTATTGCAGCACTATTCACAATAGCAAAGACTTGGAACCAACACAAATATCCAACAATGATAGACTGGATTAAGGAAATGTGGCACACATACACCATGGAATACTGTGCAGCCATAACAAATAATGAGTTCATGTCCTTTGTAGGGACATGGATGGAGCTGGAAACCATCATTCTCAGCAAACTATCGCAAGGACAAAAAACCAAACACTGTATGTTCTCACTCATAGGACTCATAGGTGGGAATTGAACAATGAGAACACATGGACAAAGGAAGTGGGGAACATCACATACCGGGGCCTGTCGTGGGGTGGGGGGATGGGGGAGGGATAACATTTGGAGATATACCTAATGTTAAATGATGAGTTACTGGGTGCAGCACACCAACATGGCACAGGTATACATATGTAACTAACCTGCACGTTGTGCACATGTACCCTAAAACTTAAAGTATAAAAAAAAAACAAAACCTTGTTCAGCCTGAAGGGGTGTGTGGAAGGCAGAAGGAAAAAGCCCCACCTCCAGTGCCTTGGTCACAGTGCTGGGGGCTAATTGCCTTCAGACATGCTTTAGTTCTTTTTGATCACCAACCAGCCAATCTAGTTCTCCCCCAGGAGTTGTTGTTCTGAATTATTCCTCAGTGCCAAATGCTTAATTGTTCCTAGATAATGGGTGAAATGCACAAGGGCGAAACCTAAAATTTGTTTGCTAAACACAAGTATTCCTAGATTTTGTTGTTGTTGTTCATTTTAGTTTTCTTAACCTACATTAAGGAGTACAACATGATGTTTTGATACAATTATTTCTAGTGAAGTGGTTCTTATAATCAAGCAAATCAACATATTCTTTTCTCACATTGTTACCCTTTAAATATGAGTATTTCTAATGGAATCTTCAGAATCTCACAAGTAGAGCCCTTTTAGAAGGCAGCAAGTGTTACCTGTTGAGCCATATATCACTGATAGCCATTTCTCTTCCCTGTCTACTTTGTTTGTACTGCTTGTTCAGTATAAATCACCTTAGAAACACAGGTGCTTCTTTAGAATGATTTTAAAATTATACTTGCTTACAACAGGTATGCTCTCACACATCTTCAGTGTGAAAACACTGTTTAGTGGATAATTTAGTTTGCTCTCAGGGCAAGTTTTTAAAAACTGCAAGTCATTAAGAATCAGAGGAAAAATGAAATACTAAGCGTGTGTCTTTGCTATCTTTACAGATCAAATAAGAAAATAGCAGTGATCAGCATGAAGCTCCTTATGGAGAAAGAGCAGATGAAATATTTTCTCAGCACTCTTCCTACAAGGCGAGACCCAGAGTCACCTTGTGTTGAAAATCTTACTAGTATAGGACTCAACAGAAAATATATTCCCCAAACACCCATAAGAATTCCTATTTCAAGCCCACAGACTTCAAATAACTGCAAGAACTCCTTGACTGTGGTCAGTTACATGACCATTTCTCTTTTGGGTTTCATTTCTCTAATATAATTCTTGTTTTTAATTTGGTGAAATACTGAGTTCTGTTGACTTATGCATGTTTAGTAAAGATCATAATTAACTGTGTTAACACAGAAAGGAAATGGAAACTTTACATTTTTTAATTCCCTGGAGCTCTCATTTTCAAGAGATACCCGTTTACTAACTTTATTCAATAAATGTGACTAAACTGACACATTTAAAATGTCTTTAAAAGCTGCATTTAAGTTAGGTTTTAGAAATTGCATATTATTGCCTGATAACTGATGATATAGTTTGAGATGCTTTGGCTTACTCTCTAATTGATTATAGTTTAGCTGTGGTTCATACAGCCCCCCCTTTTTTTTTCATTGAAACAGTGTTTCACTCTATTGCCCAGGCTGGAGTGTTGTGGCACCATCTTGGCTCACTGCAACCTCCACCTCCCAGGTTCAAGCGATTTTCCTGCCTCAGCCTCCCAAGTAGCTGAGACTACAGGCACCTGCCATTACACCCAGCTAATGTTTGTATTTTTAGTAGAGACAGGGTTTCACCATATTGGCCAGGCTCTTCTCAAACTCCTGACCTTGTGATCTGCCTGCCTCAGCCTCCCAAAGCGCTGGGATAACAGGCATGAGCTACCACGTCCAGCCCATGTCACTTTTAAAGTTTCTTTGCACCAGCCAGGTGTGGTGGCTCATGTCTGTAATCCCAGCACTTTGGGAGGCTGAGGCAGGTGTGTCAGAATGTCAGGAGTTCAAGACCAGCCTGGCCAAGATGGTGAAAGTACAAAAAGTAGAAAAAAAAAATTAGCCAGGTGTGGTGGAGAGCACCTGTAATCCCAGCTACTAGGGAGGCTGAGGCAGAGAATTGCTTGAACCCAGGAGGCGGAGGTTGCAGTGAGCCGAGATCGTGCCACTGAACTCCAGCCTGAGTGACAGGGTGAGACTTCATCTTGAATATAAAAAATTTAAAAAAAAGTTTAGTTGCACCATCTCAACTCTTTCCACCCATAATCACAACTGAATGATTGGCATCCAAACAGTTTACCACATATAGATGTTTATTATTTAGTAGAATCCAAAATAATTGCATTTTATGAATTAAACAAAACACTAAAATGTTCATTTCCATTTTTATGTTCAAAGCTTTGTGCTTGGCCAGGTGCCGTGGCTCACACTTACAATCCCAACATTTTGGGAAGCCAAGGCATGTGGATCACCTGAGGTCAGGAGTTTGAGACCAGCCTGGCCAACATGATGAAACCCATCTCTACTAAAAATACAAAAATTAGCAAGGCATGTTGGCAGGCATGTGTAATCTCAGATACTCGGGAGGCTGAGGCGGGAGAGTCACCTGAACCCGGGAGACAGAGGTTGCAGTGAACCAAGATCATACCACTGCACTATAGCCTATGTGATGGAGACTCTGTCTCAAAAAAAAAAAAAAAAAAAAAGGTTTATGCTTTTCTTACGTAAGAGTACATTCTCTGACTATAAAAATCCTGGAAGAAAACCTAGGAAATACTCTTCTGGACTTCATACTTCTCAATTAATTTATGGCTAAGTCCTCAAAAGCAATTGCAAGAATAACAAAAATTGATAAGTATGATCTAATTAAGCTAAAGAGCTTCTGCACAGCATGAGAAACTATCACAGGATTAAACAGACAGCGTAGAGAATGGAAGAAAACATTCACAAACTATGGATACAGCAAACGCCTATTATCCAGAATCCATAAGAGATCTAAACAAATCAACAAGCAAAAAATAAATAACACCATTAAAAATGGGCAAAGGACGTGAACAGACACTTCTCAAAATAACACATGTAAGTGGCCAACAAACATATTAACAAATGCTTACCATTGTTAATCATCAGAAAAGTGCCAAACAAAACATCAGTGAGATACCATTTCACACCAGTCAGAATAACTTGTTGAAAAGTAAAAAGAAAAAAAAAAAGATGTTGGGGAAGCAGTGGAGAAAAGGGAACACACACCGTTTGTGGCAATGTAAATTAGTTCAGCTACTATGGAGAGCAGTTTGGAAATTAAGAACTAAGGATGACCGTTGGATGCAGCAATCCCATTACTATACTAGGCGTATACCTAAAGGACAATAAATCATTGTAATAAAAAGATGCTTGCACATGTGTGTTCATTGCAGCACTATTCAAAGCAGCAAAGACATGGAGTCAATCCAGGTGCATCCAAGGCAGATTGAAAATCCAAGGTAGATTGGAATGTTCCATACATACCATGGAATACTATGCAGCCAAGAAAAGAACAAAATCATGTCCTTTGCAGCAACATGGATACAGCTGGAATCCACTATCCTAAGCAAACTAACACAGAAACCAAATATCTCATGTTTTCACTTATGTGGGAGCTGCACATTGGGTGCACATTGTCATAAACCTGGGAACAGTAGACACTGGGAAATAAGAACAGTGAGGGACAGAGTGGGCCAGGGTTGGAAAACTACTTATTGGGTCCTATGCTTACTACCTGTGTGATGGGTTCCACTGTACTCCAAACCTCGGCATCCCTCAATATACTCTTGGAAGAAGCCTACACAGGTACCACCTTAATTTAGAATACAAACTAGAAAAAAAGAAACAAACAAAAAAACACAAAAATTTACTATTAAAAAAGTTTACTATAAGTAGAGAATAGAAATTTCTTTTTAAGATAAAATTTATTGATGTAAAAACATTGGATTAAACTTGTATATAGGGCAGAGTTTTGCTAAGAATTTCAAAGCAATGCATTCATTGCAAAAGATGACTTTAATTATTTAATTTTTTTTTTTTTTTTGAGACAAGGTCTCACTGTATCACCAGGCTGGAGTGCAGTGGTGCAATCTTGGCTCACTGCAACCTCCACCTCCTGGCTTCAAGCAATTCTCCTGTCTTAGCCTCCTGAGTAGCTGGGACTACAAGAGTGCACCACCATGCCCAGCTAATTTTTGTATTTTTAATAGAGACAGGGTTTCCCCATGTTGGCCAGGATGGTCTCGATCTCCTGACCTCATGATCTGCCTGCTTTGGCCTCCCCAAGTGCTGGGATTACAGGCATGAGTCACCACACCTGGCCATTGTTTAACCTTTGTACTAATAAAACACTACCTTTCTAAAATCATGTATATGCAGTAGACCAATATTAACTGTATTTTTGTCTGATTAAACAGCATTACACAGGTGCATCCTCTTATCTAAACTTAAAATAAGTAGAAATTTTACTTCATTTATGTGATTATTTTTCTATTTAAGCAAACTTCAAGTTATGTCTAGTCACTAAAAATACTAAAGGCCACATTTTGTAAGTGATACATTATTTGCATGATAATGTTTCTTGTTTAACTTAAACATTATTATTATTTTTACTTATTTTAGATGGAGCTGGACTGTGTAGAACAAATAACTAGAGAAACAAAGAGAAGTATGTTGCCAAAATTTATTAATTACATTTAGGTTTATTTTAGAAATTAAGTGTAAATAACAAATGGCATTCCTTTTCATTGTTTGGTTAGTAGATACTATGTCAAGTATTTTTTTTCTTACACACATCTAATGCAAGATGTGAAAACAAAAACTTTCACAGAGAAGACTGTACTTATGCACCATAAATTCATCATGTTCCATAGCTTAAAAAATTCCCAAGAAGTCTATGCATCTGTTTTTTACTGGCTCTACACTTTCTTAAGTTTTGCCATCATCATGGAACTGTCAGCCAGCACACTGAAACGATTCTCAGAAAACAAAGGCATCACCAAGTTCTCAGGGTTTTGGTACAGATTGAAGGCCAACAGACCTCAGACTCATTTTGAAATCCTTAGCTGGGCAATAACCCTTCATAAGCAGTCACTTGACAGGTGACATTTTAAATCTCCTATCATTTACTGTGTCATTGGCTTACATCTGTTCTCAGGAAAAGTTCCAAATTTTTCACCATGAAATAAAAACACCCACATCAATGTGATTCTTGTCAAGTTACTCAGCCTTGTTTTTTGCCACTTACCGCACTCTACCCTTTGCTCTAGCACCAAAGTGGAGGAGAGTAGAACTCCGCAGGGCTCTTCCTCACCTCAGGCTCTTGGCCTTCGCCTCTTCCCTCTATCTGGCAAGCTTTTCCTTGTCCTTCAGGTATCAACCTATGTTATCTCCTCCACCAGAAAGCCCATGACATTGACATAAAAGTGGGATAGATGTCCCTTTTGTGTGTTCCAGTAGTGCCCTGCTGTATACCTGTCATGGTATCTATGACACTATGTGGACCTTGCCTACCTGTCTGTTTTTTTAGGTTATAGCATATGACTATTGGGAGGTGGACCATGCCATCTTCATCTTGGAATTCCAGTGCTGGTTCTAGTACCTTAGCACGTGGCTGTTGATTACATGAATGAAGAATGAAAAACCTCTGATATTTAAACACAATAGAATTAATGCCATGTGTAAATTATTTAATAGTAATTTTGTGTTGTAAATGTACATAGATATTTCTCATTCTTACTAACTCTGATAAAGTTCTCAACTCTTTAGTATTTAAACTCACATTTAGTTAACTGAAGTGTATTAGGTAAAGAACATAATTCTTTCTTTTTCTTTCCAGTTGTTGCTGTGTTGAACACTTGCTCCCGTCTACTTACTTCTCTATAATCCACTGGTAAGCCACATCTAATGAAGAGAATGTTTAACCATAAAGTCTTAAGGAAAAATTTTATTATTTAAAAGATTATAAAACTTTATTACTGGGCTGTTTACAGAACATTTTAATTGTTTTTCATAAAATATATAACATTACAATCTTTACTGAAGTAGGATGTTTTTGTATCACATGTGTGATGATAATTTATAGGGTAATTTAAATGATGTTTTTTAGCCTCAAGTTTTTTCTTTTCTTTTTTTTTTATTATACTTTAAGTTTTAGGGTACATGTGCACATTGTGCAGGTTAGTTACATATGTATACATGTGCCGTGCTGGTGCGCTGCACCCACTAACTCGTCATCTAGCATTAGGTATATCTCCCAATGCTATCCCTCCCCCCTCCCCCCACCCCACAACAGTCCCCAGAGTGTGATATTCCCCTTCCTGTGTCCATGTGATCTCATTGTTCAATTCCCACCTATGAGTGAGAATATGTGGTGTTTGGTTTTTTGTTCTTGCGATAGTTTACTGAGAATGAAGACACTTCTCAAAAGAAGACATTTATGCAGCCAAAAAACACATGAAAAAATGCTCATCATCACTGGCCATCAGAGAAATGCAAATCAAAACCACAATGAGATACCATCTCACACCAGTTAGAATGGCGATCATTAAAAAGTCAGGAAACAACAGGTGCTGGAGAGGATGTGGAGAAATAGGAACACTTTTACACTGTTGGTGGGACTGTAAACTAGTTCAACCATTGTGGAAGTCAGTGTGGCGATTCCTCAGGGATCTAGAACTAGAAATACCATTTGACCCAGCCATCCCATTACTGGGTATATACCCAAATGACTATAAATCATGCTGCTATAAAGACACATGCACACGTATGTTTATTGCGACATTATTCACAATAGCAAAGACTTGGAACCAACCCAAATGTCCAACAATGATAGACTGGTTTAAGAAAATGTGGCACATATATACCATGGAATACTATGCAGCCATAAAAAATGATGAGTTCATGTCCTTTGTAGGGACATGGATGAAATTAGCCTCCTTAAGTTTTAAGTGGATCTTGCAAATGAACACTAGTATTATTGAGTTTGATGTACTCAAATTGCCCAAAAGTCAGCTGTTTAAACAGCCAAACAACCAAGTCATCATTGATACTTTAGTAAATGTCATCGAAGGCTTCTTTGCATTTTACAGCTTTTACTACTTAGGGGAGTTAAGGAGTACCTGCCAGGCTTGTCTATGCTAATGTGACAATTTTCTTTTTGTAGTTGAACCGTGTTTTGTGGGGAGATACTTTGAGGCTCTGTAAATATCCAGTTACTCCTCAGAACCCACTAGATTTAGCATTTCATGGATGACTTGTGTTTGAACAATTATTACTATGATGGTTGCCAGATGATTATTTTCTTCTCTTCTTTGCTGTACATGGAGAAGTAAAACCAATAAATAACTGAGAAGAGAAAGCTCATGATTCTCGTGCTCCAATTCCCCAAGATTAGGCCAGTGGTAGACATTTCAAGCTGACTTCTTGTCTTTTTTATTTGTCTTCGTTACTCTGTCAGCACTTTTTTAGTTTCTGGAACAAGATGTTCTAAGCTAATGTTGTATTTTCTCTGCTCCAGCCATGGAATGAGTGATTTTTCTTAGAAGCAGAGGTGGAGCCACTGAGGAAGCACAGGCGAGCCCTCCCCAGCACGTGATCACTGGTCCCCAACAGAACAACCGCTGCCGCATCCATGAGGTACCAAGAAATTAGCAAAGGGCCTTCTGGCTGTCTGGGCACAATCCTCATGTGGTCCCTGGCTCAGCCTCAAGGGTTCTGCATTAGTCTCTGTGCTGTGTCTGTAGATCGGGACTCTGTGGGTAGGGCCCTGGGATGCCCAACAGCACAAGATGTCTCATCTGCCAAATGTCCCTGCCTTCCTCCCACTCTGACACTCAGGAATAGGCTACATGGCATGTCCAGGCAGTGCCAGGCCACCTCACTATCTCCTTTGAGATTGGCCCAGAGGGCTTTTGGGGTGAGTGTGGAGCTGGGCACCTGGAGCCTGAGGCCAGCTGTCTCTCCCTCTGTCTTGGAGGAAAAGCCATGTCCCAAAAAAAAAACCCAGGGCCTGACCTCTGGGCACACATACAGGGAGGGAGGGTCTGTGGGCTGAGGGGGGCATTGTAATGAGACTTTGAGCATGCTGCTCAGGGGCCTGGTCAGTGGACCATGCTCAGAGATGACCTGGTCATCAGGACCTAGTCAGTTGGGACCTGGTTAGTGGTGGCCTCCTCAGTAAAGGCCTCATCAGTGGGGACCTGGTGACCTAGTCATTGGAAGCCCAGTTCATGGGGACCTGGTCAGTGATGGTCTTCTTAGTGAGGCCTGATGGGTTGGAACATAAACAATGAAAAACTGGTTGGTGGGGCCTATACAGTATACTAGGGGCCTGGTCAGTGTGGGGCCTTAGTGGCTTGGAGCCTCGTTAGTGAGGGCCTGGTCAGAGGGGGCTCAGTCAGCTGGGGACTGATCCATGGAAAATTGTTCAGTGGGGGTCAGGTGAGCAGCGACCTGGTCAATTGTGGTCTTGTCAGTGGGAACCTGGTCAGTGGGGACCAGGTCAGTGGGAAATTGGTCAGTGAGGTCTGGCCTATGAGGCCTATTAAGTGTGAGCCTGGTTAGGAAGACATGGTCAGTGGGGACTTGG
This sequence comes from Homo sapiens, assembly GCF_000001405.40. Lineage (NCBI taxonomy): Eukaryota > Metazoa > Chordata > Mammalia > Primates > Hominidae > Homo > Homo sapiens. The sequence goes on from NC_000009.12 coordinate 42,921,334, forward strand.
TCAGTGGGAATTGGTAAATGGAGGAGTGGTCATTAGAGGCCTCATCAGTGGGAAACTGGTCCTGGGCGGCTGGTCAGTAGGAACCTGGCCAGCTGGCCACTGTGTGACCTCAGGCAGGGGGTTTGTCTGTGGAGTCTCCTTGCCTCCATCTGCAGGGAAGGTGAGTCAGGGCACCTTGGAGGGTGGCTGGAAAGAGAAGGTGAGAAGATGTGTTGAATCCAGCACCACTTGGCAGACCTACAACTTTACACATGACTTGTGTTCTACCTAGAGGGGGTGCCAGCCCTCTCTGCTGTGCCTGGTGCCCCTCCTCTCTCTGCATCCCCAGGACCACCATGGGTGGGGAAGGCAGAGATTGGGGAGCACCTGTAGAAGCTCTAATGCTGGCCATGAGCCCTCAGTGATGACCTGGGTGCACCTGTGAGTGGAGAAGCTAGGCCTGGCCAGAGAAGCAAGAGAAACACACACACACATATGTGCACACACACACACAGGCACACACACATGCACAAACACACTGCATCCACACATGTCAGTTCAGGGGATAGAGGACACTGACTCTGGGCCCTGCTGACCCATGCAGGCTCCCATTGTGGTGGGTTGTGTCACCCCACAATGTTACTGTTGCTGAGCCCCCATCGCCTCTGTGTTGTGGAGCAGTTAGAGACACACTGTGGTGTCTGAGTGGCTCTGCATGAAGGACCGTTTTCTAGGTGAGAGGCACATCTCAACACAGCTGACTGATCAGACTCAGGTGAGTGGGACCTGCTCTCTTCTCTTCCTCCTAGCTTGGGGACAGTCGCTATCAGGTGGGTGGTTTTGGCCTCTGGGCAGCTACTGAGGGTAATCCCTGAACACTCACCGGATGCCTATTCTGTGCTGACAGTCATCTCGTTCATCCTCGCAGCAATTCCATTCTGCATCTTTTCTAGTCACCCCCGTGATTACCCAGGACAACCCCATCAGGCCCTCTCACCCAGGCCCAGTCCAGCTCCATGATAACCAAGACGCAGGTCCAGAGACAACCGCCCTGCATGGTGCCTGCATCTGACCCCCTTGGTGGGTAGTGACCAGCACAACATGGAAGAAGTCAGGGCAGCATGCAGCCAGCTGCCCTGCAGCCCCAGATGGCTCCTAGGCCTTGGGAAGTCATTCTCAAAGGGGAAGCTGGTCATTTTGAGGTCCCTGGAGGGAAGGGTGAATGTGTCATCCCAACAGCCCTGGAAGCCAGCAGCATGCCATACATCTTACCCAACCTGTGTGACAGAGGCCCCCTCCTGGGGCACAAGTCCCATACCTAAAGGGTCCTGTCCCAGTTGAACCTCATCCTGAGCCCTGGGAGGGGAGGAGCACCATGGGCCTCCCTGCAGCAGCCAGGGTTACCACCCAGGGGACTCAGCCTTCTGTGGCCCTGGCCAGACTTAGAATTTGGCCCAAGACAAGACAAGCTCACTCGGAGCAGCTTGTCAGTACCCGGGGCCTGTGCATGCCAAGTAAGTCCAAGCTGGCTCAGAGCAACCAGCCACCTCTGCAAGGGTTTGCCAGGAGCAGGTGGACCAGCCACCAACCTCACCGACTCAAGGAAACAGGGATGGCCAGGTTCCCACACCCCGAGTGACCACCACCTGACAGCTGATGGAGTGGAGGCCTGAGGAAAAGCAGATGGCACTGGGGCCCTACCTCCAGGGCAGAGTAACTGATTTACTGCAAGTGAGGTTGGTGGCTGGTCCACCTGCTCCTGGCACACCCTTGCAGAGGTGGCTGGTTGCTCTTTGAGCCAACTTGGCCTTGCCTGGCATGCACAAGCCTCAGTTCAACAACTGTGCTGCAAATGGAGCCACATAGAGGAAATGAGCAGCAGGCTCAGGAGCAGGGTTTGCGCTGCCTTTGGGGCTCCAATCCATGCATCGGGGCTCCAATCCATGCATCAGGGCTCCTACAGCACTGTGGGCTTCTTGGGTGCCAAGAGGCAGACCACAGGCCCTCTTGAGGAGGATTCTATGTTCAAGTGCAGAAAGGGCCCAGTCTGGTAGATGAACCACACGGCCAGCTTCTGGGTGCAGGCACAGTGCCACATCTTCCATCACTTCCTGATGTGCCACACCAGCACTGAAGAGACAGCCTGGAGACAGGGCAAGAGGAAGGCTGAGAAGGATGAGATGGTGAGTGCCAGATTCTCCCTGGCTCTGAGCCCACCTCCAGGGTGACACTCAAACTTTAGGAGTGGGAGAGCAAGATTGACAGCTTCAAATGCTTCACCAAGAAGATGGACAACAGGGCACTCAGCTTAACTTCACAGCCAATGAGTTGACATGCAAGCAGGTGATGGTGACAGGCTTTAAGAAAGAGCATCAGAAGGCTGCCAGTTCTTCAGCCTCAGCCAGGCCTTGGAGCTGGACCAGCCCATCCACTTCACCACAGATGCCTTCAACACTGTCAGTGAGCTCTTTGCCAATCATCCCAGGCAGAACCTGGACCCAGTCATGGACCTGTTAGTACTGTCTCAGGGACACCAGACCAACATCCTGAACATCATCCACATACACAAGCAAGTTCTTACCAAAGTCGCAGAAGGCAGGCAACATGTGGCAGAAGGGAAGATAGAGATGCAGAGGCTGATGACATCAGAATCACAGGAACAGGAATTCTTTCACCACTTCAGTGGAAATTCACCACTTCCATCCAATTTGAATGAGAGACATGAAATCACAGATGCAGCATTTCTTGCAAAAAGAGATACTATTTTTTCAAAAATCATCCAGGAATTGATAGTGTTGAATTACTAGATATTTGATTGTGGACTGTTTACAGTTCAAGGATACTTTCTACACAGAATAATAACACTAGCAAGGAGCTAGTGCCAGCTATCCGTGGTAGCACAAGGATGGTTTTGTGCTCAACTGAAATCCAGCTGAATACAGAATTGTGTAGGAAACAGTTAATATGTTGACAGAATAGAAACAGTAGCAAACACAAACTAAATCATGCCATGAATGCCTAAACTACCAATGTAACTTTTGGAAGAATGATAATACCACTTTACTGCTTTTTGAAGTATGAATATTTTAGTGTATATGCCGTAGACCACAAACCCTATAAAGAGTCCCAAATAAGTTGGCTGGATAAAGCCTGCTGTGCATGTCTTTATACTCAAAGACTGATGATGCAATTCGAATATGTGTCCCCACCAAATCTCATATTTAATTATATTTCCTAATGTGGAAGGTGGATCCTGGTATAAGGCAATTGATTTATGAAGGCAAATTTCTCATGAATGGTTCAGCACCATCCCCTTGTACCATCCTCACAATCATGAGTGACTTCTCGTGAGATCTGGCTACTGAAAACTCTATGTCACCTCCCTACTCTGCGTGTTTTCCTCTTGCCATGTGAGACAACTCACTCTTTCTTTGCCTTGTGCAAAGATTGAAAGATTTCTGAGGCCTCCCAGAATAAGAAGCCCTGTGCTTCCTGTCCACCCTGCAGAACCATGAGCCAATTAAACCTCTTTTTCAAAATGAATCAAACAGAAAATGGCAAATGACGATTGCAGCATTGCTATAAAGATACCTGAAAATGTGGAGGCAGCTTTGGAACTAGGTAATGGGCAGAGGTTGGAAGAGTTTGGAGGGCTGAAAAGAAGACAATGAGAAAATTTTTGGACTATCTTAGAGACTGGTTAAATGGTTGTGATAAAAATCCTGGCACAAACATGGATAGTGAAGGCCAGGCTGAGGAGGTCTCAGATAGAAATAAGAAGCTTTCTGGAAAAGGTCTTCCTTTTGAATATGGAAAGCTTACACAATGCCTGTACCATCGTTATACGTTAGAAGCTGTGAACTTGCTTTTTATTTCAGAGGCTCATAGGAAAAAGAGACTGTAGCCTTGACTCAGATGAGATTTTGGACTTTCTAAGTTTGAGTTAATGCTGAAATGAGTTAAGACTCATTCTGGCAAGGCATGATTGTATTTTGCAATGTGAGAAGGACATGATATTCATGGGATCAGGGACAGAATAATATGGTTTGTCTCTGTGTCCGTATCAAAACCCATGTGGAATTATACTCCCTAATGTTAGAGGTGGGGCCTAGGTGGAAAAAGATTTAGTTATAAAAGGGTGCGGGTAGGTTCTCCATGAATGATAAAGGACCATCACCTTGATGCTGTCCTCCTGATAGCGAGTGAGTTCTCATGAGATCTGGTTGTTTAAAAGGCTGTGGAACCTCTTTCCTCACTCTGTCTTCCTCCTACTCCTGCCTTAGGAGATATCTCATTGTCTTGGCTTTTGGTATAATTAGGAGGCTTCTTGATTCCTCCCAGAAACGGAAGACACTATGCTTCCTTCACAGCTTGCAAAACCATGATTCAATTAAACCTCTTTCATTTACAATAATAGAGAAAATTAGAACTGCAGAGAGAGCTGTGAAATGTCTTCAAGGCCTTTTTCCCTTTGTCTTGGCTATTAGCACAGGGCTTCTTTATATGCAAATTTCTGAAGTCTTCTTGAATTTTTCCCCTTAAATGGGGTTTGTGTTATTGCTACATAGCCAACCTGCTATAGAGATACCTGAAAAAGTAGAAGCAGGCTCAGTAGTGGGTAGCAAACAAAGATTGGGAGGGTTTGGAGGGATTAGAGCATGACAGAAAGATGAGGGAGAGGGAGGAAGTGATTTAATCATGGATAAGCAGGGGTGGGTGTGGATGGAAAAAGGGGTGGGTAGGGTGGGAATGAGTAGGCTGGCTGTAGGGTGGTGGGAGGGTCGTGGGTAGTAGGAAGGGGGAGTAGCATGCTGCAGAGGCAGAGCCTCATGTAAAACCATTACTAGGGCAGTGCACCTGTGGCTTTGCAGGTTTGAGCCCCCATGGCTGCTCTCATGGACTGGACTAGTGTTCAGTGCCTGTAGCTCATCCACACTGAGGGTGCAAGCTGTTGGTGGGTCTCTGAATCTGGGGTCTGGAGGGTGGTAGCCCTGTGTGGGGGCTCCAAGTCCGTATTTTCCTTCTGCACTGCCCTAGTAGAGGTTTCCCAAGAACTCTGTGTCTGCAGCAGGCTGCTGCCTGGAAACAGTGGGAGGTGGGGGTGGGAGGCAGATCCTTCACCAATGGTTAAGCACCATCTTCTTGATGCTGACCTAGTAACAGTGAGTTCTTATGAGATCTGGTTATATAACAAGGTGTGGCACCTCTTTCCTCTCTCAGTCTTGCTTCTGCTCCTGCCATGTGAAACATCTCCTTGCCCCTTGGCCTTCTGGTATGGTTGTGAGGCTCCCTGAGATGTCCCAGAAGCAGAAGCCGCTCTGCCTCCTTTACATCCTGCTGAACCATGAGCCAATTAAACCTCTTTTCTTTATGATCATACAGAAAATTAGTGCTATGAAGTGGAGCTATGAAGTGCCTTCAAGGCCCTTTCCCCTTTTCTTGGAAACCAGCACTCAGCTTCTTTTCATGCAAATATCTGGAGCCTTCATGAATTTTCCCCCTGAAAGTGGACTTTTCTTCTTTTACCACACTGCCAGGTTGTGATAAAGATAGCTGACAATGTAGAACCAGGTTCAGAAGTGGGTAAAAGACAGAGGTCAGGAGAGTTGGGAAAGCTTGGAAGACAGCAAGATGAGGAAAATTTGACCATTGTAGAGAATTGTTAAATACTTGCGATCAGAAGGCTGACAGAAGGATAAACACTGAAGTTCAGACTTAAAAGGTCTCAGATGAAAATTAGGAATTTCCTGTGAACAGGAGCCATGGTTACATTTGATTGGCCTTAGCAAAGAACGTGGCTGCACGGTGACCCTGCCCTGGACATCTATGAAACTATGAATTTGGGGGTGATGATTTAGGATGTATCTGGTGGAATGAACATCTAGGCAGCCTAGCGAGGTGTCCTGTCTGCATTGAATAGCCTGTGTTCTTATGTGTGACCTAAGAAATGACTTCAAGTTGGAACTTCTATTGAAATGAGAAGTGGAGACCTAAAGTTTGGAAAATCTGCAGCCTGGCCCAGTGGTCAAAAAGAAAAGCTGATTCTCCGGGGGAAAATTGAAGAAGGCTTAGAGTATCTGCATAAAAAGAAGCCCAGTGCAAATAGCCAAGACAATGGGAAAGAGGCCTCGAAGGCATTTCACAGTCCTCTGCAGCAGCCCTTGCTGTCACAGGCCCTAGGGCCTGGCAGAGAAGAATGGTTTCCTGGGGAAGCTCCATGGCCCCATTGCTGTGTGCATCCTCAGGACACTGCTGGCTGCATCCCTGCGGTTCCAGCTCCAGCCATGGCTCAAAGATGCACAGGTACAGCTTGGGTTACTGCTTCAGAGGTGGCTCCAAGCCTTGATTGTTTCCATATAGTGTTAAGCCAGCAGATATACAGAGTAAGAGACTAGAGGCTTGGGAGCCTCTGTCTAGACTCCAGAAGATGCACAGAAATGCCTGGATGTCCAGGAAAGCAGCTTTTCCAAGAGGCAGGGCCTCCTGGGAAACCTCTACAAGGGGAGCAAAGAAGGGACATATAGGGTTGAAGCCCCCATACAGGGAGGCATCATTCTCCAAACCCCAGATTCATAGACCCACAAACAGCTTGCACCCTCAGTATGGAAAAGCTACAGGCACTCAACACCAGCCCTGTCCATGATGGCAGCTACAGGGGCTGAACACTGCAAAGCCACTGCAGATCTGCCCAAGTCCTAGGAAGCCCAGCCCTCACACCCCTGTGCCATGGATGTGGGACAGGGATTCAAAAAGGATGATTCTGGAGCTGTAGGATTGAGTGATTGGCCTGCTGGGTTTTGGACATTTATGTATCCTATGAATCCCATCTGTGTTTTGTGCTTCTTTCCAGCAATTTTTTTTTCTATTGGTTGAGAATGCTTACCCATTGCCTGTACAATCATTGTAGCTTGGAAGTAGTTAAGTTGCTTTATAATTCACAGACTCATGGCAGAAGAGACTGTAGATTTATCTCAGATAAGACTTTGGGCTTTGGATATTTGAGTAAATGCTGTAATGAGTTAAGATTTGGGGGACTGCAGGGAAGGCATCATTGTATTTTGCAATGTGAGAAAGACATGAGATTTGGGGGACCCGGGACAGAGTAATATGATTTGGCTCTGTACCTCTCCCAAAACTCATGTGGAATTTTAATGGGGAAAGTTAGAGGTGGGGGCTGGTGGAAGGTGATTTAATCATGGTGGAGAGTGGAGGTTGGATGGGAGGGATGGGGAGAGTTGGAGGGTATTGTGGAGGTGGGGAGAGTTGGGGGGGATTGTGTTTGGGTTTATGGGTAAAAGGCAGGTGTGGGGGTGGATCCTTCACAAATGGGTAAACACCATTTCCTTAATGCTGCCCTTCTGAGAGTGAGTTCTATTCATGATTTTGGAGCTGTGAGATTGAATGAACAGTGTCCTGCTGGGTTTTGGATGTGCATTGGGCCTGCGGTCCCACTTGTGTTATTTTTCTTGGAAATTTCTTCCCTTTGGATTGAGAAAACTTACCCAATACCTGTACCATCATTGTACCTTGAAAGAAATGAATGCCCTTTTAACTTCAGGGCCTCATAGGCAGAAGAGACTGTAGCCTGGTCTCAGATGAGACTTTTAACTTTTCACATTTGAGTTAGTGTGGGAATGAGTTAAGGCTTTTGGAAACTTTTGAAAAGATGTGATTGTATTTTACTGTGTGAGAAGGACATGGGATTTGGGGGGGTCAAGGTCAGCATAATATGATTTGGCTGTGTGCCTCTAGAAAAACTCACATGGAATTTTAATCCCAAATGTTGGAGGTGGGGCCTGGTGGGAGATTATTTAATCATGGATGGGAGGTGTGGGGGTGGAAGAAAAAAGGGGTGGGTAGGGTGGGGAACAGTATGCTGGCTGTAGGGTGGTCGGAGGGTGGTGGGTAGTAGGAAGGGGGAGTAGCCTGCTGCAGAGGTAGAGGCTCATGGAAAACCTCTACCAGGGCAGTGCACCTGTGGCTTTGCAGGCTTTAGCCTCCATGGCTGCCCTTATGGGCTGGGCTGGTATTGAGTGTCTATCGCTTTTCCAAACTGAGAGTGTGAACTGTTGGTAGGTCTACGAATCTGGGGTCTAGAGGATGGTGGCCTCCTGCAGAGTGACTCAAAGCCCTTGTTTTCCTTCTGCACTGCCACAGAACAGGATTTCCAAGAGGCTCTGCCTCTGCAGCAGGCTTCTGTCTGGAAACAGTAGGGGGTGGAGGTGTTTTGGTGGGGTGGATCCTTCACCAGTGGTTAAGCACCATCTTCTTGATGCTGACTTAGTGATAGTGAGTTATCATGAGATCTGGTTGTATAACAGGCGGTGGCACCTCTTTCCTCTGTGAGTCTTGCTCCTACTCCTGCCGTATGAAACATTTCATTGCTGCTTTCCTTCTGGTATGATTGGGAGGCTTCCTGAGTCTTCCCAGAAGCAGAGGCCACCATGCTTTCTTTATAGCCTGAAGACCCATGAGCCAATGAATCCCCTTTTCATTATGACCACACAGAAAATAAGTACTGCAAAGTGGAGCTATGAAATATCTTCAAGGACTTTTCCTCATTGTCTTGGCTGTTAGCACTGGGCTTCTTTTTAATGCAAATATCTGAAGCCTTCTTGAAGTTTCCCCTGGTGGAGAGTGGAGGTTGGATGTGTGGGAAGGGGAGGGTTGGAGGGTATTGGGAGGGTGGGGAGAGTTGGGGGGGATTGTGTTTGGGGTTACAGGTGAGAGACAGGAGTGCCAGGCTGCAACAAAGATAGCTGAAAATGTAAAGCGGTTCAGAGGTGGGTAACACCAGAGGTTGGAGAGTTTGGAGAGCTTGAAAAAAGACAGGAAGATGAGGGAAAGTTTGGACCATTGTAGAGACTTGTTAAATAATTGTGATTAAAATGCTGACAGAAGGAAGGCCAGGGAAGGCCAGGGAAGGCCAGGCTTACAAGGTCTCAGATGAAAATGAGGAACTTACTGGGAACAGGAGCCATGGTTACTTTTGTTTTGCTGTAGCAAAGAATGTGGCTGCAGGGCGACCTTGCCCTTGAGATCTGTGAAACTTTGAACTTGAGGGTGATGATTTAGTGCATATCTGGTGAAATGAACTTCTAGGCACCATAGCACAAGAGGGATCCTGTCTGCATCAAACAGTCTGTGCTGTTATGTGTGACCAAGGAAATGACCTCAAGTTGGAACTCATATTTAAATGATAAGCAGAGCTCAAAAGTTTGGAACATTTGCAGCCTGGCCAGGTGGTCAAAGAGAAAAGCTGATTTTCAGGGGGAAAATTCATGAAGTCTCCAGAAATTTGCATAAAGTGGAGGCCAGTGCTAATAGCCAAGACAATTGTGGGGAAAAGGCTTGGAGGCATTTCAGAGATGTTTGCAGCAGCCCTTCCTGTCACAGGCCTTGGGACCTAGGAGAGAAGAATGGTTTCCTGGGCCAGCCCCATGGCCCTGCTGCTGTGTGTAGCCTCAGGACACTGCTGCCTGCATCCCAGCAGCCCCAGCTCCTGCTCCGACCTTGGCTGAAAGATGCACAGGTACAGCTTGGGTCACTGCCTCAGAGGGTGCAAGCTATAGGCCTTGGTTGCTTCTACATAGTGTTAAGCCAGTGAGTCCACACAGCACTAGTCTAGAGACTTGGGAGCCTCCATATATATTTCAGAAGATGTATGAAAATGCCTGGTGTCCAGACAGAAGGCTGCCAAAAAAGCAGAGTCTCATGGGAAACCTCTACTTGGGCAGTGCAGAAGGAAAATATGAGGTTGGAGCCCCCACACTGGAGGCCACCATCGTGCAGACCCCAGATTCATAGACCCATCAAAAGCTTCGTACCCTCCATGGGTTAAAAACTTCAGGCACTCAACACCAGCACAGCCCATGAGGGCAGCTGTGGGGGCTGAACACTACAAAGCCATAGGTGCAGAGCTGCCCAAGGCCTTGGGAGCCCACCCTCACGCCCTTGTGCCCTGGATGTGGGACAAGGATTTAAAAGGGATGACTTTGGAGCTGTAGGTTTGAATAAGCGGCCTGCTGAGTTTCAGAATTTCGTGGGACCTGTAAGTCCAGTTTGTGTTTTGTTCTTCTCTCTGGCAAAAATCTTCCTTTTGGGTGGAGATTCTTACTCAATGCCTGGACAATCGTACCTTGGAAGTGGTTAACCTGCTTTGTATTTCAGAGGCTCGGGCAGAAGAGACTGCAGCTTTGTCTCAGTTGAGACTTTGGGCTTCAGACATTTGAGTAAATGCTGGAATGAGTTAAGACCTTGGGGGTCTTATCCAAGACGACAGGGAAAAGTCACTGAAGGCATTTCATAGCTTAACTTCACAGTACTAATTTTTTGTGTGTTCATAACAAAAAGGGGTTTAATTGGCTTATAGTTCTGCAGGCTGTAAAAAAAGCATAGTGGCTTGGGGAAATGGCAGGTAATGCATCATTTCATTTTGCAAAGTGAGAAGGACGTGAAATCTGGGTAGGCAGGGACAGAATGATAAGATATGGCTGTGTGTCCCTACAGAAACTTATCTGGAATTTTAATTGGAAATCTTAAAAGTGGGGCCAAGTTGAAGGTGATTTAATCATGGAGGGCAGTGGGGGTTGGAAGGTGGGGATTGGGGAGCATGGGTGGATTTTGGTGGAGGTGAGGGGTGAAAGGTAGGGGTGGAGGCAGGATCCCTCACAAATGGTTAAACACTATCTCCTTAATGTTTTCCTCACGATGGTGAGTTCTCGTGATGGTTTTGGAGCTGTGAGATTGAATGGATACTGGCCTTCTGGGTTTTGGACTTGCATTGGCCCTGTCATCTCATTTGTGTTATTTTCCTGGCAAACCTCTACCCTTTGGATTGAGAAAACTTGCCCCATGCCTCTACCATCATCGTACCTTGAAAGAAAAGAACTCCCTTTTAAATTCAGGGACTCATAGGCAAAAGGGACTGTAGCCTTTTCTCAGGTGAGACGTTGAACTTTTTACATTTGAGTTAATGTTGAAATGACTTCAGACTTTCAGCAACTTTTGAAAAGGCATGATTGTATTTTACTCTGTGAGAAGGATATGATATTCAGGGGATCAGGGTCAGAATAATATGGTTTAGCTGTGTATCCCTACCTAAACTCATGTGGAATTGTAATCCTGAATGTTGCATGTGGGGCCTGGTGGGAGGTGATTTATTCATGGATGGGAGAGGGGTGGGGTTGGAAGTACAAAGAGGTGGGTTAGGTGGGGAGGAGTAGGTTGGCTGTAGGGTGGTGTGAAGGTGGCATGTTGTGGGAGGGGAGTAGCCTGCTGCAGAGGCAGAGGCTCATGGGAAACCTCTACTAGGGCAGTGCACCTGTGGCTTTAGCCCCCATGGCTGCTCTCATGGGCTAGGCTGGTGTTTAGTGCCTGTAGCTTTTCCATACTGAGGGTGCAGGCTGTTGGTGCATCTATGAATCTGGGGTCTGGAGGATGGTGGCCTCCTGCATAGGGGCTCCAAACCCATATTTTCCTTCTGCACTGCCCTAGTAGAGGTTTTCCAAGAGGCTCTGCCTCTGTCTCAGGCTTCTGCATGGAGACAGTGAGGGGTGGATACGGGGTGGGGGGCAGATCCTTCACCAATAGTTAAGCACCATCTTTGTGATGCTGATCTCCTCATAGTGAGCTCTCATGAGATCAAGTTGCATAACAGGATATAGCTTTAGATAACATGAATATTTGGCTACTTCTACTTTGAATCACAATGTAAACAGAATTAATAATTCTGTTGAATTGTACACACAATTAAGTTTATGAAACCAATTTAAATTAGTTAACCATTTTCTCATATTACTGGATTCAGAAAAGCTCTAACTTATTCAGTCATCTGTTATTAGCATGTCAAGTTTCCCCAACTTTAAATCATGATTGCTAAACTACAGGAAAGTCAACTACAGCAAAGAGCAAACTCTCCCATTTGGTAACAATTGAAAGGCAGGGCAGCACAATACAATTCATTCCAATAAGTTTTCATATCACTTCAAAATATCAGGATAGTCCAGTATCAATGTATAACTTGAGGCAATTTTTGTATTCTGTTTACAGCAATATAATTTCATAAGAGTTCTTTGGTGAAAAGCAAATCGTGGTGTTAGAGAAAAAACAGAATTTCACTTCATTTTTTAGCTAACTTCAGACTCATCCATCCAGAAGAAACATATTCAAGGTATTCCAAAATAATAAAAACCTCAAACTGCATCACAGTTGGCATCTTGACATTTAATACATTGAAAATCACAACATATGAAGTGTCTTACTAAGACAGTAAACACAGTAAATAATCATTCAATTCTTTATTCAAATATAAATAATATTCATGTTTAACCAATGTAGAAATTACAAATATATGTAATTACATAAAAAAAAAAGGATATGGCACCTCTTTCCTCTCGCTGTTGTGCTTCTGCTCCTGCTATATGAAACATTTCATTGCCGCTTGGCCTTCTGGTATGGTTGTGAGTCTTCCTGAGTCCTCCTAGAAGCAGAAACAACTATGCTTTCTTTACAGCCCGAAGAACTGTGAGTCAATTAAACCTCTTTTCTTTATGTATATACAGAAAATTAATGCTGCAAAGTGAAGATATGAAATGCCTTCTAGGCCTTTCCCGCAATCTCTTGGCTGTTAGCACTGGTTTTTTTAATGCAAATATTGGAGGCCTTCTTGATTTTTCCCTTGATAATGGACCCTTCTTCTTTTACCACATGGCCAGGCTGTGACACAGATAGCTGACAATGTAGAAGCCAGTTCTGAATTGGGTAATGGCCAGAGGTTAGAGAGTCTGGAGGATGGTAACCTCTTGTGTGGGGCCACCAAGCCTTTTTTTGTGTGTTTTGTTTTTTTCCTGCTCTGTCCTAGTAGAGGTTTTCCTAGTGGCTCTGCCTCTGCCTCAGGCTTCTGCTTGGAAACAGTGGGGGTTGTGGGTGGTAGGGGGCAGATCTTTCACCAATGGCTCCACCAATGGTTAAGCATTCTTGATGCTGACCTTGTGTTAGAGAGTTCTCAGGAAATCTGGTTGTATAACAGGGTGTGGCACCTTTTTCCTCTCTCTGTCTTGTTTCTACTTCTGCCATATAAAACATACCATTGGTGCTTGGTCTTCTGGTATGATTGGGAGACTTCCTGAGTCCTCCCAGATGCAGAAGCCTCTATGATTTATTTAAAGCACGCAGAACCATGAGCCAGTTCAACCTCTTTTCTTTCTGATTATACAGAAAATTAGTGCTGTGAAATGGAGCTATGAAATGCCTTCACGGCCTTTTCCTTATTTTCTTGGCAATGAGCACTCAGCTTCTTTTCAGGCAAATATCTGAAGCCTGCCTGAATTTTTCTCCTGAAACAGACTTTGCTTCTTTTACCACATTGCCAGGCTGCAACAAACATAGCTGAAAATGTAGAAGCAGGTTGAGAAGTGTGTAACGGCCAGAGGTTGGAGAGTTTGGAGGTGTTGGAAGAAGACAGGAAGATGTGGAAAAGTTTGGACCAGTGTAGAGACTTGTTAAATAGTTATAATTAAAAAGATGACAGAATGATGGACAGTGATGGCCAGGCTTAGAAGGTCTCACATGAAAATGAGGAGCTTGCTGGGACGAGGAGCCAAGGTCATTTTTGTTTTGCCTTAGCAAAGAACATTACTGCACGATGCCCTTAACCTGGAGATCTGTGAAACTTTGAACTTGAGAGTGATGATTTAGAATGTATCTGGTGGAATGAACTTTTAGGCAGCAAAGCTCAAGAGATGTCTGGTCTGTGCCAAACACCCTGAGGTCTTATATGTGACCAAAGAAATGAACTCAAGGTGAAACTTATATTTAAATGAGACGGAGAGCTTAAAAGTTTGGAAAACTTGCAGGCTGGCCAAGTGGTCAAAAAGAAAAGCTGATTTTTGGTGAGAAAGTTCAAGAAGATTTCAGAAATGTGCATAAAATGGAATTGAGTGCTAATAGCCAAGACAATGATAAAAAGGCCTTGAAGGCACTTCAGAGACTTTTGCAGCAACCCTTGCTGTCACAGGCCCCCAGGCCTGGGAGAAGAGAATGGTTTCCTTATCCAGTCCCATGGCCCTGCTGCTGTGTCCATCCTCGGGACACTGCTGGCTGCATACCTGAAGCTCGAGCTCCAACCATGGCTGACAGATACAAAGGTACATCATGGGTCACTGCTTCAGAGGGTGCAAGCTGCAAGCCTTGGTGGCTTCCACATACTGTTGAGCCAGCAGGTGCACAAAGGCCAAGACTAGAGGCTCAGAATCCTTCATGTAGACTACAGAGGATTTACAGAAAAACCTGGGTGTCCAGGTTGAAGCTATTCAAAGAGGCAGAGCCTCATGGGAATCCTTTACTAGGGCAGTATGGAAGGAACATATAGGGTTGGAACCACCACACAGGGAGCACCATTCTGAAATGTCAGATTCATAGACTCACTAACATCTTGCATCCTCATTGTGGAAAAGCTACAGGTGCTCAAAACTAGCCCAGCCCATGAGGGCAGCTGCGGGGGCTGAACACTGCAAAGCCACAGGTGCAGAGCTGCCCAAGGCCTTGGGAGCCCAGCCCTCATGCCCTTGTGCCCTGGATGTGGGACAAGGATTTAAAAAGGATGATTTTGGAGCTGTAGGTTTGAATAACTGGCCTGCTGGGTTTTGGAATGTCATGGGAACCTGTAAGTCCCGTTTGTGTTTTGTTCTTCCCTCTGGCAAAAAATCTTCCTTTCGGGTGGAGGTTCTTACTCAATGCCTGGACAATCGTACCTTGGAGGTAATTAACTTGCTTTGTATTTCAGAGGCTCAGGGGCAGAAGGGATGGCAGTCTTGTCTCAGAAGAGACTTTGGACTTTGGACATTTCAGTAAATGCTGGAATGAGCTAAGACATTGGGAAACTGTAGAGTAGGCATCATTGTATTTTGCAGTGTGAGAACAACATGAGATACGGGGGGTCAGGGTCAGAATAATACGATTTGGCTCTGCATCCCTACCAAACTCATTTGGAATTGTAATGGTGAATGTTAAACGTGGGGCCTGGTGGGAGGTGATTTATTCATGGAGAAGAGTGGGGGTTGGAGGTAGGGGTGTGGGGAGAATGGGGGAGATTATTTTGTGGTGGGGGTAAAAGGTAAGGGTAGGGGGGCAGATCCTTCACAAATGTTTAAACCCTATCTCCTTAATGCCGCCTGCGTGATAGTGAGTTCTCTTGATGATATTTGCAGCTGTGAGATTGAGTGAATCCTGTCCCGCTGAGTTTTGGACTTGTGTTGGGCCTGTGGGCCCGTTTGTGTTACTTTTATGGGAAATTTCTTCCCTTTGGACTGAGAAAGCTTACCCAATGCCCGTACCATCATTGTACCTGGAAAGAAAAGAACTCCATTTTAAATTCAGGGACTCATAGGCAGAAGAGACTGTAGCCTCGTCTCAGGAGAGACTTTGAATTTTTTTACATTTGGAATGAGTTAAGACTTTTGGAGATTTTTGAAAAGTCATGATTGCATTTTGCTCTGTGATAAGGACATGAGATTCTGGGATATCAGGGTCAGAATAATATGGTTTGGCTGTGTGTCCCTATGAATCTCATGCAGAATTGTAATCCCTAATGTTGAAGCGGGTGACTCAATTATGGACAGGAGGTTGGTGGTGGTGGAAGGTAAAAGGGATGGGTAGGATTGGGAGGAGTGGGTCGGTAGTAGGGTGGTGGGAGGGTGGGTGGTAGTAGGAAGGAGTAGCAGCCTGCTGCAGAGTGAGGGACTCATGGAAAACCCTCTACTAGGGCAGTGCACCTGTGGTTTGCAGGGTTTAGCTCAGCTGTTCTCATGCGCGGGACTGGTATTGAGGGCCTGTAGCTTTTCCTCACTGAGGGTGCCAGCTGTTGGTGGGTCTGTGAATCTGGGGTCTGGAGGGTAGTAGCCCCCTGTGTGGGGGCTCCAAGTCCATATTTTCCTTCTGCACTGCCCTAGTAGAGGTTTCCCAAGAACTCTGCATCTGCAGCAGGCTGCTGCCTGGAAACAGTGGGAGGTGGGTGTGGGAGGCAGACCCTTCACCAATGGTTAGGAACCATCTTCATGATGGTGACCTGGTGATAGTGAGTTTTCATGAGATCTGGTTGTATAATAGGACATGACACCTTTTCCCTCTCTCATGCTTGCTCCTTCTCCTGGCATATGAGACATCTCATTGCCCCTTGACATTCTGGTGTGATTGGGAGGCTTCCTGAGCCCTCTGAGATGCAGAAACTAGTATGCCTCCTTACAGCCTGCAGAATCATTAACAATTAAACGTCTTTTCTTTTTGATCATTGAGAGAATTTTTAATGCAAAGAAGATCTGTTAAGTGTCTTCAAGGCCTTTTCCCCAATGTCTTGGCGATCAGCACTCAGCTTCTTTTCATTCAAGTCTCTGAATCCTCCTTGAATTTTCCCCCTGAAAATGGACTTGTCTTCCATACCACATTGCCCGGCTCTGACAAAGATAGCTGATAATGCAGGAGCAGGTTCAGAAGAGGGTAGCAGACTGAGTTCAGGAGAGTTTGGAGGGCTTCCAAGACAAGAAATTGAGGGGAAATTTGGATCTTTGTAAAGAATGGTTAAATACTTGTGATCAGAAGGCTCACAGGAAAATAGACAGTAAAGATCAGACTTAGAAGGTCTCAGATGAAGATGAGGAACTTACTGGGAATAGGAGCCAAGGTTAGTTTTGTTTTGCTGTAGCAAAGAATGTGGCTGAACATTGACCCTGCCCTGGAGATATGTGAAACTTTGAACTTGAGGGTGATGACTTAGTGAGTATCTGGTGGAATGAACTTCTGGGCAGCAAAGCTCAAGAGGTGTCCTGTCTGCATCAAACAGCCTGTGCCCTTATGTGTGACTGAGGAAATGACCTCTGGATGGGTCTTACATTAAATGAGTCACAACTCTTATATTAAATGAGAAACGGAACTCAAAAGTCTGGGAAACTTGCGGCCTTGCCAAGTGGTCAGAAAGAAAAGCTGATTTTCAGTGGGAAAATTCAAGAAGGCTTCAGGAATTTGCACGAAAAGGAGCCCGGTGCTAATAGGCAAGACAATAAGGAAAAGACCTTGAAGCCATTTCAGAGACCTTTGCAGCAGCCCTTGCTGTCACAGGCCCTGGGGCCTAGGAGGGAAGCATGGTTTCCTGGGCCAGTTCCATGAGCCCCCTCTATGTGCAGCCTCAGGACACTGCTGCCTGCATCCCTGCAGCTCCATTTCCAACTCCAGTCATGGCTGAAAGATGCACAGGTAGAGTTTGCATCCCTGCTGCAGGGGTGCAAGTTCCAAGCCTTGGTGTCTTCCACATAGTGTTAAGCCAGCAGCTGCACAGAGCACAAAACTAGAGGCTTGGGGGCCTGTGTCTAGACTCCAGAGTATGTACGGAAAAACCTGGGTGTTCAGGCAGAAGCTTTTCCAAGAGGCAGAGCCTCATGGCACACCTTTACCAGGGCAGTACAGAAGGAGAATATGGGGTTGGAGTCCCTAAATATGGAGACACCATTCTCCAGACCCCAGATTCATAGATGCACCAACAGCTGGCACCCTTAGTGTGGAAAAGCCACAGGCACTCAACACAGCCCAGCCCATGAGGGCAGCTGTGGGGGATATATCATGCAAATCCACAGGTGCAGAGTTGCCCAAGGCCTTGGGAGCCCAGCCATCACACGCCTGTGCTCTAGATGTGAGATGTAGATTCAGAAAAGATGATTTGGAGCTGCAGGATTCAATGACTGGCCTGCTGGGTTTTTGACTTCATGGGGTCTGTAAGTCCTTGGACTTTTCAGTAAATGCTGGAATGAGTTAAGTCATTGGGGGACAGTAGAGAAGTCATCATTGTATTTTGCAGTGTGACAAGGATACAAGATTTGGGGACCAAAGGCCAGAATAATATGATTTGGTTCTGTGTCCCTACCAATACTCATGTGGAATCGTAATGGGGAATGTTAAAGTTGGGGCCTGGTGGAAGGTGATTTAATCATGGAGAAGAGTGGGGGTTGGAGGTAGGGGTTTGGGGAGAATGGGGGAGATTATTTTGTGGGTGGGGGTGAAAGATGAGGGTAGGGGGGTGGATTCTTCACAAATGGTTAATCACTATCTCCTTAATGCTATCTACATGATAGTGAGTTCTCTTGATGATTATGGAGCTTAAAGATTGAGTGAATACTGTCCTGCTGGGTTTTGGACTTGCATTGGGCCTGTGGTCCCATTTGTGCTATTTTTATGGTAAATTTCTTCCCTTTGGATTGAGAAAGCTTACACAATGCCTGTACCATCATTGTACCTTGAAAGAAACGAAATCCCTTTTAAATTCAGAGACTCATATGCAGAAGGGACAGTAGCCTTGTCTCAGGTGAGACTTTGAACTTTTTACATTTGGAATGAGTTAAGGCTGTTGGAACTTTTGAAAAGGCATGATTGTATTTTACTCTGTGATAAGAACATGAGATTCTGGGATAGCAGGGTCAGAATAATATGGTTTGGCTGTGTGTCCCTATAAAAATTCATGTGGAATTTTAATTCCAAATGTTGAAGTTGGGGCCTGGAGGAGATGATTTAATCATGGACTGGAAGCGGTTGGGGTGGAAGGAAAAGGGTTGGTTAGGGTGGGGAGGAGTAGGCTGGCAGTAGGGTGGTGTGAGGGTGGTGGGTGGGAGGAAGGGGGAGCAGCCTGCTGCAGAGGCAGAGGCTCATGGGAAACCCTCTACTAGGGCAATGCACCTGTGGCTTTGCAGGGCTTAGCTCCTGCCACAGCTCTCATGGGCTGGGCTGGTGTTGAGTGCCTGTAGCTTTTCCACACAAGGTGTGAGCTGTTGGTGGGTCTATGAATCTGGGGTCTGGAGGTTGATGGCCATCTGTGTGGGTGCTCCAAGCCCATATTTCCCTTCCGTACTTCCCTAGTAGAGTTTTCCAAGAGGCTCTGCCTCTGCCTCAGGCTTCGGCCTGGAAATAGTGGGAGTTGGGGGTAGGGGGCGAATCCTTCACCAGTGGATAAGCACCATCTTTGTGATGCTGACTTTGTGATAGTGAGTTCTCATGAGATCTGGTTGTATAATAGGGTGTGGGACCTCTCTCCTCTCCCTGTCTTGCTCCTCCTCCTGCCACATGAATCATCTCATTGCCCCTTGACATTCTGGTATGATTGGGAGGCTTCCTGATTCCTCTTAGATGCAGAAGCCACTATACTTCCTTATAGCCTGCAGAATCATGAGCCAAGTAAACCTCTTCTTTATGATCATAGAGAAAATTAGTACTGCAAAGTGGATCTATTAAATGTCTTCAAGGCCTTTTCCCTATTGTCTTGGGAGTCAGCACTCAGCTTCTTTTCATTCAAGTCTCTGAACCCTTCTTGAATTTTCCCCCTGAAAATGGACTTGTCTTCCCTTACTACATTGCCAGGCTGCAGCAAAGAAAGCTGATAATGTAGAAGCAGGTTCAGAAGGGGGTAGCAGACAGAGTTCAGAGAGTTTGGAGGGCTTTGCAGACAAGAAGTTGAGGGAAAGTTTGGATCTTTGTGAAGAATTGTTACATACTTGTGACCAGAAGGCTCACAGGAAAATGGTGAGTGAAAGCCAGACTTAGAAGGTCTCAAATGAAAATGAGGAACTTACTGGGAACAGAAGCCAAAGTGACTTTTGTTTTGCCTTAACAAATAATGTGGCTGCACGGTGACCCTGCCCTGGAGATCTGTGAAACTGAACTTGAGGTTGATGACTTACTGAGTATCTGGTGGAATGAACTGGGCAGCAAATCTCAAGAGGCGTCCTGTCCCCATGGAACAACCTGTGCTCTTATGTGTGATGGAGGAAATGACCTCTGGATGGGACTTACATTAAATGAGTCCCATCTCTCAGAACTCAAATTTAGGAAAATTTGCAGCCTGGCCAAGTGGTCAAAAAGAAAAGCTGATTTTCAGGGGGAAAATTGAGGAAGGCTTCAGAAACTTGCATGAAAAGGAGCCCGGTGCTAATAGACAAGATAATAGGGAAAAGGCCTTGAAGGCATTTCAGAGACCTTTGCAGCAGCCCTTGCTATTGTGGGCCCTGGGGCCTAGGAGAGAAGCATGGTTTCCTGGGCCAGTTCCATGAGCCTCCTTTATGTGCAGCCTCAGAACACTGCTGCCTGCATCCCTGCAGCTCAAGCTCCAGCCATGACTGAAAGATGCACAGGTACAGCTCGGGTCACTGCTTCAGAGGATGCAGGCTAGAAGCCTTGGTAACATCCTCATAGTGTTAAGCCACTGGTGGACGGAGTGTGAGACTAGAGGCTTGGGAGCCTCTCTATAGATTTTGGAAGATGTATGGAAATTCCTGGGTGTCCAGGCAAAAGCATCCCAAAAAGGCAGAGCCTTATATGAAACTTCTACTAGGGCAGTGCAGAAGGAAAATATGGGGTTGGAACTCCCACACTGGAGACCACCATCATGCAGACCCCAGATTCATAGACCCCCGCCCGCAACAACTTGTTTCCTCAGTGTGGAAAAGTCACAGGCACTCATCACCAGCCCAGCCCATGAGGGCACCCTTGGGGCATATACCCTGCAAAGCCACAGGTGCCAAGCTGCCCAAGGCCTTGGGAGCCCAGCCCTCACACCCCTGTGTCCTGAATGTGGGACAGGGTTTCAAAAAGGGTGATTTTGGAGCTGTAGGATTGAATGACTGGCCTTCTGGGTTTGGAGTTTCATGTGGCCAGTAAGTCCTATCTGTGTTTTGTTTTTTTCTGGCAAAATTCTTCCTTTTGGCTGGGAATGCTTACCCAATGCCTGTACAAGCATTGTACCTTGGAAGTAGTTAACTTGCTTTATATTTCAGAGGCTAATGGGCCTAAGGGACTGTAGCCTTGTGTCAGATGAGACTTTAGGCTTTGGACATTTGTATAAATGCTGGAATGATATAAGATTTTAGGGGACTTTAGGGAAGGCATCATTGTATTTTGCAATGTGAGAAGGACATGAGATTTGGGGAGTGAGGGAAAGAATAATAAAATTCAGCTGTGTCCCTACCAAAACTCATGTGGAATTGTAATTGGAATGTTAAAGGTGGGTCCTGGTGGAAGATGATTTAATCACGGTGCAGAGTGGGGGTTGGAAGATGGGGGTGTAGGGAAAATGGGGGAATTATGGTGGGGGTGAGGGGTGAAAATTGGGGTGGGGGGTCAGATCCTTCACAAATCATTAAACACTATCTCCTTATTGCTGTCCTTGTGATGGTGAGTTCTTTTCATGATTTTAGAACTGTAAGATTAAATGGATACTGGCCTCCTGGGTTTTGGACTTGCATTGGGCCTGTGGTCCCATTTGTGTTATTTTCCTGGGAAATTTCTGCCCTTTGGATTGAAAAAGCTTACCCAATGCCTGTACCATTATTGTACCTTGAAAGAAAGAACATCCTTTTAAATTCAGGGACTCATAGGCAAAAGGTACTGTAGACTTGTCTCAGATGAGATGTTGAATTTTTTACATTTGAGTTATTGTTGGAATGAGTTAAGACTTTTGGAAAGTTTTGAAAAGGCATGAATATATTTTGCTCTGTGAGAAGGACAAGAGACTGCAGGGGATCAGGTCAGAATAATATGATTTGGCTGTGTTTCTTTACCAAAACTCATGTGAATTGTAATCCTTAATGTTGGAGGTGGGACCTGGCTGGAGGTGATTTAATCATGGATGGGAGGGGGACCGGGGATGGAAGGAAAGGGGTGGGTAGGGTGAGGAGTAGGTTGTTAGTAGGGTGGTGGGTACTAGGAGGGGGGAGTAACCTGCTTCAGAAGCAGAGGCTCATGGAAAGTCTCTACTAGGGCAGTGCACCTGTGGCTTTGCAGGGTGTAGCCCCCATGGCTGCTGTCATGGGCTGGGCTTGTGTGGAGTGCCTGTAGCTTTTCCACTCTGAGAGTGCAAGCTGTTGGTGGGTCTGTGAATCTGCAGTCTGGAGGATGGTGGCCTCCTGTATGTGGGCTCCAAGCCTACATTTTCCTTCTGCACTGCCCTGGTAGAGGTTCTCCAAGAGGCTCTGCCTCTGCAGGAGGCTTCTACCTGGAAACAGTGGGGGGTGGTGTGGGTGGATCCTTCACCAATGGTTAATCTTCTTGATGCTGATCTCCTGATACTGAGTTCTCATGAGATCTGGTTGTATAACAAGGTGTGGCACCTCTTTCCTCTCTCTGTCTTCCTCCTACACCTGCCATATGGAACATCTCATTGTCGCTTGGCCTTCTGGTATGGTAGGAGACTTCCTGAGTCCTCCCAGAAGCAGAAGCCACTATGTTCCCTTTACAGCCTGCAGAACCGTGAGCCAATTAAACCTCTTTTTAAAATAATACTACAGAAAATTTGTACTGTAGAGTGGAGCTATGAAATGCCCTCAAGGTTTTTTTCCTGATGTTTTTACTATTGGCATTTGGCTTCCTTTATATGCAAATATCTGAAGCCTTCTTGAATTTTCCCCCTGAAAATGGACTTTTCTTCTTTTACCACACTGCCAGGCTGTCACAACGATAGCTGAAAATGTAGAAGCAAGTTCAGAAGCAGGTTCAGAAGCTGGGTAACAACCACAGGCTGCACAGTTTGGAGGGCTTGGAAGAAGACAGAAAGATGAATGAAAGTTTTGACTATTGTAGAGACGTGTTAAATAGTTATAATTAAAAGGGTGACTGAAGGATGGATAGTGAAGGCCAGGCTTAGAAGGTCTCAGATGAAAATGAACAACTTACTGGGAGCAGAAGCCAAGGTTACTTTTCTTTTGCCTTAGCAAAGAACTTGGCTGGATGGTGCCCCTGCCCTGGTGACCTGTGAAACTTTGAACTTGAGGGTGATGATTTAGGGTATATCTGGTGAAATGAACTTCTAGGCAGCAAAGCTCAAGAGGTATCTTGTCTGTATTGAACAGCCTGTGGTGTTCTGTGTGACCGAATAAATGACCTTAAGTTGAAACTTATATTTAAATGAGAAGCAGAGCTTTGAAGTTTGATTTGCAGCCTGCCCAAGAGGTCAAAAAGAAAAGCTGATTTTTAGTGGGAAAATTCAAGAAGGCTTCAGAAATGTGCATAAAATGGAGCCCAGTGCTAACAGCTAAGACAATGTTAAAAAGGCCTTGAAGGCATTTCAGAGACCTTTGCAGCAGAGCTTGCTGTCACAGGCCCTGAGTTCTAGGACCGAAGAATGGTTTCCTGGGTCAGTCCCATGGTCGCGCTGCTGTGTCCATCCTCAGGACAGTGCCGCCTGCATCCCTGCAGCTCCAGCTCCAGCTCCAGCCATGGCTGAAAGATGCACAGTTACAGCTTGGGTCACTGCTTCAGAGGGTGCAAGCTGCAAGCCTTGGTGGCTTCCACATAGTGTTAAGCCAGCAGGTGCACAGGCTTGGGAGCCTTTATCTAGACTCAAGAGTATGTAAGGAAAAACCTGGGTGTCCAGCTGGAATGAAGCTTTTCCAAGAGGCAGAGCCTCATGGGAAATCTTTACTAGGGCAGTGCAGAAGGAACATACAGGGTTGATGCCCCCATACAGGGAGGAACCATTTTCCAGACCCCAGATTCATAGACCCACCAACTGCTTGCACCCTCAGTGTGGAAAAGCCACAGGCACTGACCACCAGCCCAGCCCATGAGGGCAGCTGTGGGGAAAGACCCTGCACAGCCACAGAAGCTGAGCTGCCCAAGGCCTTGGGAGCCTCGCCATCCACTCTTGTGCTCTAGATGTGGGATGTAGATCCTTTCAGAAAAGATGATTTGGAGCTGTAGGATGGAATGACTTTCCTGCTGGGTTTTTGACTTGCATGGGGTCTGTAAGTCCCATCTGTGTTTTGTGCTTCCTTCTGACAAATTTCTTCCTTTTGGCTGGGAATGCTTACCCAATGTCTCTACAATCATTGTACCTTGGAAGTAGTTAACTTGCTTTGTATTTCAGAGGCTCGAGCAGAAGGGATGGCAGCCTTGTCTCAGATGAGACTGGGCTTTGGACATTTCAGTAAATGCTGGAGTGAGTTAAGACTTTGGGGGACTGTAGAGAAGGCATCATTGTATTTTGCAGTGTGACAAGGATATGAGATGTGGGGGGACCTGGGTGAGAATAATATGATTTGGCCCTGTGTTCCTACCAATACTCTCGTGGAATTATAATGGGGAATGTTAAAGGTGGGGCCTGGTGGGAGATGATTTAATCATGGAGAAGAGTGGGGGTTGGAGGTGGGGGAGTGGGGACAATAGGAGAGATTATTTTGTGGGTGGGGGTGAAAAATGAGGGGGGACGGATTCTTCACAACTGGTGAAACACTATCTCCTTAATACTGTCTGCGTGATAGTGAGTTCTCTTGATGATTATGGAGCTTAAAGATTGAGTGAATATTGTCCTGCTGGGGTTTGGACTGACATTTTTGTATTTTTCTGGGGAATTTTTTCCCTTTGGATTGAGAAACCTTACTTAATGCTGGTACTATCATTGTATCTTGAAAGAAAAGAAATGCCTTTTGAACTCAGGGACTCATAGGCCGAAGGGACTGTAGCCTTGTCTCAGATGAGACTTTGAATTTTTTATATTTGGAATGAGTTAAGAATTTTGGAAACTTTTGAAAATGCATGACTGTGTTTTGCTGTGTGAGAAGGACATGAGGTTCTGGGGTATCTGGGTCAAATAATATGGATTGGCTGTGTGTCCGTATAAAACTCACATGGAATTGTAATCCTTAATTTTGGGGCCTGGTGGTAGGTGATTTAATCTTGAATGGGAGGGGGTTCGGGGTGGTAGGAAAAGGAGGGGTAGGGTGGGGAGGAGTAGGTTGTCAGTAGGGTGGTAGGAGGGTGGGGGGTACTAGGAAGGGGGAGTAGCCTTCTGCAGAGGCAGAGGCTCATGGAAAACCTCTACTAGGGCAGTGCACCTGTGGCTTTGCAGGCTTTAGCCCCATGGCTGCTCTCATGGGCTGGGCTGGTGTTGAGTGCCTGTAGCTTTTCCATACTGAGGGTGTGAGCTGTTGGTGGGCCTATGAATCTGGGATATGGAGGATGGTGGCCTCCTTTTTGGGGGCTCCAAGCCCATATTTTCCTTCTGCACTGCCATAGTGGAAATTTCTCAAGAGGCTTGGCCTCTGCAGGAGGCTTCTGCCTGGAAACAGTGGGCGGTGGTGTGGGTGCAGGATCTTCTTGATGCTGATCTCCTGATAGTGAGATCTCATGTGATCTGGTTGTCTAACAGGGTGTGGTACCTCTTTCCTCTCTGTGTCTTGCTCCTACCCCTGCCATATGAAACATCTCATTGCCACTTGGCCTTCTGGTATGATTAGGAAGGGCCTGGTCAGTGTGGGCCTGGTCAGTGAACTAGTCAGTTGGGACTTGGTCAATGAGGCCTATTTACTGGGGGAATGGTCAGCCAGGGTCTGCTTAGAGAGGGTCTCATTAGAGGGATCGAGTAGTGCAGGTCTTGTTGAGTGGGGACCTAGTGGCAGACAAATGTTTGGTGTCTGGTCAGTGCAAACCTGGGCTGCAGGGCTTGGTGAGTGGAGACCTGGTCAGCTGTGGCTTGGTGGTAGCCTTGTCAGAATGGGCTGGGTCACTGGTGACCCGGTCAAGGGGTGCTATTCAGTGGAGGCCTGGTCACATGGGACCTAGTCAGCAGGGCATGTCCTCATCAGTGAGGCCCTTGTCAGTGGGACCCTGGTCACGGCAGCCTGGTCAGGTCAGTGGAACCTAATCAGTGGGGGCCTGGTCAGAGAGGACTTGATCAGTGGTGGCTTTTGTAGCACTGGTCTATGGGGTGACCTGGGCAACGGGGGTCTGAGCGGTACATGCCTGTTCAGTGGTGCCTAGTCACTAGGTTTCTGGTCAGGGGCATCTGGTCACCGCAGGCCTGGTTAGTAGGGGCCTGGTCACTGGCAGCCTGTTCCCTGGAGACCTGGTCAGTGGGGCTTCATCTGTGGGGCCAGGCAATGGGGTCATGATTGATGGAATGTGGTCAGGGAGGCCTTGTCAGTAAGGCCCTGGTCAGTGAGGCCTTGTCAGGGAGGTCTTGTCAGTGAGGCCCTGGTCAGTGAGGCCTTGTCAGTGAAATCCTTGTCAGTGGGGTCCTGGACACTGTGGGCCTGGCAGCGGGAATCTAGTTAGTGGGGCCTGGTGATGGGGGCCTAATCAGTGAGGGTGTGGTCAGGGAGGACCTGATGTGCGGGATCTGGTCAGCAGGGACCTGGTCAGTGGGGCTGCTGAGCACTGCTGGGAGGTGTCAGGGGAAATGCATGTTGTCAGGGGAAATGCATGTTATCAGGGGCCCTATGGACAGCTGGGATGGCCCAGTGGTGTCCAATGGCCCAGTCAAAAGTGGACAAAGCAGGTGTTTGGATGGACCTGGGAGATCTTGTTCAGAGATTCTGAAAGAACAAAGGTAAAGGACGGGCCAGAGTGGCTAGAGAGATGGTCACAGTCTATGGGCTGCACAGGATGGAGGAAGCCATGGAACAGGCAGGGTGGGCAGCAGGGGTGCAGGGAGAGGCAGGTGCATGCTGGGAGATCGGACCCTGTGAGGGCTGTGGGGGCGTCAGGTGGGGTGGGCTCCAGGTGCATTCTCAGTGCACTGGGCAGGTCTCAGTCCAGGCTCTCTGGACCCTGGTAGGGTGATGTGGTCACTCCCTGGGGGACTGCTGTCAGGCCCAGCCACCCACCCTTGGCAGCAGTGTCCCATCTCTGGACTGGACTTTCTCAGATCCTGCAGAGGACACAGCCTCCAGCCCAGAAGGGGCAGCCCCTTGGTGCAGCCCAAGCTCTCCATGGGCCTGGAGCATCCCTGCCAGCCCTGTGCTCCATCTACTCCCAGGTCCCGCTTTTCAAGTGTCAGCCAGCAGAGAGGC
This sequence comes from Homo sapiens, assembly GCF_000001405.40. Lineage (NCBI taxonomy): Eukaryota > Metazoa > Chordata > Mammalia > Primates > Hominidae > Homo > Homo sapiens. The sequence continues at coordinate 42,948,129 of NC_000009.12, forward strand.
TCCGTCCTCCCTTCCCTATGTGTCTCCTGGGCTGAAACTTGGGGCGCATTGGGACAGGGATTGTGCTTTCCTCAGGCCCATTTAGGGAGGAGACTGGCTCCCAGCCTGGCACAGGTCCTCAGCTCTGCCTTGGTTGCCTTAGAGTGACATGGATCAGTCAGTGCCCTGAAGGTAAATGGAAGAGACTGTCCCTGCTGTGTGGGAGGCTGGTCTAGGGATGGAGGACTTGGCAGGTCCTCCCAGTCTGTCAGGCCTGGACAGCACTGTCCTGTCTCAGGACTCAGGAAGTCTGGTCCTGGGATGGGATGGTGCTGCCCAGGGTGGGTGGCCAGGGCTTGACAGCAGTCCCCCAGGAAGTGACCACATCAGCCAACCAGGGTCCAGGGAGCCTGGCCTGAGACACCCACCCAGTGCATTGAGGGTGCACCTGGAGCCCACCCCACCTGATGCCCCCACAGCCCTCGCAGGGTCTGACCTCCCAGCATGCACCTGCCTCTCCCTGCACCCCAGATGTCCACCCTGCCTTTTCCCTGACTTCCTCCATCCTGTCCAGCAGGATGGGCTGGTCAGTGGGACAGCCTCTGTGCACATTTTGTGGCAAGTAGGAGTGACACATCATTCCTGGGAGGCCCCGTGGTTCCTGCCAAACCCAACCCCAGAATTCTCCCTGAGGTGGTTTTACCAAACCCATAACCCAGAACTGCTATTGTGGTTTGGGGGTCAGCACCCACCGGCGCCAGGGCACTACTGGGAGGCTGGGACCTGACCAAAGCCCATGGTGTCTGTGGCCTGAGGACAGGGTGTCTTGGGGCCATGAGGACAGGCCACCAATGGCCGTTGGGTCATAGGGCCTGAGACCCAGTGTTTGTCCTTCCCTGGCTCCTTCTGGTTCAGTCCCATCAGGGCTCTGGATCCCAAGACACAGCATCCAAAGTTCCCTCCAGGAATCCTGGTGGCTTGGCTTACTTTGTCATGTTTCATCTGATAGCAAAAATATCAGATCGGCTGCACAGAAAAAAATGGCTCAAAGTGCTTAATGACCAGAAGAAATCTAGGAGCAGCAAGAAGGTAATGTGGAGAGGGGAGGACCTCCATGACCGGTGTCCGTAGAGCCAGGGGTACAGGCACCCAGTGCAGTGACCTGGCACCACCTGCCTCTCAGAGGGTGGGTAGCACACTGTCCTTACCTGGGGGACAGCAGGCCTGGTCACCAGCTTTTCTCCCTGTCCCTGCAAGCATCACATTGCTGGAAGAGAATTTCATGCCAGAGCTTGGACCATCCCTAGCTTGGGGGTTAGGGGTTGTCTCTTGGTGACCTAAATGAAAAAATAGGTCCAGATCAGAGTTCCTGATGCATAGCACTCACCCACTCTTTGAATCATGGGAGGGGAGGCCTAGTCCTAGGTAAACCTAAACTCTTTGAGGAACCACAGAGCCCAAGGCTGGAAACCTCCAGAATCCTCCAGCCCCCGATCCTCCCCGGGGACTGCTGTGGCCTGTCTCACCAGAGCACTCTTCTGTCTGTAGATGTCTCAGCTGCTCTACAAGGGAGTCCTATTTCAGGTGTGGGGCTGGGTATGGTCACTCCTGCTGGATGTCTAGAAGGTGAAAACCAAGGACCTAGGAAAATACCAGATACAGCCTTTCCACCATCATCCAGAGCAGGACAAACACGCCAGGTGGTGTCAGGAACCTAGGTCTCCAGCTGGAGGGAATGTCAACCCTGCAGTGGGAGCCCATCACACATCCTAGGCACAGATGCTAATGTAGGCACCGCAGGTAAGCTGGTCTTGGTACCCCTCCCTGGCTTCAGAAAGAAGCCAAACAAGGAGCTTTCTGCAGAATGAAACCTCTTTTCCATCCAGAAGCACTGCTGACTGTTTGGTGGTTGCCGTTAGGGCAGTGAGCCTTTTGTCCATTCTGAGATTGGGCTGGTTTCTCCTCTTGGCCCTGCCCTACAGACCATAAAGGAAAACAGCAAGAGGTCCCCAGCAAACATCTACAGATGGCCCTGGATATCAGCCACATTCGGAGAAACGTGTCATGTTCTGGGAGGACTAAGGCATCGAGTAAGGCCTATGGGACTGGAGGATCCCAGGGCAGGTGGGGCAATCCAGAGCTGTGGGGGCTTCCATGGGAATTGGGAGGTCCCAAGGCAGAGGTAGGGGTTCCACAGGAGGAGTCACAGAGCACCAAGGGTTCTCTTGGCCCAGGGAGCAGTCAACACCATGGACTGAACACCCACTGGGCTAAGCCCTTGGCCAGGCTGGGGCATGTGGGGCCAGGAGGCAGCTCAGAGTGGGAGACAGAGAGACAAGTGTGCTCAGAGGGCACCCGTATCTGCATATAACGTGGTCCTGAGTTTCTGGCTGGGAAGTGCTTCCAGGGTTTCATATGTGTTATGGAGATGCTTCCTCTCTCCAACCTCACCGTGCAGGAATCCCAGTGAATATATTGCCACCATCTTGGAGCTCAGTGCCCTCATAGTGTAAGAGCACCAGCAGATCTGCCTGTGCACAGACTTCCTGTACTACCTCACTCCTGAGGGGAGATGCTTCTGCAGGGCCTGCGACCTGGGGCACAACTTTAGACACCATCATCCTGGAGCGGCACTGCACCCTCACTAGCCAGGGTGTTGATGACTTCCTCAATGCCAAGGCCACGTTCAAGATTTTCGACTTCAGTGATGCGTTTGTGCTGAGCAAGGTGGGCTTCTCCGGGATCTTAATTCAAAAGGTAGAATGCAGCTTGAGATCTAGTGTCTGATCGAAGAACTTGAACTTGACCTGGAGGGCTCTGGGGAGCCATGGAAGGTGCTGGATAAAGGAGGGACAGTCATATATGTTTTAGAGATGACTGTGGAAGGCTGCCTGGAAGGAGTGAACAAGAGCCAGGAGACCAGGGAGGGAGTTTGTGGGGCAGGTCTGGAGATGGCAAGGGAGGGATCCTGCTTGGATGAAAGGACTTCAGGGACTGTCTCGGGTTACACTCAGGTGCCCTCAGAGCTACTGTGTTCAGGGTTCTTGTCTCCAGGATGAAAATAAGGAGGAGTTGTCAGACAAGGACATATACATGGAGGCTGGCATCTTCGTGAGTGCCAATCGTGGTCCTGGTGTGGACTACTGTGGGAACAGGGGTCTCTCCATCCAGGGACATGGTGGATGGACCCTACGTCACTCCATTCTGCCCTTCCTTTCCCTCCCATTCTCCTGAGGGACTCAGTGCATGGGCACTGTCCAACCTCTGGTGCTGAAGCAGCCAAGAGACCCAAGCCTGCCTGGCTGCCACTTAGGATATGACAGCACAGCCAGTGGCCTCTACTGGATCCTGGTACCCCTCAGAAGACACCCAGACACTGGGAGTGCTGCCACCTCGTGGTGCAAGAGTTCTGAGGGATGGCAATTCTGAAGACATTTAATGGTGGGTGCCAGGCCTCATGGCTGTTCCCCAGCCCCTCTCATTGGCTCTGCTCCAGGTGGAGAAGGGGGATGATGTCTCTGTCAGTTCTGCCGGTTTAGCCTAGCAGGAAAAGAAGCAGAGCCCAGAAGCAGGGCCTGGTACCCAGCCTGCCTAACAAGGGAGAATTTGTAGGCTTTGTGGACAGAAAGATCTGGGACTCCATGTCACCCACTAACTTGCTGAGACATTAGTAAAATCAGTTTTCTTTTCTGAACTATGTTTCTGTCATCTGTACATTGAGAGGAATTTCTTTTACTCCATGAGGCTGCTTGGAGAATTAGTGACAGTGTGTGTAGAGCATGTGCCACCCAGCAGGCATTTGGTGTCGAGACCACACCTCCTCCCCCTTCATTTTCAGCCTAAATTTGCATTTTGTTCTTAAGACTTTCACTCGCCTTAATTTTACTCTTTCCTCTGATTCCCACCTTATCGTCTATCCCATGGAGTCACTAGGATCTAAGTGGGTAACAGTCATGTATGCATGTATGTGTATGTACGTATATACTTTGTTGGTGTTGGAGTGTGGTGTGTGAATGTGTGTGTGTGTGTGTGTGTGTGTTGGAGTTACTGGGTGACTGAAACTGTACACATCAAGCTGTCGTTCTGCTCATTGCTGGAAGCGCTGTCAGGGGTCCTGCCCTCAATCCCAGGTCTGACCCTTGCAGCGCAGGCAGGACATTCTGGAGGAATCATGCCCTTGGGAGGATCCCTGAGGAGTGACTGGTGGGTATTGGTGAATAAATACCCCTGGTCCCTTGCTCTGGGTATGACGACTCTGAAGCACATGTTCTGTGCTGTCTCTCAGAGGTACCTGGCAGGGCTGAGTCCTGGCTGCCACAGTGGAAACTTTCTTGATGAAGGTCCCTTTAACTGCTGCATTCCTTTCCTGTCTCAGTTCCCCACTCCTCCACTGATGTTTCCTGGGATTAGCACCCTAAGGAAGAACTGGCAGTCGAATTAATATCCTAGAGTTATCTCCAAACAAAATTTTTGTATTTGAATCTTTGCCTCAGGATCTACTTCCAGGAAATTCAGACTAAGACACACATTTTTATTTTGGCTCCTTGAATCCCCATAGGCCTGACATTTTGCTGTTTTTATCAAAAAGGGACATGAGGATCAGAGAGGGAAAGTCACTTGCCCAAAGTCACCCAGCTGAACAGTGGTAGAGTTCAACTTTGATCATGAGATGTCTGGCCCCAAGGTGGAGGCTTGCTCCTCTCTCATGAGACTCCTTCCTTATCAGGGTCAAATGAATGAATGGAGGATGTTAAAAGTGGGGTCTCTGATGCCTTTGCCAGATAAACCCCAGGCTCATGGCTGGCGCCTGTTTTCTCATTCTTACCTCATTAAGAGTAGTAATGAAAAACATGCTCAGTGCTGACCGTGTGCCTGGGGGTGTTGTAGGCACTCCGCTTACTTTAATTCATTTAATTTTCACAATAACCTTGTTTTTACTTCTAGTTGTTATATGAAAAAACTGAGGCAAAGAGCAATACAGAGAGTTGCAAAAATTCATACCGCTGGTCCAGGTTTGAACCAAACAGTCTGCACCTGGAGTCCTTGTTTGTAACCATGGCACCCTGTCTTCACACATATCTCATCGTGGAATTCCATCTTGTGTTAGGCATGGCACTGAGCAGCTTCTTTTAAGAACATAATTTGTAGCCAGGCGCAGCGGCTTATGCCTGTAATCCCAGCACTTTGGGAGGCCGAGGCGGGAAGATCACGAGGTCAGGAGATCCAGACCATCCTGGCTAACTTGGTGAAACCCCGTCTCTAGTAAAAACACAAAAAATTAGCTGGGCATGATGGTTGGCACCTATAGTCCCAGCTACTTGGGAGGCTGAGGCAGGAGACTGGCATGAACCCGGGAGGTGGAGCTGGCAGTGAGCCGAGATGGCACGACTGCACTCCAGCCTGGGTGAGAGAGCAAGACTCCATCTAAAAAAAAAAAAACAAAACATAATTTGTAATTATGTAAATTACTAATTCTACTTCAAAGTGCCACACAGCCTTCATGTGATAAAATGAAGCAATTGGTAAGTCTAAGCATTGAGAAAAAACATTATTTTTTCCACTCCCAGCTCCATTCCAACAGTTGGGACAGTGTTTTCTCTGTGCCTATAGAAACCTCAGCTACTGTGCCGAGGAGTCTGGTCCCTTTGGGGAATGTGGCAGTCAGGTGCTGGCAGGGACCTCGAAGTGGCTGAAAGATCATTAAGAAAAAGCTGTTTACAAACGTGTGGGCTGGGCCAAGGGGAACCATGAGGAAGGTGCAAGGCCCTGGGGTTAGCATCATCTGGGAGCTGTCACCACACTCCAGGCTGATGGGGCCATGGAGAAGCTGTTCCAGTAACTCAGAGGGAGAATCTACAGCTGAAAGAGGTGGCCAGGGGACACATCACTCCCTGTGCCCTTTGACTGCATCTGGATGCCCCCACTAACCACACTACCATCTCCTTATTAGATTGGAGAGGTTGCAGGGCAGGGTTCTAAGCCTCCTATTGTGGCTCACCTCCAACAGTGAGCCAGCAACAGCTCCCCTAGCCCCACAGCCCAGGGTCCACTTAGCCCCTCTATCCTGCATGGTCCCCTTCCCCTCTGGGAAGCAGATACCCAAAAGAGCAGCAGAAACCTGTCTCTCTCTGCAGGGCCCTCTGCTCCTTATGAGTGGTGTTTTGTGGGTGTCCTCCCTTGGTTTTGGATGGGAAACACCCTTTTCCCTTCCACAGGGATTGTTTCTGTGGACCCCACCCTGAGTGGGGTCCCTGTTGGGACAATGGGCAGGTGGGGATGGTGAGACCAACTCTTTAGGACCAGCAATGCCAAACAGATCCCACTCCGGGGAAGTTCATTCTAAGTGTCATGGGTCCTCTGGAACTTTTTGAAGGTTTCCTGTTTTTTTCTCCCCCTAACCAGCTCATCTGATCCCCTGGGATCTCTACTAAGATGCTGGCAGCCCAACCAGCTGGTCTGGCCCTGGACATGCCTTCAGGGACTGGTTATCCTTCATGACCTGTGTTGCGGTCATTGGTAAGCAGCACCTGCTTCTAGCTTTACTGTTGGGCCAGATTTCATCCCCACCATGGCTCTTCACTGCGGCTGCTTCCTGCTCCCTCCATGGACCTGCACAGAATTGTCCCATGTTTCTGTTTGGGCACCACTGAGGAAGGAAGCATGAAGGATGCACAGGTCAGGCCATTCTATTGCCCTCCTGCTGCTGGGTCTTTAATCCTGGGATGGCTTCAGGGGCTGGTCCTTCTCCATGGCCTCTCCACATATCTCAGGTTTCTACTCAAAAGTCACCTCTTGGAGGGGTCTCTCCCTGTCACTGTGTTTGGAACAGCTCCTTCAGTTTCTTTCTAGCTCATCTCACTCTGGTAATGTCTTTCATTACCACCACCACATGACCTGGTCTTGCGACCTGTTAGCTTCCTTCATCAGGCATGAGCACCAGGATGGCAGGGGCCTCATCTGTCCTATTCCTCCTGTGGCCTGGGTCCTAGCACCATGTCTGGTACAGTGTAGGTGCTCAAGGGAAGTTTACTTTATAGAACTGTCTACCTGGGAGATGTTGCTGTTAGTCTAACCTGTACCATTTTGTAAACCTGCAGCCATTTTGCACACCCTGGTCAGAATGAAACATTCCTTGGGAACTCGGGCCGTGAGAAGCATCCTTCCTGATCACCTGACTGTAGAAACATCCTTATCGCACCCTCCCGGGCAAAGGCCCAACAGCCTGACTGCAGGAACATCCTTGCCATATCCTGCCGGGCAGCAAGCTCTACAGCCCAGACCCCTCCTTCCCAGTCCCATGATCACCCCAGCCTGTGAGAGGCAGTTGGTGCTGGCAGTAAGCTGGTTTCCTCCTCTGCAGGGTTTTGCTAGTAATAAAGGTGTTGCTGTTGAAGCCGCCAACTGTCTTTCTCTGTCTTTCTTTAACCCTCGCCTTGCCTTCAAAATCTAACAATAGCTCTACCTCTCCATTTTACCAAGGAGGATATGAGACTCAAGGAGAGCAAGAGACTTACCCAGAATTACAGAGCCAGTGAGTCACAGAGCCTGAACTTGAGCTCAATTCAGCTGAATCCAGAACTCATGTCTTCCTGAGAGTCCAGGGAAGGAAAGGTGGAACTGCAGCCAGTGGGTGCCCACAGGCTTGTCCTAGGAGACCACATGCAGCCTCCTGGGAATTGTGTCCTCTTGGGCACAAAAGAAGAACTGCTCACCTGTGCTGCATCAGCTAAGTGTCCCCATTGTCCCAAATTGTTATATTTTTTCAAAGTTTTGTTTTAATAACTAGATTTCTCACAGCTCAGTGTTGAAAACAAAGCACAGAGGCATATAGAAAGCCGTGTTTGGGTTTTTCTCATTTTTTCCCCAGTGACTATACAAATGAATGTACAAAAGAGCACAAGTACGCTCATACTTTTTATATAGAGATGAGGCCCCCCCCACTCATATTCCTCTGCCACTACTCTTCCTTTTTTTTTTTTTTTTTTTTTTTCATGGGAGGACCTCTCTTTCAATACTAGTCCATGTGATTTGGGAAGGCTGACCCACCCTGGGCAATCAGATCGGCAGGGTAATTGATTCAGGAGTGGTCATGTGATCCAAGCTGGGCTCATGGAAGTCATCCCTGAACTTTTGATGAAACTGCTGGGAATGAGGTGCTTTCTTTTTATTGGCATATCTATTTGTAAGGAAGTAAGTGATGTGAACTTTATGGGGCCATTTTTGCTGCTCTCTCAAAACAGCCTGCCTGAAAAGCAGAGCTGACACAGGAAATGAAGGGACAGAATGAGCCTTGGTTTATATTAGTTGACCCCTGATCCCACTGAGACAGAAGCCCATCTAACTCATGTACATTTTTAGTAAGTAAAGCCAAATAATTCAATGTTCCGCTGGATCCAGTTACGTTTCAGTCACTTGCAGTCAAGAGAGTCCTTCATAATAGCACTTTCTGTGATGCTTAGGTCCCACCTGCCAGAGCTTTAGAACTGTAGAAGGGTAAAGTGAACCCAGGCAGTGCTGAGCTAGCTAGTCTCCTGGCTAAGTGTGCAAAGGAACCCTGGAGTCACTACCACTTTGGTCTGAAAAATAGCCTTGCCTGCTGCTTACCATACAGCCATAGGGGTATTGCTTCCCTGAGCCTGTAGGCATTATACCTCTTTTTAAAAATGATGTTTATTTAAGAAAATGTTTTGTGCAGATGGTGTCTTGCTATGTTGCCCAGGCTTGTCTTGAACTCCTGGCCTAAAGTGCCGAGATTATAGGCACGAGCCACTTTGCTTGGCCAGCACTATACTTCTATTAGTTGTCAATGCTTTTTTGTTCTGTAGTTTCTAGTGTGTGCTTGAGCATGCGTGTGTATGTGTGAGTTTATGTGTGTGTATGTATGCGTGAGAGTGTGTGTGTGAGTTTTTGTGTGTGTGAGTGTGTTTGTGTGAGTTTTTACCTTTATCTTGCAGGGTTATTGCAAGCATCAAGTGGGATCCTGTAGGCGCAGCACTCAGTCCAGTGACTGGCACATATAGTGAGCTCTCTCTGTTCTCTTTTCTCCTCCTGATTCAGAGAATGACTTAAGGATCTGTGATGTGTGCCAATTTTCAACGCCCTGCATAAATAATGGGGAGTACTGTTGCCATAACTTTGCACTAGTTTTAATTCATTTTATCTGTTTAGCATGAGATAACTCAAAGTCCCTGAATAAATTTATGTCATATATATATACATATATATATATTTATATATATATACACATAAGTATGCTTCTTGAGAGCTGACAGGCTTAGTTTTTGTTCCCTGATGCTGCAGTAGAGGCCACTGTGTTCTGATTTTCGAGTGATGGCTGCCAGCTCTCCAAGTGTCACAGTGAGTGAGGCATCCATGGGGGCAAGCGCCAAGGATGAGTGTGGCCAGTCAGCATCTGCAAGCCCGTTTTGTCTATCCTCTTTATTTTTATAATATGTTTTATTCATTTTTTAGGTTTATCATTTAATCTGTTATAAACTTCTCTCCTAAAATGTTTCTTAGTTCTACTAGGGGTTAGTTTCATGAAACAAGTCCAGAAATAGTCCAGGGCAGCCAGGGATACACAACATGCCATTGGGGAGGGAGAAATCTTGTAGATTGAAGGTTTTGTTGTAGGGACAATCGTTCCAATGGTCTTCAAGTTGCTAAATCCAACTCAGGGCATTTCATCCTATTTCCAGACAGCAGCAAGCAGAGAGAGCAAAGGGAACTTGGTCAACAAAAAAGAGGAACAATAACTCTCCCCTTTCCAAACAGATTTTCAGAAATCCAAAGCAGTGAATTCTGCATTTCACATTGGCCAGGACTATAAAATTTGCTCACTACAGTTACGAGAAAAACTGGGAAACTCATTTAAAGACATTAACCAGGGCCAGGCATGGTGGCTCATGCCTGTAATTCCAGCAATTTGGGAGGCCAATGTGGGAGAATCACTTGAGCACAGGAATTTGAAACCAGTCCAGGCAACATAAAGAGACCCAGTCTCTACAAAAACAAAACAAAACAAAAGCTGGTTGTGGTGGTGCACACCTGTTATGCCTGCAGTCCTACCTACTCAGGAGTCTGAGCTGGGAGATCACATGAGCCCAGGAGTTCAAGGCTGCAGTGAGCTCTGATCATGCCACTGCACTCCAGCCTGGGAGACAGAGTGAGACCATTTTTCAAAAAAAAATTGTAAAATAATAAAATATGCATAAATAAATAAATAAAGACATTTAAACAGTGCTCCTTGGAAAAAGTGAATCTATGTTCCCTTAGTGAAGAAGATGAGAATAATGGATATAGCAGGGAAATGGACAGCATTGGCCACATTAGACCAAAATGAAAGTCATAACAGGTACACCAAATCAGTACCATTAAAACCACATAATGGGACCATAATGCAGTCAAATTGTGACCAACAAAAACAAACTGACAAAAAAGGTGTCATGGAGCATACGAATTCTAAATCTAAATTGAATGGAGCTCAGAAGGGCTTCCCATTGAAAATGAAACTATGTGTATGTAAATGAATTGTAACAAAGCTACTACATAGCAACATTAAGGTGGCAGAGCGGAAAGGTTGCTAAGACAGATATCTGTCATCTTATAACATTTTTTAAGAAAGGAAAAACTACAAAATTATGAATTTGAGTTCTAATTGGGGGATAAGACAATGCTAAAGGCAATAATTGTTAACGTTTACTGTGCTTCAGTCCTACCCTGTGCTCATTCATGCCCAATAAGTGAAGAGCTGGAACTGAAAGCTTTCTTATATTTATTCAATTGTAGTCTCCCTCCAGGGTGTGGAATCATGTATAAAGGAGGGATAGTGTTTAAAGAGGTATTTTCTGCATTTTTTACTTCCATAAGCAGTCTCTGCTGTGTGAGTTCTTGTATGAACTATGAGTCTGAGACAACACTGAGGCTTTTTTCATATTCCTTACTTTCATAGCTTCTCTCCAGTGTGAGAACAAATATCTACTCACGATGAATGAAGATGAAAGGCTTTCCATAGACTTTACCTTCAGAGGGTTTCTTTTCACACTTCTGTAAGATAGGAGAGTTCAGGAAAGATGTTCTCAAGCGTGTTAACTCATTGAGCTCCCTTCCAGTATGTCCTCCTCACATGTTCAGTACGGTGAAAAATTAATGATGATTTCCCTGCCTTTCACTCACAGGGCTTCTCACTATTGTGAATCTTAAGATGGCTTTTAATTCTGGTGACTTTGCAAAGTCTTTTTCACATTTATCACATTTATAGGGTTTCTCCCAGTGTGACTCCTTATATGTGCATGTTTTGAGCCTTGCTTGAAGGCTTTCCCACATTCCTTACATCCATAGGGCTTCTCCAGAATGTTCTTTCTTAAATGTTTATTAAGGTGTAGGGAATATCTAAAGCCTTTCTCACTTTTGTTACATTCATAAGGTTTCTCTCCAGTGTGAAGTTTCATATGTCTCATAAGAAATGACTGATAACGTAAAGGCTTTCCTTCATTTGGGACATGTATGGCTTTTCTCTCCAGTAGTACTACTCCTGTGTGGACAAGAATTTGGAGAAGGGACAGAGGTTTTTCCACTTTGATGATTCTTATTCTTCATCTCTACAGAACAGGACTGCATCTGGACAGCATGGCCTGAGTTATTTCTGAAGATGTTTTCACATTGAGTAAAATTATACATTTTCTCCCTAACATGAGTTATGTGTGCCCTAAGGCACATGTCTTCACTACAGTCTAATTCAAATGGACTCCACTCATGAATGTTTGTCCTTGTATTAATTTTACTATGTATATGATGGACATTGTTCTGACTGCCTGTCCATGTGTTTGATTTTAGCTGTTTTTCTCCCATATGAAACCCAGTGAATGTTGCACTTCAAGACTATCATGTTGATTGTTTTCATATATATTACTTTATTGCAATAGTTTTTGGGAAACAGGTGGTTTTTGGTTACATGGAAAAGTTACTTAGTGGTGATTTCTGAGATGTTGGTGTACGCATTACTCGAGTAGTGTACATTGTAGCCAATGTGTAGTCTTTTATCCCTCACCCCCCTAACCTTCCCTCTGAGTCCCCAAAGTCTATTAAATCATTCTTATGCCTTCACTCTCTCATAGCTTAGCTCCCACTTATAAGTGAGAACATATAATATTTGTTTTTTATTCCTGAGTTACTTCACTTAGAATAATCATCTCTAACTCCATCCAGGTTGCTGCAAGTGTCATTATTTGATTCCTTTTTAGGGCTGAGTAGTATTCCATGGTGTATCTATAACACATTTGCTTTGTCCACTCATTGGCTGATAGACATTTAACCTTGTTACACATTTTTGCAACTGTGAATTGTGCTGCTATGAATGTGCATACATGTGTCTTTTTCATATGACTTCTTTTCCTCTAGGGGGATACCCAGGAGTGAGCTGATACTAATTTAAATAGAGATAATTATAAAATAAAGTAATGACCAAGTGAAAATTACCATTTCTAGTAGTGAAACAAAATACCTTTATTGAGTAAAGCTTGAACATATTTCTGCTCACATAAAGAACATATAACTTTTGTATTTTGTATAAATGATATGCTTTATCTCACTAGACTCATCCTATGGTTAATTGGTGGGGGAGGGTTGGAGAAAGTAATATATCTTTAAATTTAGCTTCTTGATTCACATTTTTCTTCAACTTTCAATAGCTCTCTTTTAGTTAAATGCCTCCAGGAAGATGTTCAGATGCTTTGGGCTTTCTGTGGCCTCAAGGCAAAGGGAAAGTGAATCTGAAGTCTCTTATTGTCTTCATGCTGTTCTCTAGACCTCTGCTTTCTCTGTGGCAGAGGGTCTCTCTGGTCTGATCGCTGGGGCCATTGCATTGCTCTTCTCTGAGATGAAGCTTGTATTCTCGAATCAAAGTACAGTGGAATTCTCTTGCTTTATTAGCCTCCTGTTGGCTTGGGTAAGATCTTCAGATCTCTGTGAGTTTCAGCATCCTTCTTCTTCCACAGTATGTCTGGAATGGTCACATGTGACTTTTTGGCAGGATCATTTTGCTCCTTGGTGCAGTGGCCCCTTGTTATGCATGTTAGTTTTTAGCTCAGTTAAGTTGCTTCTTATTTACCTCTATGACACTTCCACATTGCATAGATTCATAGGTCTAGTAGGAGGTTTTTTATATAAACCAAGCTGCCAGAAACAGAAGAATGCTCACACAGTAAGTCAGGCAAACCAAATTTATTACTCACAGAGGAGCAGGAAGAATCAGCAAAACCATTAAGTTCTATGGCAAGCCTGACCCTTGAGGTCAGAAAAGTTGCCCAGGGTTGACGGAGTCTCCTCTGCACATGCCCCACTGTGTACTGCACTGAGGAACCCATGAGTGCTCCACCCTAGGTTTCACACCCCACATGCACCTTGGCTCTTTGAGTTTAAGGGCTGCAGTAATATCCTGTTCTAGGAACAATAAGGACAGAGCCCAGACTGTCCCAGACAGTTTCTACTCATCTCAGGATATTGTCTTCTTGGAGCATTCTAAAATTATTCTGAGAACTAGGAGGTACAGAAAGCTGAGTTGGTCAAGGCCATTCAGGTCTTGTCCTCCTGACCACAGAAACAAAGTAGACTATAAAACAATAAACATTGGCAGAAGTAATCATATTGCATTATGATAGCCATTCTTCATTATGATAAAAAGAATTTATCCTCCAAAAAGTTATCTGAGTTCTAAATCTGAATGAACCCAGCAAAACATAGATTTGGGACTGTTGTTACAGTTTAATAAAATATATACTAAACCAACAAATTTAATTAAATACATAAACTCTAGAAGAAGTATAAAAATCATAAAGACTCATTTCAGTAAATGTTGGCATATGAAATTATCAGATATATGACAGAGTAATAGAAAATGTTGACACTGCTTAGGGCAAAGTGAATATGATTGATATTCAGATGAACAAAGAAGATAGTAAACTCAATAGAAAAATGGGCCAAAAAATTCAATACATTGTTAACAATCTGACAAATGCAAATGTACACAAATAAAATGAGATCTGTATTTTCACCACTTGCTTAGAAAGTATAAGAATCCTAGATAACATTGAGTGATGAGGATATGAGGAAAACAACCTTTATGGGCAATGGATGGGAAATTAAATGGTTTTAACCATTTCAGAAAATAACATGACAGGACCCATTTGAAAGTATGCATACTCTACAACCTGTCTCAATGATGGGTACATATACCTGATATAGTTTGGATGTGTGTCCCCTCCAAATCTCATGCCGAAATGTGATCCCCCATGTTGGAGGTGGGGCCCAGTGAGAGGTATTGGATCATGGGGTGGATGCCTTATGAATAGTTTAGCACAGGAATGTCCAACCTTTTGGCTTCCCTGGACCACATTGGAAGAAGAATTTTCTTGAGCCACACATAAAATACACTAAAAATAGCTGATGAGCTAAAATAAATAAATACATAAATAAATCAATAAAGACCCCCCCCACACACACACACACATACACAAACTCTCTTTTGTTTTAACAAAGTTGACAAATTTGGGCCACATTCAAAGCTGTTCTGACCTGCATTCAGCCCACAAGCTGTGGGTTGGACAAGCTTGGTTTAGCACAATCCACTTGAGTGAGTTGTTCTCAGTGAGTTCATGAGAGAACTGATTGTTAGAAATAGCCTGGGACTGCCCCCTTCTCTCTCTTACTCCCTGTCTGACCATGTGACACACTGGCTCCCCTTCACCTTCTGCCATGATTTTAAGCTTCTTGAGGCCTCACCCAGAGCAGATATCATTGCTTCCTGTGCAGTCTGCAGAACCCTGAACCAAGATAAACCTCTTTTATTAAAAAATAAATAAATAAATAACCCAGGATTGGGTATGTCTTCATAGCAATACAAAGAGACTAACACAGCCCCTGACAAATTGTGACACATGACCAAAAAGTGTTTTCATAAGGATACCATAAGGAAGTGAATATTTCAGTAGCAGGATATCAGTGTGAATTCTACTACAAGACTGGATAGGGAAAATGTGGTTGATTCATTTTATTGAAAACTATGCAGCAGCTACAGGGGAATAAACAACCAAAAATAACCTACAGCAATGTGGGAATGTATGAAGGATGTTATGCTCTGTGAAAAAATTAGAAATAAAATTAGATTTATAGCACAATACTCTTTAAGCAAAATGTATACACTCATGTATATACACATACACACACTCAGAAAACAACCTTCTTATCTTGTAAGAATTCTTTAAGAGTAAAGAACCTATATCAAACACATTAGCATGCCTGTCTGTGACAAGGGATAAGGAATTTAAAAATGAAACAAGTAAAACCAGAGAAACTTGTAGGAAACAATAATGATAGTCTCATGAAGTAAAGAATGTGATTAATTTTTTGCAACTGTGGTATAAAAACAGATTGTCAAAATCAAATATAATGAGCTTTAGCATAGAGCCTATTGTAGGGCAAAAATCAAATTTAAATACTTAGTTTACATAGTTTGATGCAGGAATGGTCTCCTATGTGAAGTAGTAAGATACACTAAACAATCCATGGGTGTACGGGAAGAAAATACTCAAAATGCTACTTATATTTATTTTTTACTCATTTTTCCAACAGTTTAGTATCTAAATGCCAGGGGAGGCCAGATGTGGTGACTCACACCTGTAATCCCAGTGTTTGGAGTGGGTGGGGGTCAAGGCAGGAAGAACACTTGAGGCCAAGAGTTCTAGACCAGCCTGGGCAACCTAGTTGGTTTTTGTGTCCACACACAAAAAATTAAAAATTAGCCAAGCATGATGTCGTGCACCTGTAGTTCCATGTACTGGACAGGTTGAAGCAGGAGGATCACCTGAGGGAGGAGTTTGAGGCTGCAGTGAGCAATGGTTATTCCACTGCACCATAGCCTGGGTGACAGAATGAGAACCTGTCTCTTAAGTGAAAATAAGTAAGTGCGAGGAGAACACATGATCTTTCTAGTTTTCAGTCCCTCTTGCAATTCCCTGTAGATTATTTTGCTTATTCCCAATGTTCCAGCTGTTTCTGCACATTGTAGGCTTGTTCTTCTACCTACTCAAGGCCCCAGATCCAGCAAATGTCCCAGAGATGGGCTCTGTTGTTAATCTGTGATCACCAAGGAAGGGCTTGTTTTTCTCTGAAATTTAGTTCATTGAAACTTTAGGCACACAGTTTTTTGATGGCTTTAAACAAAAAAATAATAATTTTTTTAAGTTCATCCAATATTTTCTCATTATGGCAGGAGCAATTGTCTTTGGTAGCTTTATTTTAATTGGAAGAAGAATTTCTAACATTGGCATTGTAATGAGGTTTTTGGTCTTTGACCCTAGTGGAGCAATTAAATCTACGTATATTTCTTCTCTTATGCATGTATTGAAGGATCAAATGAGAAAATATATGTAGAGTGCACAAAGTGTCTAATGTACACTAGTGATATACAGTTGTTTTATGACTACACACTGAAAACACATAATCAACCAGATTGCTTCCTGAGAACTAGAGCCAGGCTTTTCCGATGATACTTAGCCGTCAAATAATTCTATTCAATTTTTCATGGGACTTAAGGTTTGCTCCATGAAGTGCTGCCACAGTATGCAAATCAATTATGTCAATAAATGTGCTAATTTATTCAGCAAACATATTCTTGTAGCAATAGTTACTCAATGAAAGAAGTAACATTTAATTTCTAGTAGAAGCTACTTCTCTCATTGTGAACTCGTTACAAAGCTTGAATGCTCTAGCTATTTTGAGGAGCATTAATAAGCATTACCTAAAGAAGATGATATATTCCCTAGACAACAAGAACTCTTATTTCTCTTTATCTTCTTTTTGATAAATGCTACAGTCTCTTGGTAGTGAATCCAGATTCTGTGGTGTGGGGAAAAGAAAGAGAGATCAGACTGTTACTGTGTCTATGTAGAAAGAAGTAGACATAAGAGACTCCATATTGTTCTGTACTAAGAAAAATTCTTCTGCCTTGAGATGCTGTTAATCTGTAACCCTACCCCCAACCCTGTGCTGGCAGAGACATGCACTGTGTTGACTCAAGGTTTAATGGATTTAGGGCTATGCAGGATGTGCTTTGTTAAACAAGTGCTTGAAGGCAGTTTGCTTGTTAAAAGTCATCACCACTCTCTAATCTCAAGTACCCAGGGACAAAATACACTACACACTACGGAAGGCTGCAGGGACCTCTGCCTAGGAAAGCCAGGTATTGTTCAAGGTTTCTCCCCAAGTGATAGTCTGAGATATGGCCTTGTGGGAAGAGAAAGACCTGACCATCCCCCAGCCAGACACCCATAAAGGGTCTGTGCTGAGGAGGATTAGTAAAAGAGGAAGGCCTCTTTGCAGTTGAGATAAGAGGAAGGCATCTGTCTCCTGCTTGTCCCTGGGCAATGGAATGTCTCAGTGTAAAACCCGATTGTATGTTCCATCAACTGAGATAAGGAGAAAACTGCCTTAAGGCTGGAGGTGAGACATGCTGGCCGCAATACTGCCCTTTAATGCACCGAGATGTTTATGTACATGCACCTCAAAGCACAGCACCTCTTCTAACCTTGTTTATGGCACACAGACATTTGTTCACATGTTTTCCTGCTGACCCTCTCCCCACTATTACCCTATTGCCCTGCCACATCCCCCTCTCTGAGATGGTAGAGATAATGATCAATAAATACTGAGGGAACTCAGAGACTGGTGCCAGCGTGGATCCTCCATATGCTGAGTGCCGGTACCCTGGGCCCATGTTTCTTTCTCTATACTTTGTCTCTGTGTCTCTTTCTTTTCTCAGTCTCTCATCCCACCAAATGAGAAACACCCACAGGTGTGGAGGGGAAGGTCACCCCTTCATGTGGGGTGTACAAAACAATCCTCCACAAATTTAAATTTATGCCTATGATCATGTGTAATGAAATTAGCCCTCAAGAGCCAACTTGAGACCATGTTCAGAATGAAAGCTTCAGAAACCCATGGCAAACACATGAATATAAGAGCATTTTAGACACAGTCCCCAGATTACCTCTGAATTCCGTGTGGAAAAAGTGACAAGGAGCAATATTTAGGGCATCTAGGATAGTGCTACCTTCTCATCCCTAACATAAGCAAATTAAAATTTCATACTAATGCTCTGAAACCTAATAATAACTAGTAAGGTTTATGTCTGTCAAAAAGCCACTGCAGGCTACTGTTAAAACCAGCTACACAACCATCTGGAAGACATTTGCCTCCTTCTGGTTAAAAACAGTCCCATGTCTACTGATGATGTAGTTAAGGCTGTATCAAGATCTTCTATCTCTCAGCAGGGATGTGGTTTCCCAAATGCTAATGTTTGACCAACAAAAGTTTTGCAGCCAGAGTTTGTGCAAGTATTGGTAGATAGAAAATACAAAATCCAACCATTTCTCCTGAATGATTAAACAAAAAAAAGAATGCAAGAAGCCTGCGTGCATATGCGTGGGTATATGCATGTGTGTGTGTGTATTCAGGTTTGTTAACTTTATTAAAATTTAATTTTAAAATTAGATTGGGGAGTAAAATATCATTCTTCCTCTCTCATCATAAAACTTTTGGCTCATGGGATTCTGACATTCCATCATGCTTGGAAAAGTTGGATTTATGAAACCAGTCGCTGGACTGAGCCTGCCTATGCAGCTCTTACATGGGTGCTCCCTATTTTGTGCACAAGCATCCTCAAGAGACCAAAGATAGTGATTAAGAGAGATGGGCTCTGAAGTCTTTTTATTTCAACTTCTTGGAATCACCACCTTGTTAATGAACATCAAAATCTTTTGTGTCATTTATCAGATTAATTACTTTTTCCATAAAAAGAGTGAGTTGAGAGGATAACAAGAAACTCCCTGTCCCTGCTTCATCCTGAAAACAGGAGAATCAATATCTTAACCCTGTTTTTGAGAGGTGAATGGGTAGGTCAACATTGCTTGGCTATTTGTCCTTCCATTTGGGACAGATTACCACTGCACTTTCCCCTCAATCTCTAGAATCATGGCTTATAGAAAACAATTTTGTACTGAATTACTAAATGCATCAAAACTTTATTAGACTTATTATCAAAGAGCATGCTCAGATGTATCTATTATAAATAGTAATAAAAATATAAAAACCTAAAAACAATATTATAAATACAGAGAAAAGCTATGCACTGTTATGAAAGCCTTTCATATTTAGGGATATCAGGTAAGGTTTCCCTTGGTGGGGAAGATGAAGAGCAAACTAAAATAAGAGTAAGAGCTGGCTGGGTGTGGTGGCTCACGCCTGTAATCCCAGCACTTTGGGAGGCTGAGGCAGGTGAATCACGAGGTCAGGAGATCGAGACCATCCTGGCTAACACCGTGAAACCCTGTCTCTACTAAAAATACAAAAAAAAAAAAAATTAGCCAGGTGAGGTGGCAGGCGCCTGTAGTCCCAGCTACTTTGGAGGCTAAGGCAGGAGAATGGCATGAACCTGGGAGGTGGAGCTTGTAGTGAGCCGAGATCGCACCACTGCACTCCAGCCTGGGCAACAGAGCAAGACTCCATCTCAAAAAAAACAAACAAAAAAAACCCAGTAAGAGCTAATTATATAAATCTGGGATGGTAGTGGGAAAAGCATATGAGTAAGAAGATCAAAGTCCAGGAGACAAGAAGAAATACATCTGAATCATTTAGTTCAACAATGTTCATGCCACAAGAGGGGGGAAAGAGAAAGGAAACAAATTTTGTACTGCTTGAACCCATTTTTGGACTCTTGCTATTTATCCTAGTACTAATGTGAAGTCTTTGGGAGTTTTTAAGCAAAGCAATTTACAATGCAAATTGTATTTACATTTCAAGTAATCATTCCAGATATAGCACAGAACCATTTTTGGAGAGAGAATCAGGGAGAGCACTTTAGAGGTGCTCACCATAGCCCAGGTGAGAGAGTGATGGGCTGGAATCCATGATGGCAATGAAGATAGAAAGAGAAAAATTCATTCAAGAAATAGAAGGTAAAATCTGACAATACTTGGTGATTTGAAATGGAAATGTGAAGAAGAAAATGTCAAAAATTAATTGAGATGTCAGGTGTAGGTAGAAGTTGACATCATTTGCTGCAAAAAAAAAAAAAAAAGCAAGAAGAATACCACTTTCAGTGAAAGAGTCATCTAGGTTGCTTAAAGTATGAAACGGGACTTTTCCAATTTCATGCAGGTAAATTAGGAGGGCTCAACCTTGAAGCACAAAAGATGGTGATTATGGTAACACTGGCCTTGAGACCAGGACCTGTATCAGACTCTAGAAAGATCAGTGTGATTTGGAGCAGCTACAGACTGGAATATTTCAGTGAAAAACAAAACAAAACAAAGCATTCACACTTATTCTTGCAGTCTTGTTTTATTTGAAGGAGTAAATAATTGGGCCTTATTCAGAGCTGCAAGTTTTGGTAAGCCCTAAAATGAACAAAAAATTGTATAAAATGGAAGCAATTCACCAATTCTATTCACTTAACATTTACTGATTTTCTTCCAGGTTTAAGTATTATGATAGGCATTGTACAGTAATTACTTTATTGACCATCTTCTCTGGTGTTTGTATTAATACACAAAGAAATCTAACTTTAAAAGTGTAGCATTGCTTTCAGCTGACACCAATCATTACCCGTTATCCCAATTCATTAAATCAGATTGTTTCAGCAATAAGTTACATTTTGAAGTTAATGAAATACTTAAAAGGCTGTGATGTTGTAGCTGCAGATGTAGTATGCAAAACATATTTGATTCATGTTGTTCAGCACAATTTCATCTTAAAATCTTATCTATAAAACATTTTTACACATCTATTATTCTCTTGCTTTATGTAAAGTTTATGTCATTTATCTCTATCAAATTTACATTACTAGTTTTTCTCAACCATAAAAGACAGCATTAATTTTTACAAACATTAATGATGAACTATATTCACTCATAAGTATTTATGTCTAAGTTGTCTTAGATTTACTGAACAATTTCTGAGTAACTAATGGCTAGCCTTTTATTATTCTATGATGATAAACATTTTTACAGTATCCAGGCTTCAGACGTATTTTTGAAAACTTATTTCTATATGGGTCAAAATTTAAATCATTTGTAATATGTGAACCACTCAAATATATTCTCCAGGATGCGCTATTAAAATGAAATACCGAAGTGGTTCCCCAAGACACCAATTTAAAGTGTATATGTGCAGTGCAGGGTTACTGGACCAAGGCACAGGGTAAACAGAGAAATTTTATTTTTTTGTTTTCCTTTTCCTAAGATGTTTCTTATTCCCCATTATATAAAAATGTATATTACAGGCAAAGAAAAATTAACACGAATAGAAGTAAATATAAAGCATATTCACATTAAAATCTGCTTTGCTTTATCTATTAAAGGATGTAACACACTTGTGCTTTTCAGGACCTTGTAACTCCTGGTTCATTGGAAAGCACAGAAATTCTTCAGAGCCTCAAGAGTTGTGTTTAATGCATTATTTAAATAGTGTCCAACCACTAGTTAGATAGCTTAGCACTCAAATAGCCTTTGAAATCTCTGTAGACTCACCTCAATTGAGGAGTCCTGATAATTTACAGAAGTGTGTAGCGCACTAAGAGGTCCCTGATGGATAATGTCTTTGCCTTTGGAGTGTTTTATGTGTTGATCCACTGGAGTGTGTGTGTGTCTGTGTGTAGGTGGGTGAGTATGGGTGGGTGTGGATTGTGTGTGTGTGTATGTGTTTACATTGTGGTATGTGTCTGTTGGGGTGCCGCCATTTGGGATTTGGAAGAGTGAGGACCATAAACTTGTCAACATTCCTACATGCCTGCTTCATAACAAGTGTACTGAACGTGGCCAAAAGTAACTAAACCAAGTAAACAAATTAGACATTAATTAAATTTAATGCTGGGCAGGAAAGAAGTATTCAAGGCCAGGTAAAATGAAGAAATATAACCAAATGAATGCAATTTTTAGATTGATTCATAGAATGAGACATGAATATTTTTTAAAATTTGTAGTTTCTAATGAATAACAGCATATAAAATAAGAATCATATGGCTGTCAATGGACTAAAAACTGTACTTAAGATTTGAGCTAGTGAAACAACCATATATGATCTTCTAATTCCACTTTTCTGTCTCAAGAATGACTTGTTAAAATGATTTTTTTTGAAATTTTACATTCTCATTTTGAAAGAGCTTCACAAAACTTACATGAGAATCTGGATGCTCATAAGAGGTCTGATTTTTTAATGGTATGTTTGTATTTTTGTTATGTACATCAATGTCAAGCATTCATTTCCTGAGCTGTTCTCTACAACACAATTTAACTTGTAATGGACACTCAGTAAATGGTCGGTTGGATATTCAAATCAACACCTTAGTTCCATCAATTTTCACTTCATATAAAAATGCCTGATCTTCTATACTCATCAATGAAACAGAGAGAGATGAAGGAGGGAGAGCAGTTGAGACTGAGAGGATGACAAGCAGACCTCATTCTGCAGTGGATTTCCTACACTCTCCACTTCTGAATGCTTGGAAACACTTGCCATGCTCAAAAAATATTGGTATTTCCTAGGCAGCAAATGGGAGTTAAAGAAAGTCCATATTTCTATATTACAATAACTTACACTATAATACACAGATGGCATACATTTCTAAGCTATTTCAATTCACAGAAAATGTAGATAAATTTAGGTGAGCAAGATGTAAAAGAAGGGTTAGTAATCAAGCTGAGTGTGATTGTGAGATTAAATCTAATATTATCTTATACAATTATTGTATAATTGTATCAGTTGACATATCTGTTGAAACAGAAGGTGGGAGAGTTTTGCATGCGCTTCCGAAATGTACTGGATGATGTTAGGAGAGAGGCGGGTCAATGTGGCTAGGCCAGAAGTGTTTACTAATTGAGGCTTAGGAAAGTTAAGCTCCTAATCAGAGACTGGGAGATAGAGGCGCTAAAGTGTATAACATTTATATTTAATATATATTTAATAATATATAATAAAGTCTTAAAATGCCAATTTTAAGTCTTTTCATTTTCTTCTTAAAAACAGAGGTTTTATTGCGTTTGGTCCACAGTCGGTATTTCACATTATCTCATAGCACAGGGCCCCTGGGTGGAGGGCTCTGTGCAGTACTTGGCGTGGCCTGGGGCCGGGGGAGATAGAGCAGTAGACCTGGTCAGGCCCAGAAGGGGAGAAGGAGGGCCGGGGCTCCTTAAGACCTACTGAGGGCCTGGGCACGGTGGCTCACGCCTGTCAACCCAACACTTTGGGAGGACGAAACAGGCGGATCACATGAGGGAAAGAGTTCCCGACCAGCCTGGCCAACATGGTGAAATCCTGTCTTTACTAAAAATCCAAAAAATTAGGCAGGCGTGGTGGTGGGCGCCTGTAGTCCCAGCTACTCTGGAGGCTGAGGCAGGAGAATCGCTTAAGCTGGGAGGCCGAGGTGCAGTGCGGCGAGATTACTCCACTGTGCTTCAGCATGGGCGACAGAGTGAGACTGCATCTCAAAAACAAAAACAAAAACAAAAACAAACAAAAAACCTACTGAGGGCCACGGGGGTGGGGGAGCTAGGATGGAGAGGGGTCAGACTTAATCCTGGCATCTCAGAATTCCACTAACTTGTACGGGTCTCAGTTTCCTCACCGGGCCCCAGCATAGGTTTGAGGGTCTGAGGTCTGTTGGTCTGAGGGTCCTAGGGAAATCCAGCCACTCAGGAGCCTGAGATATTTTAGCATCATGGCTGGGCCTCCTCTCCCAGGGGACTCATTTCCCAGCACCCTCTCCACTGTCTCCGCCTCATTCCTCGGAGAAGAAAAAAATTTTCTTTCTTTTGTTAATACTTCCTGAAACTTTTGCAGGTACAGAAACCACAAACTGATCGGCTGACAAAAAGGGGAAGAGGAGAGGCAACCAGAAACCTTCGCGGACTGGTTCCCTCCATGCCCAGGTCTCTTCTCCCCAACACAGCTCAGCCCACAGCCTGGAAGTGCCAGCGGGGACCTTCACCCTACACGCATCAGGATACGGCCTTGATCCCTTCCCCCACAGCCCGGTGGCTCAGTCCTGAGAAGGAACCAAAGCAAGGGAAGGTGGGGGAAAAAACCCTGCTGCCTGATCCCACGCTGCCACTCACAGACCTTCGGTTGACTGGCAGCACTGAACAGGTTAAAAAAAAAAAAGATGAGAACACAGAAAAACCCAACACCCAGACGGGGAGACGATGCGTGGAGAGAGCGTGCTGGGAGCCTCAGTAGCCGGTCTCCTCCTGGTAGTAAGGGGCCTCCCCTGGCCCTGGGCTGTTGCCGGCGGAGGGAGCCCCGTGGGCCACTGGGCCACCCGGCTAGTACTTGGTTTCGTATATTTGCCGGCCTAGGCCAAAGACCTGGCCGCTGTGATTGGCAACCTGCGTGTAGCCCATCTTCAGGGACATGGAGGAGTTCTCACACTTGTCGATTCCCAACTTGGTGTCATAGATGTGCCGCTGGGTCCCGGGAGCCGTCATGCCCACCTGGCTGGCGCACTTGTTTGTACCCATCTGGAGGCTGATGGTCGAGTTGTCCATGGGGGGCAGGATGCGGTTCTTGGGGTCGTAGAGATGCCTCCTCGTGCCATATGCGGTCATGCCTGACTGGCTGGCACATTTGTTGGTAATCTGCAGCTGGATGACGCACTGGCTGGCCTTCATGGGCCAGTCGAAGTTCTGCTTCTCTGAGTACTTGTCACGGACGTCCAACCCCGCTCTGCAGCCCCTTAGTCTTGGCCTTCCCTGCCAGGGCGAGAAGAGACACCCGCACCTGCATATTGTTCCCACTCTCAAACAGGTCGTTGGCCTCAAATAGGTCCACGGGATCATGCCGTAGCTGACCATGGCCTTGAGGAAGTTGGAGAGGTTTTCTAGCTAGTGCCAGTTCTACACGGAAGCCGTTGATCTTGGGGACTGAGCCCGGCTGCAGTTTGTTCACGAGTGTGCATAAGATAATCCCGTCCTTCAGGCCCTTCTGGAAGTCGGGGCGGATGGAGAGGCCAGTGAATCCCTTGATCCAGCTGCGGAGCTCTGCCTCCTTCTGGGAGTCATATTTGGGCAGAAGCCTGTTTTGGACGTCCGCCAAGAGCCTGTAGGAGGGACCCTTGTTGAACTGCGTGGAGCTTAGGGCTGGAGGGCGCCGCCGCGGGGCGGATCCGACAGGACCAGCGGCTAAGTCTTTTTTCTAGTTCGCAATGTTTTGTTTTCACCACACCATTGTTTTACTACATATTTTATTGTATGTGTATTGTGTTAAATACACATTTTGTGTATTTAAAAATGTGTGGAAAATGTTAGACCATCTCCCTTTTCTCCACCTTCCCTTTTACCCTTTACTGCCATTTACATCCACACATCCACACACACATACATCCACACATCCACATACACATACATCCACACACACACATACTGACCAAAATTAATTTCGATGTACGAATGGGTTATTTGAAGCGAAAAGTCAATCTATATTAGTAAAAGTGTCATGCCAGTATGAATTATATTTATAATCCCTTCAAGAAGAAAGAACTTCCGGCCGGGCGCTGTGGCTCACGCCTGTAATCCCAGCACTTTGGGAGGCCGAGGCGGGCTGAGGTCAGGAATTCAAGACCAGTCTGGCCAAGATGGTGAAACTTCGTCTCTACTAAAAATACAAAAAAAATTAGCTGGGCGTGGTGGCGGGCGCCTGTAATCCCAGCTACTCGGGAGGCTGAAGCAGAGAATTCCTTAAACCCGGGAGGCAGAGGTTGCAGTGAGCCAAGATTGTGCCACTGCACTCTAGCCTGGGCGACAGAGCAAGACTCCGTCTCAAACCAAAAAAAAAAAAAAAAAAAAAAAAAAAAAAAAAAAAAGTAAAGAAAAGAAAAAGAAAAAAAAAGAACTTCCTTAATTTTTTGAAGAGACTATTCTGTATCCATTTTATAATTTTGTGGCCACTGAAAAAGATATATTAAATCACAGACACAGTGAATGTAGTAAGTGGTAGTTTAAAATGTTAAAATGTTATATCACGCCTGTACTCCCAGCAATTTGGGAGGCTGAGGGGGGAGGATCACCTGAGGTTGGCAGTTCAAGACCAGCCTGGCCAACATGGTGAAACCCCTTGTCTACTAAAAATACAAAAATTAGCCAGGTATGGTGGCACAAATCTGTAATCCCAGCTACTCGGGAGGCTGAGGCAAGAGAATGGCTTGAACCCTGGAGGGGGAGGTTGCAGTGAGCTGAGATCAAGCCACTGCACTCCAGCCTGGACAACACAGTGAGACTGTCTCAAAAATAAAATAAAGTGTTGAATTTTTACAAGTCGTTGTTCCTATTCTAATTTTTAAATGCAACCACAGCCTCTAACAAAACACCCTCGTTACACTAATTCGCTGATAATGAATTCTTAAGTAAAAGGGGAATTCCATAGAAATATATATGGCTCTTTTATGTTTAAGAAAAGTAAGAGCCTGAAAAACAGATGTGTTCTGTAAAACTGAATTACTTTCTATCCAGTTCCACTGGTTCGCAGTGTTTTATCTTTATATTAAAACATATATAAATGATTGATTGATGAATTTTTTTTCTTTTAGACACTGCTGCTGAATCCATGGAGAGAAAAAGGATAAATTTCCAGAACTATGGTCCCTGTGCTCCAGTTCGCCAGGCGGGCGCGGCGGAGACGGAGACCGAGGAACGCGGCTGGGGCCATGCGGCGCTACCGCGCGTGGTGGCGCTGTGTCTGGCCTGAGGCTTCTGCTCGCTCCTTTACGCCTTCAGCCAGCTCCCCATGTCCCCGGAGGAAGGAGCGGGCGGTGGTGGCGGGAAGCTGCAGGCCGCAGTGGCTTCCTGGCTGGCGGGAGGCGGATGCGGTGCGGTGAGAGGCGCGAGCAGTGCTTGTCCCGCTGCGCATCCCCGCAGGTGGGACAGGTGTAGTCTGAAAATACAGCCTGTTGAGAAAATGCATCTAGGTGAAAGACTTGAAAAAACTATGACCATGTTGAAGTCAGCTATTATTTTCAGGATCAAACCTCTTCAATTCCAGATTTTTGCTGAAGATCAACTCATCATAGCTTTAAAGGAAGGCTTGACAGGGGTCATTTCTACAAATATTTAATTATACAATATACTCCATAACCTTTCCAAGTGAGAATGCAGCAGAGTGGAAAAACTCTTTAAACCATGTGGTTTGCAGAGATTGTCCTTGCCGTTATTCCTGAAAGAAGTTGACTCTCACACTGATAGCCTTTTTAAAAGACCAGCTGATAATATTTGGTCTTTACTAAAGAAATTTAATTCCACACAAATTCTGCAATGGCCCCAGAACACAAGGAATGTCAAATAGGATGATATAGTCGCTTTGCTAGGCATCCATACTGTGGAAAAGCTGGAGCAAACTCTGGAGTTATGTTGACAACATGACTTGAATGAAAAGGAAGTATTTCAAAAATAATATGACAACTGTGTGACTACAATGAGAAGATATACTTATGACATGGCTTAAAATATACAAGTTAAACATTACATGGGCGATCAAGATTTGTTGGATATCCTGTTTTTTCATAATCCAGAAAGCCTTTTTGTCTTTCCGTGTCAATGGAAGTGTCGTCCAGATCATTGTCTATATGGAAGCAGTTGCCAAGAAGCAGGAGAAGGAATCTTTATTTTTCACGGGAACAGAGGTGTTTACCATGATGATAAGCAACCAGCATTTAGAGCTGTTTATGAAGCACTGAGAAATTGTTCTTTTAAGATGACAATGTTTATTCATTAATAAAACCTTTAGAATTGGAACTACAAAAAACAGTGCATACATACCGTGGAAAAATTTACTAAATATTTATCAAACAATTAGCAAAAACATAAGAGATCGCTATGTCAGATCACCAAAGGAAAGGTGATTCTTGTTGCTTGCTACATCAAATGGATTAAAAGAACAAAGCATCGGAGGATAAATATGAAGGAACTGTCTTGGGTGAAGCGTTAAGGCAGGAATTATTCATCTACAGAATATTTTTTTTCCTAAAGAGGTTAAATGAGCAGTATTTTCAGGTAATGAAGAATAAGTTAAAATCTTGGGCTTCAACAAAGAAAAATTTTTGGCCTCTGATGTTGTGTAATGTTACTTACTATCATTCCAGTATTGATGAAAATATTATTGAATGGTTTTAGCCTGCAAACTTCTGTTGACTCATACTCTCAAGAGTGGTGGGGCTGTGAAAATGAAGAAAATGTACCTCAAACACAGTGCAAACACTCAGGCAGTGAGTAGAGCAATAATTTTATGTCAGCACTAACCTCACTTTAAATGTGTGAGAGAAAAGTTTGTCTACAGGAGTAGAAACAGTTCTGTTTCTAAAGAAATGTGATGTAACCAATGTAACCATGGATGATCTATATCTGCCTTTATACATTGCATCTCTGTTTTAAAATATTTTTATGATAATCATATTTAAAATTGTTTTTAGATTATAAGGAAGCTGCATGTTAAAAATTGAGCTGTATAAGAAAGAGGAAATATAGTGAAAACTTTGGGGTTTTAATCTGTGCGTGTGAGAGAGAGTGAGAAATATAGTGTTTTCATTGTGTATGCATTAAACTGTTGCTAAAACTCAGATCTAAGATTGTTAAGTAGATATTTAGGGAACTTTTTTATCACTTTAAATGAAAAATTTCAGCTTTACTGGGCATTCTGGAAGCAAAATATGTTATGCTGATGATAAAGTGAGAACCTTAAGAGTACACTCATTTGATGGCGGAAAATGTGATGGACCAAAATGCAGAAGCTATACACGTCCTGTGAGTAGTAATTTTAGTTAAAATGGAGGAGGAAAATGTGGCGCATTTAAACTTTTCTTCTACCTCATAATGGCTTTGCAAGATACTTGTAAAGAAGCAAATGTCTAGAGCCTTACTTTAAGAAAGTTAAACAACTTTGGTGAATGATTTGGATTAAGATTGTTACATCCAGCTATAGAAATGTGGTTTTAATTGCGTTGATGTGAGTGAGTACCTTCCTTTTTTGAATACCACTTAAAACAGTTAACTTTTTAAGTCTTGAAGATGAGAAAAATATTACTTATCTAATATAACTATTTTAATAGTTATCTAATTTATAGTTATCTACTATAACTATACATTCTGAATACTTAGCATGTACT
Source organism: Homo sapiens (assembly GCF_000001405.40). NCBI lineage: Eukaryota > Metazoa > Chordata > Mammalia > Primates > Hominidae > Homo > Homo sapiens. Next base: position 42,977,305 of record NC_000009.12, read on the forward strand.
GTGCTGGGGCACATATCTTGTTTTCCCAGCTGCTAAACGATTATCTTCCTTTTCTCCCTGGTATTTTAATGCTCAAGTGGAAAATGGAAAATCATGAAGGAAAAATATCACTTGTGAAAATCGTGGAAGTTAGCTTTATGAAGACACAGTGGCCTCTGTGGGGACATGGGATATGCAGAAAGAGATGGCTAGTACAGTTGTTCTGTCTTCTGCAGTTCAGTCAGGGACATATTGAGAGAGGAAAGTTTAAGCAGGTACATTAGAAATTGATAACCAGCCCAGCATTCTTAGAACAGATGGGTTTAGAGAACACGAGTTGTAGTTCCTTGGCAGAATGCCATGGTGGATATGAGAAACTGTGAACTGTGTTGAAATTGAGCTTGAGCAGAAAATGAGAATACTAAAAATTTGAAGTTCAGAGGGTATGCATTAGATTATTTCTAATGGTCCCCATATATGATCATTGCCTGCCTGACTATATGACTCCTGTTGGGAGCTTGAGAATAGATTGCTGAGCTTAGCCCTTTGGAGACTCTGGTATGCTGTGTCTGGGATGGAGTCTGCAAAAAAAAAAAAAAAAATTTAAAGAAGAGACTTAAAAATTACACAAAACTAGAATAGTGCTTTGGTACTATCAGATTACTTGGGGGGCTATTCGCACTTCGATTCTTCATATAGAGGATGTGAACAGAGAAACATGCAGATAAATCAGTCAATGCCAACTGCTGGGGGAAACGTCCATAGTCTGCAGGTTCCCACAGAAAGGATAGCACTTCCATCCTCTCCCATGAGGGAAAAATAAAGGAGAAAAGCTTTCGGCCTCTCACCATAAGCTCATTCAGTCCTCCCCTTGGGAAGAGAAATGACTTAACTGAGGACTGTGCTTGAAAGTAGCTGTACTGGTGAAACTCAGCCTCTGTGGGTTTCTCTCTCTTTCAGAGTCAGCTCTCTTCAGGATGCGCATTTATTTCTCCCTTTGGAGGAGGCCTCAGTCCACCTCAGCCAAGGACTGAAAGGCACATCTGGCTAATTCAAGACTGGGGTATTGGGAGGTCCCCTTGGCCCCAGATCTATGATATGTTCTCAAGTCCTGAGACCTGCTGACTCTCGTGTCTCATTTCTCAGTTGGGTCATATCTTGGTGTTATTTGTGTTCCCAGCTCTAACAGGAAGGTTCCTAAGCACTCATTTCTTCTTAACCAATTTCTGAAGGTAAAATGTTGGTGAAGAGTGCTCTTTTCTTCCTGCTACCATTAATTGGTGTTTATTTTGTGTCAGGCACTGTTGAGTATTTTACATTTCTTATCTAGTTTGATCTTTACAGCAACTTTATATGACAGACATTGTTCCCCCATTTTTCAGGCTAGAAATCTGAGGCCCAGTGTCCCACAATGGCTGTGTGGTGACACTAGGCTTTGAGCACAGATGGTTGACTTCCAAAGCCTATGTTCCTAACCATTATGCCACTCTGTGTTGTGACAGTGTCAAACATACTTTCATTCATATGTATCTTTTAACTGATCATGTTCTTGTGTGATTTCTTTCAGAAAGGCTTTTACATCAAATATTGATAATGATAATAATAATGAACACATGTTGAGCACTTACCATGTCTCAAGCACTGCTCTAGAGCTTCCCATGAAAGAACCCCTCTAATCTTCAGAACAACCCTGTGAGGTAGGTGCTACTATTACTCTGTTTTCACAAGTAAAGAAACTAAGCACAGCAGATCCACAGTCATTCTGTAGGATGCTGTGTAGAATGGCTCCTGGGACACTGGGAAAGCTCTTCTGCACCTCAGTATCTTCTTTACTGGTTCATTAATGTCTGATATTCCTGCATGAGAAAGCACAACATAGACAGAAAGCTTAATATGTATATACACACACTGAGAGATAAGGCATTGACATAACATCTCATTATAGGTATTAGAAATGCAGTCTCAAGAGCAGGTTCTCGTGGGGTGACAGGCTGGGTATTCTAGGGGAAGGAATATCCCAAGAAAGGTGGCATTACAAAGGAAGAGGAGAAAGAAAGATGTAAATGAGGAGACACTGATTTTCTTCCATTGCAAAGTTTTCCAAGGCTGGCCCCTTTTCTATTACATTCTTACCCAGTAACTCATACTTTCCCTAGAGCTCTTGCAAGAAAGAACTATTGAGAAAGTAGCCCATCTGAAAGTATATTTCTTGCTGTTTGTCTGCTTCCAGAACTGGCTGAAGTTTACTTTTTGGTTCTCCAGAGACCTAGCTTCTTCCAATGTGGTCTATTTAATCTCCTGTCATGTGGGAAATTATATTCAAAATCTCCATGATCCTCTGTCCATAGTAAGTTATGCATGTAGTGAGAAGTACATGCCACAAGGTCTTGAGATTATATCTGCAATGTGTTGCTGCTGGCTGTTGATCAAGATAGGCTGGGAGAAAAACATTATTTTCAGGTGTGAAAAACTGTCACCTTTATCAAATAATTCTTCTTGCATATTTCCCAAGACATTGTAGCCTATTTAAACTCGGGAGGTTAATTTTGTAGCATTCATTATGACCGAAAATGTAGTTCACACAATCATGATGCTCCCTTTATTAGGTGTTACTGTTAAACAATATTAAAATACACACAATGTGGCTGGTCTTTTGTAAGCTACATGGCATGTTTACTTCTTTGCCAGGTTTCTTAATTGCATTTCTTCATCTTTCCGAATACCAGTGTCACTGTCACCCACAATATTTGCTGTTTTGAGCACATGGTTTACATTTTATTTTGCCCAATAATAGAATATGATGGGGACATCTTATCTGAGTGTTTCATAGTATGCTGTAGTTTGAATTCTTGGCTGTTGGTTTCCCAGAGTCCCAGCTCCTGCCACTGCATTCTGCCTTTATAAATGGAGAATAATGGCTCTAAAAAAAATTCACCTAAGAATCTCATGATAGTGGAGAAGGAGGACCATGGAAATGCTAAAGCCTCCCACTCGGCTTCTGTAAATCATGCAGAGGATCAGGAAAATGATTGAAAGTAACGTATCCCAAACAAAGAAGTCAGCTGTATAATTCAAGACCTGTGTCTGGCTGTAAAAAAAACAAAAAACAAACAAACAAAAAACACAAACAAACAAAAAAATGGAAAGAATAACTTTGCTACTCATCTTGTTTGAAAAACTGGAGCAGAATGAGTATCTAGACTCAGTTTCAGAAGAAATGTTAAATACTGATAGGGGCACATTCAAGATCTTTAGGATTTTTTGGGGGGAGGAGAGGGGAACATAAAAAAGCAATAATAAAGATAAATCTGAATGCAGGAAAAATACACATAATCCATGAATCTAACACCTGTTTTCGCATGTTTATCACCTTTGTCCCTATGTAGATCTATGTTTTCTTTCATAGTTGCAGTCATAGAATATATTCTATTCTCTAAGCTTTTATCCTTCAACATTATAGGAGAATGTTGTTCCATGTTACCACATAGCCAACTGTTTCAAAACTTGTCTAGTGAATTCTGTGCTGTTGTTTTCACAGGGAGAAACATGCACATGTATATTACTTGGTTTTTTTTTTTCTGTTGAATCATACTCTTGGAATAAATTTTTTTCAGTGAGGTTTTTGGTTCCAAAAAGTATAAACATTTTGGTGATCTTTAGTAAGTTGTATTGCTTTCCAAAGAAGTGATAGGAATTATACTTGCCACCCCAACAGTGAAAGAATTGTAATTTAATTTCAATGTAACAGAGGATGCTACTCTTGCTATTATATTTTCTATTATAATGAAAACCGTTAAAGATTTAAACCAAGGTGGATTGTCTTTCAGGAGCTGCTGTTAAATGAACACCTTGATATCTTCATTCTTGGAGAGAAATGAGCCAAGGAGGAAGACCATCTAAAAAATACCACTAGACAATTTGTGCTCACTGGAGTGGTATCTGCTGGGCAAAAGGTCTTTAGAATGACTCGTGGATTTTCTGGCAAGTGGCAAACCACACAAGTGCTATGTCAGGCCAGGAAGACAGGTGCAGCCCTGTCAGTGTCAAAGAAGAACACTGGTAGCAGAAGAGCTAAGAGTGAATGAAAATTGAATTATCTTTATTTCTAGGACTTGTCTATTGAGAAACAACAGTGCTGGCAACCATTTACTACCAACAAGAGGCAGTTCCAAGAGAAGAATATAAAATATGCTCTGCTCAATCCCACAAAACTCAGAGTGTCTCACAATGGCCAATTTCTTATTTTTACCCTGTCCAGAGACAAGGAAGGATGTATCAGGGAGCTGCTAGCCTCTGCGATGAATAACTTGAGTCAGGCTGCAACATGTGAAAGAATTCAGCTGATCAGGATTTATAACACTAGCTGGATTTTTTGCTTTCTTTGGGGTTCATGAAGCGTGGTGTTGTGAGATACCACAGGATTCCCAGAATAAAGTTACATACCTATTTCTCTTCCTTATTTTTATTTTTTTGGCACGTTCATACCATTTTATTACCAACATCGTTGGCATCCCTGAGTATGAGAGTTCAGAAGAAACTTAGAGGCTATTGTCTGATTCAATCCTTGCAGCTTACAAAAAGAAATGTGGGGAGCAGTCACTGTGTGACTAGCCTGAGGTCACTCAGGAAGTTAGAGGCAGAACTGCAGCCAGGGTCACCTCTCTTTACTGCTACTAGTGTGCTCTTTCTACTGCACCCTGATCATAAAACATCTCCCAACCCAGGAACAAGGTCTACCGCATAGGTGGTCACAGCAGCATGATCACTATCTCAGTCATCTGTACTCCTCCTTTGCTTTGACCAAAGACACAGGAAGGGACCTTTTGCCCCACATAAAACACCTCTCAGAGGCTTGGCAACAACAACAGATAATAGAGAGCATTGACCTAAGACCAACATTTCAACCATGGTGTCAAAACAATATTTTATTTCAGCAAAGAAAAACTATGTCACAAGTGGATTATTATTACTAATAATCAGACTAGTGGTACTTGCGAATGACTTGGTTTCATACTCACACTTGGACAACTATGCACACTGAGTATAACTGACCTTATGAGAACATCATTCTCACTAAGATTATGATGTGCTTTCTCACGTGAGAACTGTACATAATATTGTGTGTACCCTTGGGAGGATGTCCTGCCTGTGATGTTGTCTTTCAGGGGAAGAAGAATGGTTGAGAATTGAGGGTATATTAAACATTTACTCCTCCAGATTTTTCAAGATTTCTGTTAAGCCAGATCAGAAGAAAGCCATCTATTTGGATTGCATCACTCTAACCTGGTAAGTCGAATTGTCTACACAGAATTATAATTTCACGATATGTCCAGATTACTTACCGAGAGCCAATTTGAGACACAAACAGGACTAGTAAAACATCTTTGCACTGTGGGTAGTGTTGCTATCAAAGACCTTATACATTATGTCATTCAAGAACCTTTATATTAAGATCCTTATGGAAAATCTTTCCCAAAGTTTAACCCTATGATAAAGGGTTTTTTTCTCCTGGTAACATAGTGGGCAATTGGGAACTGTTTAACCCAATGCATTGATTTCATTGATTGTTTTGGTTGCTGAGAAGTATGGATGCTCAGAATAGGTTTTCTTGTTTTCAACTGCTAATTCCTTTATTTAAATTGTAATAAATGTTTCCCTTTACTTCTTTCCTTTTTCTTTTTAAGAAATTTAATGTATTTCATAATAAATTATAAGTTATCAATAGATCAATTAGCATAGAATAGTTTGGAATAATGCTTAGAGATCTCCCATTGAAAAAGACCCCAGTACCATAGGGTTCACAGTTGAGTGTTAACTGAACTTGAACAAATTCTGATTTTATTTAAAATGATCAAAGCCTAGAAAAAAAACTCCTGCAGATCATATGGGGCACATAATAACTAAAAAAAAAAAAGAAACAAAGAGGGGTGGCTTTCTTCAATTAATTTTATAGTGTAATATCAAAGCTTAATAGTTAATATATTTCATCTAATGTAGAATGTCAATGTTTAGAAATCAGACATTATTTCATGTACCATTAGAGATATACTGCCAATTAAACTGTGACTTCCTTACCAAAAGCAAAAAAAGGAATTTTAAAGATATTAAAACATGTAAAGAAGAATATAAGCACTATACTCCCAACCCCTTCAATTAACATGTTAATATTTTATTGCATTGGTTTTCAGTAATTACTTTTAATAAAATAAAGCATTATTAGCTAATGTTCCACCCCTACCACTCCAATCTCATTCTCCTTCTAGGTCCCCCAGGCCCAATTGCTAAAATAAATTTGTTGTACACTTTAAAGTCAATTTTCTATACGTTTGCACATAAATATGTGCATTCGTAGAAAGTATTTTTGTGCTGAGAAGGTAGAATAAGCCCTTCAAAGTTGTTGATGTTCAGATTCCAGTTGGCAAAAGTCTTACACATGTGGCATTAAATATTTTCAGTATTAAACATGCACATTCCACAAGTTCAGCAGTTCTGTAATATACATCCAGAGTCTGCCCTGAGGGATGCTTACAACCTTAGTATAAACTCTCACTCACCCCTTTTAGAGAATAAAACTTACACCTATGTAATGACCAGTCCAGGTACAAGGGTGTCCTCTAAGAACATTCATTCATGTATTCAAAAAATCTTTATTGAGCACCTGCACATTTCATGCCAGGGAGGTGACCTGTGTTCTCCCTACACAACAGGAGAAAGAGTGGTGGCATCAGCAGGAAAGTGCAGTGGAAAGGAGGAGCTGACTTTGGCAGGAAAAAGAACGATATTACTTTGAATTTATCAACTCTGACGTAACATCCTGATAAAAAGTGTCATATCCAAATCACGTTGAAGATTCTCAAAGGACAGTACCAAAGTTGAATAAAAACACAGTGCCTCAAATGGGAAGTAGTATAGAAAGGCCTGAGGCTGGGGTATGGAGGCACACGCTGTGCAGAGAACGAGGGAAAAGAAGAGTGAACAACTGCTCGGGGTGGGGTTGCATTGATGGCGAGAGATGGGTGTAACATGCATTTATGAGGACAGACATGATCAGGTTTAACGAAAAAGAATTTTTTCTTTTTCCAGCAGTCCCACTGTGGGGCATTTATCTACAGGAAAGGAAATCAGCATATTTAGGAGATACCTGCACCCTCATGTTTATAGCAGCCACTATTCACAGTAGCCAAGATTAGAATCAACCTAAATGTCCAAAAACATAATCGATTAAAAATGTAGTGTCTATTCACAGTGGAGTACTATTTAGCCGTAAAAATAATGAAATCCTGTCCTTGGCTGCAACATGGATCAGCCTGGAACACTATATTAAGTGAAATAACCTAGGCACAGAATTATAAATCTTGCATGTTCTCACTCATATGTGGGAGCTAAAAAAAAAACGAACTGAACTCATGGAAGTGGAGAGTAGAATTCTGGTTATTACAGGCTGGGGAGAGCAACAGGGAGGAGAGGACAGGGAGAGGTTGGTTAACAAATACAAACTTACAGCTAGATAGGAGGAATGAGCACACCTATGACACCTAGCTGGGAATCGACAAGTGTGACAACTCCTCCACCTCCACGTCCCTGAAGATGGGATACACGCAGGGCGCTCATCAGAGCGGCCAGGCCTTTGGCCTGGGCCCGCAGATATACGACCCCAAGTACTACTGGGGAGGCCCAGTGGCCCACGGTGCTCCCTCGGGCTCCGGCGACTGCCCGGGGCCAGGGGAGGCCCCTGAATATCTCCCTTACTACCAGGAGGAGACCGGCTACTGAGGCTCCCAGCACGCTCTCTCCACACATGATCTCCCCTCTGGGTGTTTGGGTTTTTCTGTGTTTTCATCTTTTTTTTTTTAACCTGTTCAGTGCTGCCAGTCAACCGAGGGTCTGTGAGTGGCAGCGTGGGATCAGGCAGCAGGGATTTTTCCCCCACCTCCCCTTGCTTTGGTTCCTTCTCAGGACTGAGCCACCGGGCTGTGGGGGAAGGGATCAAGGCCGTATCCTGATGCGTGTAGGGTGAAGGTCCCCGCTGGCACTTCCAGGCTGTGGGCTGAGCTGTGCTGGAGAGAAGAGACCTGGACATGGAGGGAACTGGTCCCTGAAGGTTTCTGGTTGCCTCTCCTCTTCCCCTTTTCTCAGCCTATCAGTAAGTGGTTTCTGTACCCGCAAAAGTTTCAGGAAGTATTAACAAAATAAAAAAATTTTTTTTTCCCGAGGAATGGGGCGGGGACAGTGGAGAGGGTGCTAGGAAATGAGTCCCCTGGGAGAGGGGGCCCAGCCACGATGCTAAAATATCTCAGGCTCCTGAGTGGCTGGATTTCCCTAGGACCCTCAGACCAACAGACCTCAGACCTACACTGGGACCCCGTGAGGAAACTGAGGCCCGTACAAGGTAGTGGAATTTTGAGTTGTCAGGGTTAAGCCTGACCCATCTCCATCCTAGCTCCCCCACCTCCGTGGCCCTCAGTAGGGTTTTTTGTTTGTTTTTGTTTTTTTTGAGATGTAGTCTCACTCTGTCGCCCAGGCTGAAGCGCACTGGAGTAATCTCACCTCACTGCACCTCGGCCTACTGGGCTCAAGCGATTCTCCTGCTTCAGCCTCCAGAATAGCTGGGACTACAGGCGCCCGCCACCACGCCTGCCTAATTTTTTGTATTTTTAGTAGAGACGGGATTTCACCATGTTGGCCAGGCTGGTTTGGAACTCTTGCCCTCATGTTATCTGCCTGTTTCGTCCTCCCAAAGTGTTGGGATGACAGGCGTGAGCCACCGCGCCCAGGCCCTCAGTAGGTCTTAAGGAGCCCCGGCCCTCCTTCTCCCCTTCTGGGCCTGACCAGGTCTACTGCTCTATCTCCCCCGGCCCCAGGCCACGCCAAGTACTGCACAGAGCCCTCCCCGCAGGGGCCCTGTGCTATGAGATAATGTGAAATACCAACTGTGGACCAAACGCAATAAAACCTCTGTTTTTAAGAAGAAAATGAAAAGACTTAAAACTGGCATTTTAAGACTTTACTATATATTATTAAACATATATTAAATATAAATGTTATACAATTTAGCGCCTCTATCTCCCAGTCTCTGGTTAGGAACTTAACTTTCCTAAGCCTCAATTAGTAAACACTTCTGGCCTAGCCACGTTGACCCGCCTCTCTCCTAACATCATCCAGTACATTTCGGAAGCGCATGCAAAACTCTCCCACCTTCTGTTTCAACAGATATATCAACTGATACAATTATACAATAATTGCATAATATTAGATTTAATCTCACAATCACACTCAGCTTGATTACTAACCCTTCTCCTACACCTTGCTCACCTAAATTTATCTACATTTTCTATGAATTGAAATAGCTTAGAAATGTATGTTGTCTGTGTATTATAGTGTAAGTTATTGTAATATAGAAATATGGACTTTCTTTAACTCCCATTTGCTGCCTAGGAAATACCAATATTTTCTAAGCATGGCAAGTGTTTCCAAGCATTCAGAAGTGGAGAGTGTGGGAAATCCACTGCAGAATGAGGTCTGCTTGTCATCCTCTCAGTCTCAACTGCTCTCCCTCCTTCATCGCTCTCTGTTTCATTGGTGAGTATAGAAGATCAGGCATTTTTATATGAAATGAAAATTGATGGAACTAAGGTGTTGATTTGAATATCCAACCGACCATTTATTGAGTGTCCATTACAAGTTAAATTGTGTTGTAGAGAACAGCTCAGGAAATGAATGCTTGACATTGATGTACATAACAAAAATACAAACATACCATTAAAAAATCAGACCTCTTATGAGCATCCAGATTCTCATGTAAGTTTTGTGAAGCTCTTTCAAAATGAGAATGTAAAATTTCAAAAAAAACATCATTTTCACAAGTCATTCTTGAGACAGAAAAGTGGAAATAGAAGTTCATATATGGATGTTTCACTAGCTCAAATCTTATGTACAGTTTTTAATCAATTGACACCCATATAATTCTTAGTTTTATATACTGATAGTCATTAGAAATTACAAATTTTAAAAAATATTCATGTCTCATTCTACGAATCAATCTAAAAATTGCATTCATTTGGTTATATTTCTTCATTTTACCTGGCCTTGAATACTTCTTTCCTGCCCAGCATTAAATTTAATTAATGTCTAATTTGTTTACTTGGTTTAGTTATTTTGGCCATGTTCAGTACACTTGTTATGAAGCAGGCATGTAGGAATGTTGACAAGTTTATGGTCCTCACTCTTCCAAATCCCTAATGGCGGCACCCCAACAGACACATACCACAATGTAAACACATACACACACACACAATCACACCCACCCATACTCACCCACGTACACACAGACACACACACACACTCCAGTGGATCAACACATAAAACACTCCACAGGCAGACATCGTACAGCAGGGATCTCTTAGTGCACTACACACTTCTGTAAATTATCAGGACTCTTCAATTGAGGTGAGTCTACAGAGATTTCAAAGGCTATTTGAGTGCTAAGCTATCTAACTAGTGGTTGGACACTATTTAAATAATGCATTAAACACAACTCTTGAGGCTCTGAAGAATTTCTGTGCTTTCCAATGAACCAGGAGTTACAAGGTTCTGAAAGCCACAACTGTGTTACATCCTTTAATAGATAAAGCAAAGCTGATTTTAATGTGAATATACTTTATAGTTATTTCTATTCCTGTTAATTTTTGTTTGCTTGTAATACACATTTTTATGTAACTGGGAGTAAGGAACATCTTAGGAAAAATAAAACAAAAAATAAAATTTCGCTGTTTACACTGTGCCTTGGTCCAGTAACCCTGCACTGCACATATACACTTTAAATTGGTGTCTTGGGGAACCACTTTGGTATTTCTTTTTTTTTCGTTTATGTTGTAAACCTTTCTTGTAAAAATAAACAAAAAAAAAGACAAACACATTAGACTATGTCAACATGAGGTCAGGATAATCAATGTTACTGTCTGAACCTCCACATCTTGTCCCACTGAAAAGGCTTCAGAGGTAGTTACACTCATGGAGTTGTTATTTCCTATGGTAATGATGGTTCTTTCTGTAATACTTCCTGAAAGATTTGCTTGAGGCTATTGCACAGATTTAACTTTTTTTCCATAAGTAGAAGGGGTAATTCTAATGATAAAAATTGTAGTATATAAAACACATAAACCAGTAACAGAGTTTATCATTATCTAATACTATGTACTGCACACAATTGCATGTGTACTTTAGTATCACTGAAAGAAGAGCAAATTTGTTTATACCATCATCACCACAAGTACTAGGAATACATTTTGCTACAATGTTGGGTGGCTTACAATATCACTGGATGATAGAAATTTTTCGGGGCCATTAGAATCTTATGAGGCCAACATCATACATATATGGTCTGTCATTGACCAAAACATAATTATGTGGCACATGAGTGTATATATCAGATACATAAATCAATATATTCAACATTTCTCCCCTGCTTATCCTAATGATAAAGATGATATAAAATATAATTTAAAAAATATAAGAAGAAATGTCGTAATGGTCTCTATATTAAAAACTAGAGTTAAATTGTTTAAAAAATTATAAGTAGATGCTAAATACACAGATTGAAATACATTAAATACATTAAGAATGTTTGTTCTGTTTCTTATATATTGCTGGTTTTCTGTCATTGAAAGTTTAATTTAGACCTCCTTATTTCATGTAATCACCCCAATAATTTGTCTTACAAACAATTAACAGAAGTTAACACTATATAACATAGTTGTATATTGTCTTACTCTTACAATGGGATACTTTCCTTTTCATGAGGGAAACAGTAAGCTATAAAGTTTACACAATCTGAGATGTAGATAAAGATTGACATGCAAGATTGCTTCTAGATATATCACTTTATAATGGTAACATAAAAAAAGGAAAGTAATGTGTAAAATATCTTCTAATGCAACCCTTTCCACTCTTCCTGACTCTCATTGGCCTTTTTTTTTTTTTTTTTTTTTTTTTTTTTTGACTTCTCACGAATACATTAGGAGTCTCCCTCACCCTCTGGCTTCAGGTTAGGTTCAGCCTGTGGAGAACCCTGTAAGAAGGCAGAAAGGAAGAGGAGAAAAGGGTCACGGTGTTTATTCTGTTGGTCTCTTCCCCATGAGGCTGTCTTCCCTACATGTGTCTCTTTACAGAAGGTCACTTTTGTTCTCCAGGTGGTCTGATCTTCTACTCCTTCTTTTTCCAGGTTTTGTTTTTATCCTCACTGAATGCCAGTTCCAGATTTATTGCTTACAATTCTTTCATGCTCCTTCCTTTGTATGGAAGCATTCCTCAAATTATTCTTGGTTGTATTTACCCACTGCTTTCTGTTGAAATTCTGACTAATCCAGAATATAAAACTTTTTAGAGTCCAGTCATTCTTTGCCATGTTCTGTTTCCCCCCATCTCTGTGGCTATGAAAACATGTATCAAATATTTTACCTGACTCGCAGGAAGGGGAAGTCCCACTGCTTTGCCTGTTTTGGATAGGTAGCATCAGTTAAACTAAACCTTTCATAAACTACTGATACATCAGTGGTTTCTTGTTACATAGAATGAACAGTATTCACCAGAATAATATCCTGACTAGCAAACACATCAATTGCCACTCGATGTTCTAAGTGTTATGAGTAAAATAAAAACTGAATAAAGATTTTGCCCTCAGGATGTTTATGTTCTCCTATGTGAGAAAGATAATTAAAAATATAAAATATAATATCAATTTTTGAATCATAAGTGTTATGCAGAAAGTGAATTAGGGTAAATTTCCATGCTTGTAGTTTTGCTTATGGTTTACTATTTGTATTCATTTTCTAAGACTGTCATACAAAATACCACAAACTGGGTAGCTTAAAACATCAAAAGCTTATTCTCTCAGTTTTGGAGGTCAGAAATTCAAAATCAAGATGTTAGCAATACCATGCTCCCTCTGAAACCTGAAGGAGAGAATCTTTCTTTACCTCTTGTCTTCAGGTGCCAGTTATCAATTCTTGGCACATTTTTTGGCATGCAACTGCATCAGTTTGTGACTCTGTCATCACAGGACATTCTCCCTATATGTCTGTATCTCTGTGCCCAGTTCTTATAAGGACAGCAGTCACCTGACCTCATCTTAACTAGTGACATCTGCAATAGCTCTATTATCAAATAAGTTCACATTTTAAGGTACTGGAGTTTAGCACTTCATTGTATCTTTTGAAGAGACACAATTAAGCTCATATGTAATAAATATTAGTATTCAAATTAAGTATATCCTACACTTAAAATATACTGATAAAATAATTTGTAATTTCTAAAGACCTCATAATCATACAATCAATATTTATAACAGATTTCTCTTCATTTTGTTATCTATAAATCTGTATTTTTGCTTTTAGTTACAACCATGACATCCCCAGAAAGCTTTTCTATACAGAGAAGTGGCTCTGAAACTGTTATCAACATCTAAACTTTTGTAAAAATTGAAACTATTGTAATTTCAATTTACCTGAAGAATGTTTTCTTTTGATGTATTTGAACTGAGTATCCCTGTGATTGACAGGATGAAATGTTTATGAAATAGATCAATATTGCTCATTGGATATTCATCATTGAATAATTATATTTTTATTTTGTCAATTCTGAGTTATTTGGAAACAAAAATCCACAGAATGTTACCTTATATAAATATGTTAATACACTCTTGATTATTAATAAATCTGTTATAATGTCATATCCTCTCAGTAATAAAAGCATATTTAATTTATGCTTTTATCCATTAGAAAACAGTGAAGCTAGAAATTATTTAAAATTTTGTCCCTAAGAAATATGTGGAAAAAATAAGAAAATTTATATTTTAAAATGAAATTGCATTAAGAAGCCAACATTGATGTATTTATTGACTAAAGACCAGAGTTTACATTAGGGTTCACTCTTTGTATTATACAGTTCTATGGGTTTTGCTAAATGCATGATGTCATGTATCCACCATTACAGAATCATAGATAATAATTTCACTGCCCTAAAAATTCCCTGTGCTCCACCTACTTATCCCCCACATGCCCAACTCCTGGTAATGCCTAAACTTTGCACTAGCTCTATAGTTTCGCCTTTTCTAGAAGATTATATACTTGGACTCATACAATATGTAGACTTTTCAGACTGGCCTCTTTCACATAGAAATATGCATTCAAATTTCCTCCATGTCTAATCGTGACTGGATGGCTTATTTTTTTACCCCTGATAATTATGTCATTGTATGGATATACCAGAGTTTGTTTATCTAATTAAGGAATGATTATCTATTAAAGGATAAGCTGGGTGCTTCTAAGTTTTAGTAAGTAAGAATATAGCTGCACATGCAATAAACATTTGCATGCAAGTTTCTGTGTGGTACAGTATACTATTTCTTTGTTCTTAAATACTTTTCACTGGTGTGAACCAATGAGATGCTAACATTGCATTGCTCGTACTTGGTTGGTTTCTAAACTTTACTTACTTTTACAATTTTTAAAGAGAAGTTTCTATTGCCAGTTTTTTAAAGTGATATGCTCTTCTGGCCTTGACATAACAATACACCATCATTAGCTTTTAAGTCCTTAATATGCTCAAAAAATTAGAGAGCAACTATATCCATGAACCACCATCTAGATTGCAGGAATTAAAGGGAGAACAAATGTTCATTGAATAGATGCAATTTACCAGGACTTATGCTAAGCATTACAGATCTATAATCTCTTTATATATATATATATATATATATATATATATATATATATATATACATACACACACACACACATATACATATATATAAGAAAATTAAGGTGAGAAAGTAATAAACAATGCTAATTAGCTCTGTTTTTAAAAGTAACAATCCAAACTTAAACTCAAATTATTTTTACTGTAAAACCACTGTAGAAAAATAAAAACTCAATTAAATTCAGAGTTCTATATTGCATACTAACTGTAAACCACATCATTGTTCAAATTGATTTTTTAACAGATCAAAACATATTTAATCCGTTGCATTGAATTTAATGCATTGTGTTGCTACTCCTTATTTTATTTTGTTTTGTTTTATTTTACTCAATTTTATATTTTATTTTCTTTCTAGTGGAATATTAGCTGGTACATCTGAATACCAGAATGTAAAGAAAGGAAGAACAGATCCAAATAAATATTTAAAGTAATAATGGCTAAGAATTTTCCAAAATTAACAGCAGATACTGAATACAGATTCAAGAAGTGCAGAGAATACCAAGCAGAATAAATGTCAAAAATCTGTACTTAGGTATATATTTTTTAAACCAAAGAAAATCAAAGACAGAGAGACATACTGAAAGGAGCCAAGGGTAAACAAGAAAACTTACCTGTAAATAAATAAGGCTAAGAATTACAGTTGGTTTTTCATTAGATGAAAGCAAGAAGAGAGTGGGGGGAAATACTTAAAGTGTTGAAAGTGAAACACACAGAGACACACACACCATCTACATTTCTTTTCTTTTTTTTTTTTTTGGAGACTGGAGTGCAGTGGTGTAATCTCGGCTCACTGCAACCCCCACCTCCTGGGCAAGCAATTCCTCCTGCCTCAGCCTCCCAAGTAGCTAGGACTACAGGCGCATGCCATCACACCTGGCTAATTATTTTTGCATTTTTAGTAGAGACGGGATTTCACTGTATTAGCCAGGATGGTCTCAATCTCCTGACCTCGTGATCTGCTCGCCTCGGCCTCCCAAAGTGCTGGGATTACAGGTGTGAGCCATCGCATCTGGCCTACATTTCTATATCTAATAGAATTATCCTGCAATAGTGTAGAAGAAATAAAGACCTTCTCAGACAAACAAAAACTGAGAAAGTTTATGGTCAGTAGACATGCCTTGCAAGGAATGTTCAAAGAAGTTCCTAGGGAGAAGAAAAATGGTATAGGTCAAAAATTGGTCTATATAAAGAAAGGAAGAATATCATAGAAGGAATGAATGAAACTAAAATAAAATGTTTTATTTTCTTATTCTTAATTGACCTAAAAGATAATATTTTGTTTAAAAGGAGTAACTGTAACAATGTATTGAATGAATATAGTATATAAATGAATACAATAAATGGCAGTAGTGTCATAAATAATGGTAGGAATTGGGATTACTTGTATCTTAGTTTGCTCAGGCTTTTATAACAGGATACCATACACCAGGTGGCTTATAATCAACAAAAATGCAGTTTTCAGTTCTGAGACTGGAAAGTCCCAGGTCAAGCCATGTGCATATTAAGTGTCTGGCAAGGGCTTGTTCATAGAGGATGGGTCACTGGGTTTTCACGTGGCAGAAGAGCAAATTAGCTCTCTAGGGTTTCTTTTGTAAAGGCACTAATTCTATCCATAACAGTTTGCCCTCATGACCTAATCACTTCCCACAGACCCATCTCCAAATACTCTTACCATAGGGATTAGGTTTCAACATACACATTTTGGGGGAATAGGGGAATACAAATATTGAGTCTGTAACACTCTTGTAAAGTGATATTTGTGTTGAGTTATTCAAAGTCTTATTTAAAGGTAGATTGAGATTAGTTAAAAATGTGTATTGCAAACTCACATAAATCACTAAAACTGTTCTAAAGTATAACTGACATGCTAGGAGAGGAAATGTAATGGGATTATTTTAAGTGTCAATTAAAACAATAGAAATAAGAAAAAGAGTGATTGTTGGGAGGCAAAGAATAACTGATATGAATAGAAAATAGTTATAAACATAATAAATACCAGCCCAACTTTTTTACCACCCAATAATTACTTTAAATGTGCATGATCTAAGTATACCAATTTACAAGACAGCTGTTGTCAGAGAAAAACAAAATAAGACATCTAGTTAACAATCTTTTTCTTTCTTTATTTAATAAACCTGAACAACATTTTACATCTAATTTAATCCCAGCACTTTGGGAGGCGGAGGCGGGCAGATCACGAGGTCAGGAGATCGAGACCATCCTGGCTAACATGGTGAAACCCCGTCTCTACTAAAAATACAAAAAAATTAGCCGGGCGTGGTGGCGGGCACCTGTAGTACCAGCTACTCGGAGAGGCTGAGACAGGAGAATGGCGTGAACCCGGGAGACGGAGGTTTCAGTGAGCCGAGATCGCGCCACTGCACTCCAGCCTGGGCAACAGAGCGAGACTCCGTCTCAAAAAAAAAAAAGAAAAGTTGATGAGTAATTTCTGTCATATGGAGTTCAGTGTTATTTATAATAAAAATTGCATACCACACAACTGATCAAAGCACAGCATATCCGTGCCACCGTAGTCTTACTTATGGCTACCTGTCCAGAGCTCACTTTGAAAAGTCACTTCCCTAGTGAAATTCATGACACTCATGGAATTGTCAGAATCTATAAAGAATGTATAAGGAATTTTTATAAATTATGAATTACTCTAAGTAAGATATTTTGTTAAAGCAGCAGGAATGTACTAAAACACCATGTGATGGGAACAAGAAATGACATCCTTAGTCATAAGCAAAAGTTGTTGATGAAATGGCTAAAAAATAAATATGCCCAACTCAGCATCATTAACAAGGGAAATCTCATAGGTGATAAGGAACAGAACCTGGCCCTAAGGTTTCTAATAGGGCCAAAGTCTCCCACTTCATGTTTTACTCCTTTGGGTGTCTCTATGCAGTAAACTCACTAGTTTATGTACTAGGGAACAGTTGGTTTAGAAAGGTCATGCCAAAAGGTCAATATAAATTTCTTCACTGGCCTTCTTTTAGAGTAATGAGACCTTTCTGTAAAATAAAGATGGTTTTGTTGCAGATCCATACAGCAACCTATCATTTATAGGAGCTATTCTTTCTGCAACATCCATATTAATACCCAGGTGAAAAGTGAACCAAAATAAAAAGAAGATAAAAAGATGAATGAATTTTTTTTCTTAATTTGGGCAAAATTACTTCAAAATGTTTACAGTATATACAACATCTCAAAATATGTAATTGGAAAGAAAATTTTACAAACTAAAAATATTTACATTGTGCATGTTTTGTTTTTTTATTTAGAAATAAAAGCCACACAGGTACCCAGAGAAGCCAAATACAAGATAATAATTACTTTGAACAATTTTTCATTCAAGCAAATTTCTAACTGTGAATGTAAGGTTACAAGTACATTCCAGAAAGTGAAAGTACATTCAGTCTACTAAATTTCTTGGCCATAATTTTCTAAATTTTTCTGAACTTGGAATCACAGGACTGGGGAATATTCATTGGGGAATATAAAAAGTAGCTTTCTCATTTTTGCAGCGATTTCATATAAAAGAAGAAATATTATTTATATAAAATATTTTCTTCACATGAAAATTTGGTTGGTATATCTGTGCTATTTTACCTTTTGCTAAATATATATTAATAACTTCAGAAAATATAATACATGACACATTTTATCTTCTGCCTTCATATATCCCAAAGATTGAGTTAAAATGAAGATAAATCATAAAACACTCAATGGTGTTGTATGTTATTTTCAAAATAAGGCCACATTGATCCAAAATCACTCTGTAGTATTCAGTTACTTAGAGGAGCATGTTAAAGTTTTCATACCCATATAGGATAATCAATTGTAAGAATTTCTGTCATTTGCCTCAATGGTGGTAACAATGTTTATTTATTAGTAGAATAAAGAGAATTTGTTTCCAAGAAATGCAAGAGTTTTATGTATTTTGCATTTAAAAATTAAGTACAGTTCAATGAGTGTTTTGATTTAAAAAAATAAAAATGAACAGAATTCTAAACTACACTTCTGATGTAGCCATGTGGCCAAAATACTAACAATCTGACTTAAAATATATCTTCATCTAATTATTCCTTCTGTGCAAAAGATGAATTGGATTTGTTGGGAAGGATGCTTTGAAAGCATGAATTTAATTTTCCTTCTTCCAGGGTATCTATTTCTTCCATCATTGTAAGTAGGAATTGCTTGCTCACATGCAAAAATGCAAACACTGGTTTTTAAGTGCTATCTGGAAGAAATACTAGAATACATATATTCTACATACATATAATATTTACAATACATATTCAAGATATCTATAGATACATAAAAATAAACATTTACTGAAAATTGAAAATATTAGAAAGGCCTAAGGTACTTCAGGTAGGTAATCTCATTTATTTTTACAGGAAAAGGATATTTCCCAATAACATTAAAGCTTATATAAAATTTGATAATTGGTTAAGTCAAGCTTCTAATAAGTGGTAAATAAAGATTTACTTGTTAGTATCCATTATATGAGTATTAGTTCATTCTCACACTGCCATGAAGACATACCCAAGACTGGAGACCGAGTAATCTATAAAGAAAATAGGTTTAATTGACTCACAGTTCTGGGGAGGCCTCAGAAAACTTACAATCATGGCAGAATGCAAGAGAAGCAGGTACCTTCTTCACAGGGTGGCAAGACTCAATGAGTGCAACCAGGGGAAATGTCAGATGCTTATAAAACCATCAAATCTCAAGATAACTCGCTCACTATAATGAGAACAGCATGGGGGAAACCACCTTCATGATCTACTTACTTCCATCTGGTCCTGCTCTTGACACATGAGGATTATGGAGATTACAATTCAAGGTGATATTTGGGTGGGGACACAGAGCCAAACCCTACAGTATGTATGGTATCCTACTATGTATTGCTTGAATCTACACAATACAGTTCTGTCTCTTCAAATGGATTCCAGCTGAGGATAGTAAGGAACAAAATTGACACATAATATGTAGAAAATAATGTATCAACAAAATGTATTATATAATAATTTTCTTCATTAAATAATGTTTTTTAGTAAGAATTATGTTAGGTGTTGTAGGAATAAGAGAATAAAACAAGTGTGTATTTTACTCTTTGGAGAAAAGTAATACAAAAAAGAAAGCCAAAACAAAGCAGAATCAAAGTTGGACCTTCATATAGATATGCATGTAAATATATATGCATTTGTGGACTTTCAAAAAATTTAAAAACATTTTTATTAGAGAAATGATAAAACTTTATGATAAAATTGCATTCAATTTGGATTTAGAAAGGGTAAAATTACGTGTCTTAGGCCATTTTGTGCTTCTAAAACAGAATACCATAGATTGAGTAATTTATAAAGAACAGAAATTTACTTCTTACCATTCTGGTGGCTAGGAAGTCCTAGATCAAGATACCAGGCTCTGAGGTCTTCTTGATGCATCCTCACATGGTGGAAGGTGGAAGGGGCAAGAGAGAACCAACTCTCTCTGTCAAGACCCACCTCATCCCATTCATGAGGGAGGATCTCTCATGGCCTAAACACCTCTTAAAGGCCTGACCTCTTAGGACTATCACATTGGCAACACTTGAATTTTGGAGGAGATTCATTAAAGCCATGTCAGTATCCATTTCTTACTAAAGGTAAAAAATAATTTGAAGTATGAAGGGAACACAAAATGAATAATACCTCCAAGAAATATTCATTCATTTGTCCACTCACTCACTAAATAAATATTGAGAGACTGACTTGTAAAAGCTAATTTACTCTCTTCTAAGCTCCATCATACCAGGCTGGGAAACTCCCAGTAGATAATATGGGCACTAAGATCCAACCTAATATAAACTCAGATCAATTTACTTCAGATATCAGGATAAAAAGTTCTGCACCATTGTGAGCCAGGGTTCTTCCAGACAGCAGTACAAGGAAGTAGAAGAGACAGAGTTGATCCAAAAAGCAATGAGCCTGGGAAGTTTTTATAGCAGGTAATTTCAAATAAATCATTTTCTATACAACTGAGATTCTTCTATTCATGAATAGAACCTTCTTAAATGCACTCCAGCATTTCTCCAAAGTGGGGCATTGTAAACAAATAAAAAGAGGGCCAGAAATGGCTATTTATCTCACTTAAGCGTAATAGAGCATCCAATACCAGCATCCAGGCTGGGTCAATGGAAATCTGGTTCCAGACTTTGCTTTTGCCTTTGAAGATAATTTTTTTTTTCTTTAAACTGTATTTGAAGTGAGATTCTATATGGACTGCTATGTAAGGGAAGGGATTCTTTGAAAATGGGTCCAACCCACTAGAAGAAGAGATAACAAATGGAGATAAGCTGAACCCTGATTACTTTACTTGGAGCCTGAAATCACCTTTAGCTTAAATCATACTACCCTTGGGCTTAGTTACTTTAGTCTACTTTTTTTTTCCATTTATGTTACTTGCCCCCAAATGAGTCTTAATGGGGACAAATGGTCATTCAGGTACAGGCCTCAGAAGAGCATTCCTGATGAGAGGAAACATTTCCAAGGAATGTTAATGAGATTGTTCTGGGACAGGATAAATAAAAGAAATACATTTAGAGGAGTTCTACATTTAAGGAACAGCACAGAAAGAGAAACGTACAAAACAGCTAGTGGTGGAACAGTAATAGAATGAAAGGGAAAACCAATTTCTTTGAAACGTTTACAGTCATGCCCCACATAATAATGCTTTGGTCAATGACAGACTGCATTTAAAATAGTGGTCCCATAAGATTCTAATGGAGCTGAAAAATATCTTCCATGTAGTGACATAATAGCCATTATAACTTCAAAGCTCAATGCATTACTCAAGTGCATTTGGTGATGCTGATATAAACAAACCTATCGTGCTGCCAATCATAGACAAGAATAGTGCATATAATTATGTACAACACATAATACTTGATAATGATAATAAATTACTATGTTACTCATTTATGTATATACTTTACTATTTAATGTTATCTTAGGGTATACTCTTATTTATTAAAAAAAATTATCTGTAAGACTGTCTCAGGCAGGTCCTTCAGGAGATATTTTAGAAGAAGGCATTGTTATCACAGAAGACTACAGGTCCATGCATGTTATTGCCCCTGAAGACCTTCCAGTGGGATGAGGTGTGAAGGTAAAACACAATTATATCGATGATCCTGATCGTGTGTAGGCCTAGGCTAATGTGTGTGTTTGCGTTTTACTTTTTAACAAAAAGGTGTACAAAGCTGAAAAAGGAAAAAATCTTATAAAACAGAGCTATAAAAGATGATATTTTTGTATAGCTGCACAATGTGTTTGTGTTTTAAGCTAAATGTTATTATAAAAAATCAAAGCGTTGAAACATATAAAAGCGTTAAAATATATTAGATTAAAAGGTATAGTAAGATAATGTTAATTTCATGGTCCTTAAGTGTATCATTTTTATAAAATCCACAGTCATATACGGTAATGTCCTAGGGTTTCACATTCACTCGTCATTCACTCACTGACTTATCCAGAGTAACTTTTAGTCTTCAAGCTCCATTTATGGTAAGTTCCCAATATAGACGTAACATTTTCCATCTTTTACGCTGTACTTTTACTATACCTATTCTATGTTTAGATACGTTTAAATACACAAATACTTGCCGTTATGTTACAATTGCCTACATGTTCAGTATAGTCACACGCTGTACAGGTGTGTAGCCTAGGAGCAATAGGCTATATCTCATGTAGCCTAGATATGTAGCAGACTATGTTGTCAAGGTTTTGTAAACATCTATGATGTTTGCATAATGACAAAATTGCCTAATAATGCATTTCTCAGATCATATCAGTATTACTAAGTGTCACATGATTATACATATTTAATTTTTACTGGTGAAATATTATTATTCATATTGAACAGAATTGAAACTCTAGCTCTATTACTTATCTCTCCTAGTTGAAGCCAAGCTTTTTCCAACAGATTGGAAAACTATATGCTACTGAGAAAGTTACTGCTATTGGAGTTCTAAAATACATACGTATGTCTCTTAGCTCTCAAAATTATTTTGTAATATCATATGCCCAAATACAAAAATACAAGTGCCCAAATATTTAGACTTGTATAACCAATGAGTATAATTAAGTCTTGACACTAAGTAATATTCAAAGAGGGAAGTTTGCTCTTTATTTTCCTAATTGCCATGGGCAACCATCAGTTATTTACTTCATTTCCTTTCAATAGTTCTTGCTCTCAGCAAGTCGGGATCTCTCAGAGAGAAAGATTCATAGAGGCCTGAGAAAAACAGAAGAATCTAGGGACAAATGTAAAACCATCTTCATAATTACAATCCATTTATTAGATACACCATCCTAAATTTTGTCCTAAAGAATAAGCAGGGCTCATATTCTATTTCTTATATTTTTTGAGGGACGATTTCAGTGTAAGCAACAAAGCAGTGGAAATAATTTCAAATGCTAGAATAGTTTTTTGAGTAAAATCTGGTCCTACTAATGATTTAAGAGCTGGAACACAACTTCTTGCAGATCTAGAGCTGGATCCTAGTCCAAGTGTTCCTGGAAGGGATGGGGTAAGGGTGAATGGAGTGTGGGAATGCAGTCCTGCTGAGTATGGGCAGCTGTTCTGGAGCCAAGCAATTCACAGTTTCACTTTGCCAAAATAAATCCACTTGAATGATTTTTTTTTCAGGGATGAAACTGAGAAATTGGTGGTGAGTAGTTCTGCTTAGGAAAATTTTTGACATTTCAGGATAAATGACAAATATTACACTTTTTCTGAGACTATCTTAAAAATTCATTTATATATCTAATTCTCATTATTTTGCTAAACTTTCTATACTTGTTATTCACTTATTCACATTTAAATTTTTATTGTGACAATTATATAAATGGAAATAGCTGTATCTTTTAAGTATAGAATCCCTATATTTTTCTTCTTGCTAGCCATATCTATCTTATTTATAGTGAGTATCCAACTTTCATGAATTCTGAAAGTGTTCAATGACCTCAGAAAGCAATACAATTGTGTGGTATACAGAATATTAGATGGTCATGACCTTAGCCTCCCAGTGTTACTTTGATGATTATATTGTATTACATGGCAAAATGGATTGCGCAGATGTAATTAATGTTAATAATCAGTTGATGTGAAAACAGGAAGATTATCCAAGTGTACCTAATCTAATACAATGAGCTCTGTAAAATTTTATTTATTTTTGCCCGACTGTCTTATTCCTGAGAGCCAGTTTTCAAGCTCTGAGGTCCTTTCCTCAACTTGGTCCATTCTGTTGTTAATACTTGTGATTGCATTATGAAATTCTTGTGGTGTGTTTTCCAACTCTAGCCAGTCAATTTGGTTCTGTTTTATACTGGCTATTTCACCGATCAGCACCTGAATTATTTTTTGTGTTTGTTCCTTAGTGATATGGTTTGGCTCTGTGTTCCCATTCAAATCTTATCTGGAACTGTAATCCCCATGTGTTGAGAGAGGAACCTGGTGGGAGGTGATTGGATCATGGGGGTGGTTCCCCCGTGCTGTTCTCATGATAGTGAGTGAGTTCTCATGAGATCTGATGGTTTAAAAGTGACTGTCCCCCTTGACTCTCTCTCTCTTCTGCCACCCTGTGAAGAAGTTACTTGCTTCTCCTTCACCTTCAGCTATGATTATAAGTTTTCTGAGGCCTCCCCAGCAATTCAGAACTATGAGTCAATTAAATCTTTTTCCTTTATAAATTACCCAGTCTCAGAAGTTCTTTATAGCAGGGTGATAACAGACTAATACACTTAGCTTCCTTGAATTAGGTTTCGATGTGCCCCCGAATTTCAATGATCTTTGTTCCTATCTATATTCTGAAATCAATTTATGTCATTTCAGCCATCTCAGCCTAGTTAAGAACCCTTGCTGGGGAACCAGTGTGATCTTTGGGAGGAAAGAAGACATGCTGGCCTTTTGAGTTGCCAGAGATCTTGCATAGGTTCTTTCTCATCTGTGTGTGTGTGTGTGGGTGTTCCTTTAATTGCAGTGTAAATTGAGTACAGTCAGTAGACTTCTTTCCATGTTTTCAGAGTCCTAAGGCTTTGTTTAGGGCCTTTATTTGTAGCTAAATTCTTGTCTTTCTTTTCACAGCAGGGTATGATAGCAAAGTATTATTGGTGTTGAAGTTTTGGGGTGTGATCTAGTAGCTGGTGCTGAAGTGTAATGGTCACTGTGTAGGCTCCTGCTCAGTCATGTGGCTCCTCCGTATTTCCTCATGGGTTGCAGCTATGCTTCCTCTCAATGTTTTGAAAGTCAGTGTAGGCTCCTCTCCCACTTGAGTGCTCACTGCAGATCTTGGCTTGGTGCATCCAGGCTGCACACCATAGTTCTGAAATGATCATAGGCTTTATGTTACTTCCCCAGCTTGGAAGCAGCAGAGGAGACCCTGTGGCTCAACGTCTTTTCTTGTCACTTGGGGCTCCATTGCAGAAAGATGCAGAACTGCAATCAATTAGCATGATCAGCCTGGCATGGGGCAGCTGCACTGTGAGCCCACGCTGGGGGGATCCTGTCTGGTGACTAGCAGAGAATGTGGGTAGGACCCGTGGGAGACAGACTGGTCTCCTCTCCTTAGAGCAACTACAACTTGCGGGATAAAGCACTCGGAGTCTTTGCTCCTTCCCTAGTTCAAGGGTAAACAGGGAAGTTAAACTGGAGAGGCAGTGGCAGAGGGACTTTTGGTTGCCCCTGGGAGCTCCATCTCTGAGAAATGTGGAGCTGCTGCTACTGGGAGTGTTCAGCCAGAGGGTGAAGCAGCTGCACTGCTTGCCTGAGCTAGAGGCTCTGCTTGTTGGGGAACAGGGGGTCAAGGGCCCATAGCAGCAAGAAATGGGGCTTTTCTCTAAATGGTGGCTGTGGTGTGCTGTACGCATGGGGAGAAAGCAACCAACTTAGAAAACATATTTCAGGATATCATCTATGAAAACTTCGTCAACCTCTCTAGAAAGGCCAACATTCAAATTCAAAGAATATAGAGAACCTTTACAGGATGCTAAAAAAGAAGTCCATCCCCAAGACACATAATCATCAGATTCTCCAAGGCCAAAATGAATGAAAAAGTGATAAAGTAAGCTAATGAAAAAAGGCAGATCACCTACAAGGGGCACCCCATCAGGCTAAAAGCAGAAATTTCAGCAGAAATCCTACAAGCCAGAAGAGATTGGGGGTCTATATTCAACATTATTAAAGAAAAAAAATCTTCATCCAAGAATTTCAGATGGAGCCAAACTAAGCTTCATAAGTGAAGGAGAAATAAGATCTTTTCAAACAAACACATTCAGAGGGAATTCATTACCACCAGACTGCCTTACAAGAGTTCCTGAAAGGAGTAGTAAATATGGAAAGGAAAGACTGTTATCAGCCACTACAAAAACAACTTTAAGTACACAGACCAGTGACACTATAAAGCAACCACACAAACCAGTCTGCATAATAATCAGCTAAGAACAGGATGAGAGGATCAAATCCACATATATCAATAATAACTTTGAATGTAAATGGCCTAAATGCCTCAAAGAAAAGGCAGAGTGGCAAGCTGGATAAAGAAAAAGACCCAATGGTATACTGAATTTAAGAGCCCCATCCTACATGCAATGACACCCATAGGCTCAAAATGAATGGATGGAAAAAAAATCTACCATGCGAAAGGAGAACATAAAAAAGCAGAGGTGGCAATCCTAATTTCAGACAAAACAGACTTTGAACCAACAAAACCCAACAAACACAAGGAAGGTCATTACATAATGGTAAAAGGTTGAATTAAACAAAAAGACCTAATTATCCTAAATATACATGCACCCAACACAGGAGCACATAGATTTGTAAAACAAGTTCTTAGAGACCTACAAAGAGACTTAGATTTCTACAAAATAATAGTGGAAGACTTCAACACCCTACTAACAGTATTAGACAGATCATTAAGGAAGAAAATTAATGAAGATATTCAGAACTTGAACTCAATACTTGATCAAATGGACCTAATAGACTTCTACAGAACGCTCTATCCAAAAATGACAAAATATACTTTCTTCTCATTACCACATGACACATACTGTAAAATGGAACACACAATCAGACATAAACCAATCTTCAGCAAATTTAAAAAAAAAAACACTGAAATCATACAAACGACACTCTCAGACAACAGTGCAATAAAAAATGTGGCACATATACACCATGGAATACTATGCAGCCATAAAAAATAATGAGGTCATGTCCTTTTTAGGGACATGGATGAAATTGGAAATCGTCATTCTCAGTAAACTATTGCAAGGACAAAAACCCAAACACCGCATGTTCTCACTCATAGATGGGAATTGAACAATGAGAACTCATGGACACAGGAAGGGGAACATCACGCACTGGGGCCTGTTGTGGGGTGGGGGGAGGGGGCAGGGATAGCATTAGGAGATATACCTAATGCTAAATGACGAGTTAATGGGTGCAGCACACCAGCATGGCACATGTATACATATGTAACTAACCTGCACATTGTGCACATGTACCCTAAAACTTAAAGTATAATAATAATAAAAAAAACAAAAAAAAACCCAGTGCAATAAAAACAGAATTCAGTACAAAGAAAATCACTCAAAACCATACAATTGCATGGAAATTAAACAACCTGCTCCTAAGTGACTTTTGGGTGAACAATAAAATTAAGGAAGAAATCAAGACATTCTTTGAAAATAACAAAAAGATAAAACAAGCAAGAATCTCTGGGACACAGCTAAAGTGGTATTCAGAGGGATATTTGTAGTCCTAAATGCTCACATCAAAATGATAGATATCAAACTAAAAACCCAGCATTACAACTAGAAGTACCAGAGGAGCAAAAGCAAACAAACCTCAAAACTAGCGGAAGAAAAGAAATAACAAAAATCAGAGCTGATATGAAGGAGTTCGAGACATAAAAAAAAAAAATAAAAAGATGAACAAATCCAAGAGTTGGATCATTGAAAAAATCAATAAATAGATATATGGATACCTAGACTTTGAAGAAAAGGAGAAGCTCCAAATAAATACTATCAGAAATGACAAAGAAGATGTTACCACTGATCCCACAGAAAAAAAAAATAACCACCGTAAACTACTTTAAACGCCTCTATGTACACAAACTAGAAAATGTAGGAAAAATTGATAAATTCCTGGACACATACATCCACTCAAGATGGAAGCAGGAAGAAATTGATCCTTGAACAGACCAATAATGAGCTTCAAAACTGAATCAGTAATAAATAGCCTACCAAAAAAAAAATGCCAAGGACTAGATGGATTCACAGCTGAATTCTAGTAGATATTCAAAGAATAGCTGGTACAAATCCTACCGAAACTATTCCAAAAAATTGAAGAAGAGGGACTCCTCTCAATCTCATTCTATGAGACTAGCATCATCCTCTATGAGACCAGCATCATCTTCATATGAAAACCTGGCAGAGAAACAGCAAAATAAAAAATAAAATAAAAAAATAAAAAAAAACTTCAGGCCAATATCCTTGATGAACATAGATGCAACAATCCTCAACAAAATACTAGTGAACAGAATGCAGCAGGACATCAAAAAGCTAATTCATCATGATCAAGTAGACCTTATCCCAAAGACGAAAGGTTGGTTCAATATATGCAAATCAATAAATGTGATTAATCATGTAAACTAAAGACAAAAACCACATGATTATCTCAATAGATGCATAAAAAGCAAAAACCACATGATTATCACAATAGATGCATTCAACACTGCTACATGTTAAATAACCTTCAATAAATTTAGGCATTCAAATGACCATACTGCCCAAAGCAATTTACAGATTCAATGCTATTGCTATAGAACTACCAACAACATTCTTCACAGAACTAGAAAAAAACTATTTTTAAAATTCACCTAGCCCTCAAAAAAGACCCTGGATAGCCAAGGCAATCTTAAGCAAAAAGAACAAAACTGAAGCCATCACATTATATGACTTCAAACTCTTCTACAGGGCCACAGTAACCCAAGTAGCATAACACTAGTACAAAAACAGACACATAGAACAATGGAACAGAATAGAGAGCCCAGAAATAATGCCACACATCTACAGCCATCTAATTTTCAACAAAACCAACAAAAACAAGCAATAAAGAAAGAACTTCCCATTCAATAAGTGTGATGGGATATCTGATTAGTCATATGCAAGAAGATTGAAACTGCACTCCTTCCTTATACCATATATAAAAATCAACTCATCATGAATTAAATACTTAAATGTGAAACCCAAAACTATAAAAACTCTGGAAGATATCCTAGGAAATGCCATTCTGGATATAGGAACTGGCAAAGATTCCATGATGAACGTGCTAAAAGCAATCGCAACAAAAGCAAAAACTGACAAATGGGATCTAATGAAACTAAAGAGTTTCTGCACTGCAAAAGAAATTGTCAGCAGAGTAAACAGACAACCTAAAGAATGGGGGAAAATTTTTGCGAAGTAGCCTTCTGAAAAAAGTCTAATATCTAGAATCTATAAGGAACTTAAACCAATTAACAAGCCAAAAAATAAAAATAAAAACAACCTAATTAAAAAGTGGATAAAGGACATGCACAGACACTTTTCAAAAGAAGACATACATGCTGCCAACAAGCATATGTAAAAACCTTAACATCCACTCATTAGATAAATGCAAATCAAAACCACAGCAAGATACCATTTCACACCAGTCAGAATGGCTATTATTAAAAAATCAGAAAGCAACAGATTTTGGCAAGGTGGTAGAGAAAAGGGAACACTTACACACTGCTGGTGGGTGTGTAAATTAGTTCAGCTATTGTGGAACGCAGTGTAGTGATTCCTCAAAGAACTAAAAACGCAATTACCATTTGACCCAACACCATTACTGGATATATATTCAAAAGAAAACAAATTGTTCTACCATAAAGATACATGCACACATATGTCCATTGCAGCACTATTCAAAATAACAAATACATGGATCAACCTAAAGGCCCATCAACAGTATATTGGATAAGGAAAATGTGGTACATATACACCATGGAATATATGCAGCCATAAAAAGAATGGAATCATGTCCTTTGCAGCAAGATGGATGGAACTGGAGACCATTATTCTTAGCAAACTAATGCGGGAACAGAAAACCAAAGACTGCATGTTCTCACTTATAAGTGGGAGCTAAATAAGGAGAACACATGGACAGAAACAACCAACACTGGGGCCTTCTAGAAGGTGGAAGGCAGAAGGAGAGAGAGGATTTAGAAAGAATACATACTGGGTACTATGCTTAGTACCTGGATGATGAAATGTTCTATATACCACAGCCTCGTGACACGAGTTTACCTATATAACAAATCTGCACATGTACCACTGAACCTGAAATAAAAGTTAAAAGAAGGAAAAAAGGAGTCTTACCTGGCTTGCATCCCGAGAAGTCAAAGTTATTTGAATCACAAGAAGGGTTCAGTGTATTGTTGCTGCCTTTGAAGACAGAAAGGGGCCACATGCAAGAACCAAAGGGTGCCTTCTAGCAGCTTGTGCAATCCCAAGTGGACATCCAGAGGAAATGTGAGCCTCAGTGCTACAATCACAAGAAACTGAATTCTTCCAACAACCTGAATGAGCTTAGAGGTGACTTTTCCCCTAGTTTCCAGATAAAAACTTAAAGTTAGCCATATCTTCAGTATCACCCTGTGAGTTCCTAAGTAAAAAAACCGGTGGAGTCTGCCTGGACTTTTGATGTACAAAACTGTTAGAAAATAATTGAGTTTAATGTTAAGTAAAAAATATGAGAAGTCAAACCTATGTAATAATTTTGTTAATTTCTACAAGTCTTTCAAATCAAATAGGTAGGATTTTTAAATTATATATTTTGTTGTAAGGTTGTGTATTATTCTCTATATAAATAAATTCAAATTTTAAAAAACTTTATTCCAAGGGTTGGTAAAAACATATATTATTATATTGTGAAAAATGATTATAATTTCAGTTATAGTTCTCAGTTGTGGTTTTATATTTTCTTTCGTATTTTTCTTGTGTGTTTTCTATGTGGTTTTCAAGTGTTTTTAAAGTTTTCCTCCAAACTGGGTTTTCTTTCTCTCAATCCATGTGTCCTCCAACTTTTTCAAATATCCCCATCAAATTGCCTCCCTCTCCACTTACTAATCTACTCCTTTCAACTTTTCAGTTGTTTCACACTTTTGTTTTTAGTTCATATTTTAGTATTTTAGTTTATTTATATTTTATCTTCCTAAATAAAAAAGTTCTTCCTGGAGCATTTATTGACATTCTCAAAGGATGAACCACTTCTATAGAGCTTAACCAACACATTTACTTACAGTTATATTCCCATATTATCAAAACTTTATACTACTCTAAACTTCTTTTTCTGTAAGTAAAAGCCAATTGGTAACTATAATTTGAATTTTCATGTAAAATGACTTGTACAATTGTTTTGTGCAAATGTTATTTTCCTTTTTCGTGTTGAACAATAGGACCAAAACATAAAAACAACCAAATGGCAAACTTTTCTTTGACATATTTACTCTGTAAGTGGGCTATAAAGAGGTCTCATAAAACTATTTTTTCTTTAAAAAAATCCTTCTTCTCTGTATCTTCCATTTGATATTAAAATATAACATTAAGCTACTTTTTTTTTTTAGATGAAATCTCACTCTGTATCCAGGCTGGGGTGCAGTGGCACAATCTCGGTTCACTGCAACCTCAGACTCCACTCCCTAGTTCAAGTGATTCTCCTGCTTCAGCCTCCACAGTAGTGGGGATTACAGGCTCGTGCCACCGTGCCCGACTAATTTTTGTATTTTTAGTTGAGATGGGGTTTCACCATGTTGGCCAGGCTGGTCTCGAACTCCCAACCTCGTGATATGCCTGCCTTGGCCTCCCAAAGTGCTGGGATTACAGGCGTGAGCCATCGCGACCGGCCTTGTGCCTGTTTTACCTGTTATTGCTTACATTCTGTTCTCTTTACTATTTAATTCTATTCCATTTACATAGACTCAATGCCTAAATTTTATTTAACTTTGAATCATAATTTTCTTTAATTATCCTAAATTTTCTCTGCTTTCCTTCTTGACTTATTCCTTCTGGTACTTCATTTCAATTACTAAAATTTACTTGGTTGGTTATTGTTAACCGAACTTCTAATTCAATATAAAGTAGTTCAAAATTATGAGTCTTTATTTTTCAAAACGTTTTCTTTTCCAGTCATCATCTAGTAATATGTGACTTTAAAATTTCATTAAATTTAGTCTATCTTTTAATTATCTTGGTTTAATGAAGGATTGTTTTAGATATATGTATTTCTTCCTCAATTTCCTTCCTTGATACTACTGCATTGCTTTGTGCATGTGCCCAGCTGTATTTCTTGGTATATAATTTTTTGAGAAGTGTGATGTAGT
Organism: Homo sapiens; assembly: GCF_000001405.40. Classification (NCBI taxonomy): domain Eukaryota; kingdom Metazoa; phylum Chordata; class Mammalia; order Primates; family Hominidae; genus Homo; species Homo sapiens. The sequence goes on from NC_000009.12 coordinate 43,009,484, forward strand.
AACACTTCTACATAAGTGTGATGTAGTAACACTTCTACACTTCTACATATTTCTTTTACTTCTAGTAAAAGAAATAATATTCATGAAAGGATTTTAGAAAAACTTTAAAAATAGGTAATTTAAATAGAGGTTTCAGCAGCATGCTGATGCTCCTCAGTAAGAACTAGATGGCATACATAAAGTCAAAAGAGGTTTGACTTTGACTTCAAAAACAATTCAACTAGATAGAAAGGAAATAATAGGTAATTTAAAAATTACTATAGCCATCCCACCTAAATTGAAATACAGAAATATGTAGAATTAGAAAGTAAAGTATTTATCAAAATATAACGGTTGATCCAAATTATTGCTTTTCTTGTCAGAAATATTCAGGAACTAGGAAATAATAGTCATTACTTTCCCAAGTCAGTTATTCTTTACGTTCATAAGTAATTGCTTATTTGCTATAGCCAATACTCATGGAAGCCTTTGTCTTCTGTGACATTGCAGATTTACAGTTCTGCTTCAAATTTTTGAAGTTTTCACTGTTATATTCACTGGCTCATTTTATTTCATTATTTTGAGTCCGGGAGACATTCCCTTGGCTCAGTGTTTTCGTCTATTGTAAATTCACTTCACTCACAATTTTCACCTTTTCTTCATTTTTCATTATAATAAGTAACAGTTTCTTTGGTTTGGAAATCTACAGTCAACCTTAAGTTTACATTCATATTATTTTAATTTGTCTCTATTTCATTCCTGCTCTCATAACCCTTACCTAATCAATGTCTAAATTGTGAAGAATAAGCATTGTAGTGACAAATGTCATGCTTGTCTACATTTCTTTAGACAATGTCTTTTTATTTATTTTTATTTCTTTTTTTTTTTTTTTGAGATGGAGTCTCGCTCTATTGCCCAGGTTGGAATGCAGTGGCGCGATCTTGGCTCACTGTAAGCTCTGCTAGGTGCAGTGGCTCACGCCTGTAATCCCAGCACTTTGGGAAGCTGAGGCGGGTGGATCACGAGGTCAGGAGATCGAGACCATCCTGGCTAACACGGTGAAACCCCGTCTCTACTAAAAATACAAAAAATTAGCCGGGCGTGGTGGCAGGCGCCTGTAGTCCCAGCTACTCAGGAGGCTGAGGCAGGAGAATCGACAATATCTTTTTAAAACATAATTATTTGATTCCTGAATTGCCAAATCCCAGTCTGTTTTTTAGTCCTTTTCTTATTACTTTCTAAGGCATAATAAATGTAACTACTGGAAGAAATGTATCAATGCCATCTTTGAAAATTTTTAACTATCTAAATTTGGTGGAATGATAAGATATGGATATATATATTAAAATATTCGCTTGAGCAATGACTCAGTACTTCAGAAACAAGTAGCAGGCTTTAAAACCTGAGGAAAAGTTAGGCTTGTGTCACAACACAAACCACAAGAAATCCAAAAACAGTAAGGGTGACTGTGCAAGGAGGACAGAAAAGAAGTACTAAACCACTTTAACACTATCTTACATTTATCAGAAATAACAGAAATTATACATATATGCTCTACCGAATTTTAAACAAAGAAACAAAATATGGTGCTTTTCTCCAGATGTTTTGGCCAGAGGACATAATCTGAATGATTTAAATTCCCTGAAATTGACTGTGACTTGCTATACAGCCAGCATATGGTTGTTTTATTTTGTAAAATATCCTATATGCTCTTGAAAAGAATGTGCCTTCTGTTTCTAAGCCAATTCGGTTAAGCCAAAACAAAATTCTAACTATAAGATAATAATAACCGAGAATAAATAGTCACCTGCAGAGGACCAAAGCATTCTATCAAACTTTTACTGCAACTGGATTGCAAGAAGGTAATGGCATATTAAAAAAGAAACCAGAAATCAACCCAAACACCTAACAGCCAACTGATCTTTGACTAAGCAAACAATAACACAAAGTGGGGAAAAGACACCCTATTCAACAAATTGTGCTGGAATAGTTGGCTAGCTACACGTAGGAAATGAAACTGGATCCTCGTCTCTCACCTTCTGCAAAAATCAACTCAAAATGGATTAAGAAATTAAATCTGGCTGGGCGCTGTGGCTCACGCCTGTAATCTCAGCACTTCGGGAGGCTGAGACATGCGGATCACCTAAGGTTCAAGACCTGCCTGGCCAACATGGCAAAACCCCATCTCTACTAAAAAAATACAGAAGTAAACCAGGTGTGGTGGCATGTGCCTGTAATCCCAGCTTGGGAGGCTGAGGCAGGAGACTCGCTTGAACCCAGGAGGCAGAGGTTACAGTGAGCTGAGATTGCACCACTGCACTCCAGCCTGGGGCTACAGCAAGACTCTAAGACTCTATCTCAAAAATAAATAAACAAATAAATAAATGAATCTAAGACCTGAAACTGTAAAAATTGTAGAAGATAACATTGGAAACACACTTCTAGACATTGGCTTAGGAAAGGATTTCATGACAAGAACCCAAAAGCAAATGCAATAAAAACAAAGATAAATAGGTGGGAAATAATTAAACTAAAAAGCCTTTGCAAGGCTGAAGGAATGGTCAGCAGTGTAAACAGGCAACCCACAGAGTGAGAGAAAATCTTCACAATCTATACATCTGACAAAAGACTAATATCCAAAACCTACAAGGAACTCAAAGAAATCAGTAAGAAAAAAAACAATCTCATCAAAAGTGAACTAAGGACATGAATAGACAATTCTCCAAAGAAGATATACATAATGGCCAATAAACATATGAAAAATTGCTCAACATCACTAATGATCAGGGAAATGCAAATCAAAACCACAATGCGATACCATCTTACTCCTGCAAAAATAGCCCTAAGCAAAAAATCAAAAAACAGCAGATGTTGACATGGATGCGGTGATCAAGGAACACTTCTACAGTGCTGGTGAGAATGTAAACTCGTACAGCCACTATGGAAAACAATGCGGAAATTCCTTAAAGAACTAAAAGTAGAACTACCGTTTGATCCAGAAATCCTACTCCTGGATATCTACCCAGAGGAAAATAAGTCATTACACGAAAAAGATACTTGCACATGTGTGTTTATAGCAGCACAATTCGCAATTACAAAAACCTGGAACCTACCCAAATGACCATAAATCAACAAGTGGATAAAGACACTGTAGTGTGTGTGTGTGTGTATACACACACAATAGAATATTACTCAGCCATAAAAAGGAATGAATTCATGGCATTTGCAGCAACCTGGATGAGATTGGAGACTATTATTCTAAGTGAAGTAACTCAGGAATGGAAAATCAAACACTGTATGTTTTCACTCATAAATGGGAGCTAAGCTATGAGGATGAAAATGCATAAGAATTATACAATGGACTTTAGGGACTCAAGGGGAAAAGGTGGGAAGGGGGTGAGGGATAAAAGACTACAAATAGGGTGCAGCGTATACTGCTCGGGTGATAGGTGCACCAAAATCTCACAAATCACCACTAAAGAACTTACTCATGTAACCAAACACCACCTGTTCCCCAATAACCTATGGAAATATATTTTATAAAAAAATTATAGAAGGAAAACAGCTATAATGTAGAATTTTATATCCAAATAAAATGCTGTTGAACATTGAGAGCATTTTAAAAAATATTCCCAGACTCATCCTCCCTCAAGTGGTTTGCTACCCAAAGCAGGGTACTAAAAACATTTTTAGAGAAATTATTCAAACAAGAAAGTCAAATATAGATGATATGTCAAGAACTATCGGATGTGCAAATCATCTGATGTCATAATAAAATTTACTGTTATTCATTAATTTTCTTTTAAATAAATGTTTTATTGTTGTTTCACACACCTAAAAAATATACAAATCATAAACATAGATCTCAATGGGTATATCATAATAAACATTCAATGGATATTATAAAATTAAAAAAAGTAAGCTACTATTTTGCAATAAACATAAATAACCATGCAGGTTAGGGAATTAGCTATTACTGACAACCCAGAATTCTCCTAAACTCATTCCTAGGATAATACTTGCCTACCTTTTCCAAGTAACTAATGTCCCGACTTTCAACAATTTTCTCATAATGCTTTCTGGGTTTTCATTTTCAGATTTTGTATTCTAGTTAGTAAATTAATTCCTGTATAATTGATGTTTCTGATGTTATTGTTAGAGGTATCTTTTTTTTTCAAATTTCAATTTTAGAAGTTCTTCTTTCCTTAAAAAAGAAATGCAATTGATTTCAAATATTATCTTATAGGCACATACCAAATGTATTCATATAAGAGTTTATCTGTAAATTGTTCATTTTTTTGGTGAAAAAATATCTTAATTACTTCTCCTCAAGTTCTTATATATTTTTTATTTCTTCTTTACTTTCTCACTAGCAATTTTGTCAGGTGTAAGGTTGAACAAAGTTGATCATAGTCAGTATCATTTTCTCATTCCCAATGTCAGTAGGAAAATGTTCAACACTTTGCCATTACAGAGGTGTTCATCACAGTCATTTTGGAGGTAGCCTTTAATAATTTAAATATTTTTTCATCATTGCAACTTAGGTAATAGGTTTTGTCACTCATAGACTTTGGAGATTTTTTTTTTTAGTTATAGAGAATGTCATATGATTTTTGGCTTTTATTCTGTTAAGAAAAACACACTGCAGTTCTAAAATTTTGAATATTAAAACACGTTCATTCCTGTAACAAGCCCAACCTATGTTTGTGGTTTACATATTGCGGAGTTTTATGTATAATATTTAAATTATTTTTAGCTAGGTTGTAAGAGAGACTGGACTGTTACTGTCTTTTCTTCTGATGTCCTTGTCACATTTCTATGTTAAAATTATCGGTAACCTTATAAAACAAGCTGAGAAATTTTTCAATAGGGGAAATATGTAAGTAATGTTAATTTTCTTTCCTGTTAATATGTTTTGGAGAATTCTCTAGTGAAACACCTGGACCTAGAACTTTTGTACATATATGAGAAAAAGTTATTTATTATGGATTTTAAAAATAGTTACAGGAATATTCCGATTTTTATGTCTTCTCATGTCAGTTTTGGTAAGTGACTTTTTCAAGTTTTTTACAAATTTTATTTAAACTGTCAAATATGTACTGCAATAATGTAGCTCATAACTTTGAATTTCTTTCTTCTGTAGGATCAGTAGTAATACGTTTTCTTTTTATATTACTGTGCTCCCTCCCTCCCTCTCTCTCTCACACTTTTTTTTGGTCTCTGAATTTTGTAAAAGATTATTTTAACATTATTACAAGGAAAAACTTTTGGCTTTTTTTTGATCCCCTTGATTATGTGATTCTTTTTGAATGTATTATTTTCCATTAATATCTCTTGTATGACTTCTATTTTCATTGGATTTGGTTTACTGTTTGGTTTTCAGCTTCTTTAAATGTACCATTTTTAAGCATGTTCTGTTTTCAACCTGTGGGTATTTGGACTACTGGTATTTAATCTTTTATTCTTTGCAATATCACCATTAAGGCTATAGTTTTTTTAAAAAAATCAATAGCTTTAGGGCTAAAGGTTTTTGGTTACATGGTTTATTGTATTGTGGTGAAGTCTGGGCTTTTAATATAGTCATCACGTGAATAGTGTACCCTGTACCCACTAGGCAAGTTTCCATCCCTCCTCTGTCACCCTCCCCGCTCTGAGTCTCCAATGACCATTTTACCATCTGTATGACTTTGTGTAACCAAGGATATCCATTTTCTTGAGTTTCAATATGTCATACATTTATTCTCATTTTCTTTCTTTTTCTTTCTTTTTTTTTTTTTTGAAGACGGAGTCTCACTCCGTCCCCCAGGCTGGAGTGCAGTGGCGCGATCTCGGCTCACTGCAAGCTCCGCCCCCCTGGGTTCACGCCATTCTCCTGCCTCAGCTTCCCGAGTAGCTGGGACTACAAGCGCCCGCCACCACGCCCAGCTAATTTTTTGTATTTTTAGTAGAGACGGGGTTTCACCGTGTTAGCCAGGATGGTCTCGATCTGCTGACCTCGTGATCACCCGCCTCGGCCTCCCAAAGTGCTGGGATTACAGGCGTGAGCCACCGCTCCCGGCTTATTCTCATTTTCTAAAAATATTTTCTAATTTCCATTGAAACTAATTTTGCGACTTGTGAATTATTTAGGAATATGTTGCTCGATTTTAAAATATTTGTGGATTAAGTTGTCCTTTTGTAAATGATTTCTAACAGTTTAACTGATGTCAGAAAATGTATTATTTCTATTTTCAATTATGAAAATTTGTCACGGCTTGATCTATGACACAATACAGAGCATTTGAATAAATATTAAATGTGCATTCACATTACATATTCAATTTTAAGTTTATCGAGTTTAATATTATGCTATATATATCAATTAGATCAAATTTGCTAATAGAGATATCTAATTCTTTATTATTCTTAATTACATTTTTTTCTACTTCTTCCAACCGTGTAAGAAAAGTGGGCAAAAGTCCCCAGTATGATATGGATGCGTTATATTTCTCCCATTATTACATGCATACAAATTTTAAATTGTCACATCATGGTATACTGCTCATTTTATCATTTTGAAAGGTATTCTTTTGTCTTAGTACTGCTTCTTGCCACTAAATTTATTTCATCTGATGTTAGTACATCTATCTCAGCTTTCTTTTGGTTATGTCAGCCTAACAGACCATTTTTACATTTTTTTTCAGACTTCTTCAGTTCTTATTTTTAATAAAACACATTCAATTACTTTTAAAATTCATTTTAGATATTTTTATTAGCCGAGGTATGAAAATCATCTATATTTAGCTCAAGATATTTTGATTGTGGTCTACCACTTTGCTATTTTTCCATCTGTTGTATTTTCGACTTGCTCTTTCTTGCCTTTTTTCTCAATTAAGCATTTTTTCTCCAATATGCCCTTATAATCTCCTATAAGTTTAAATATCTTTTGATTTTGCCCTAGATATTATTTCATGATTCCTTGACTTATTAGTGTCTGAGTATAAAGTAAAATTTTCATTACTTTTCTTAGACTATGAAGATCTTATAATACTTTTGATATTTTGTTAGGTAGTGTTGTTGATATTTATTTTAAATTTTATATGATGGATTTTATTTATATAGTCACTATTTATTTAGATTTATTCAGATGTTTTGTCCTTCCTTTTCTTGATTTTATTTCTAAATTTCTACATTTACATCTAAAATAATTTTTCTTCTGCTTGAAAGACATTATTATTTCATTTGGTGTAATGTATAAATGATATAGATAGTTCCCTTATTTTTTTGTTTTCCTGAACATGAATTTATTTTTTTCTCATATTCCATAATATTTTATTAGGAATAAAATTCTAGTTACCAGTTGGCTTCCATTTGAGAAGTCATCCCTAAGTCATATTGCCACTTTTTGAAGATAATATGCCTTTTTCTAGAACTATTTTTGAGATAGTCTCTTTGTCATTAATTCTCTAATATGAGCTATGTAGTTATCTCCATATTTATCATGCTTCACTCTGGCACTTCCTGAGACTGTCACTTACAGTTTTTCCATCTTTTTTAAAATTATTTATTTATTTATTTATTTTGAGAGAGTCTCACTCTTGTTGCCCAGGCTGGAGTGCAGTGGCACGATCTCGGCTCACTGCAACCTCTGCCTCCTGGGTTCAAGCAATTCTCCCACCTCAACCCCCAGGTAGCTGAGATTACAGGTGCCCACCACTACGCTCGGCTGATTTTTGTATTTTAGTAGAGACGGGGTTTCACCATGTTGGTCAGGCTGGTCTGGAACTCCTGACCTCAGGCGATCTGCCCACCTCAGCCTCCCAAAGTGCTGGGATTACAGGCATGAGCCACCATGCCTGGCTTCCAACATTTTTGAAAAATGTTAAGTTTACCTATTTAAATGTGGCTTTTGCCCTTAATATTTCTAATATTCTAATGAAATTGCAGCCAATAGTTAATTCTGGTTAACTCTAACTCTGTTTTTTGGAGGGTTATCTAAGGTGTGTTACAGATCATATTCATATAATCAGTGATTAAGCTGGTTTGAGACCAAACTGCAATTATTGTGAATTATAATCTATTTATTTCCATTAATATTCCTAAACCTTTGAAGTGTCAAATGAAGCCTGGGGTGTATAAATCGGCCTTTCTCATTGATAAGTCTTGAGCCATATATTTTATTCTCTTAAAACTATAAGACTATGAATATTTCTGTTTAGGTTTTTGGTCTATCAATAGCCACATACATGTGAGAAAATCTTTCATGGGTCAAGGGATAGTCCATACTGTTCTCAATTCTCTGAAGTGCTGTTTTCTTCGGTATTTTAGCCCTGTAATCTTTAATGCCTTGGAGTATTTTTGATACCTCTATGCATATTTTATACAATTTTCATAAGAAGAGATTTGAGTAGAGAGTTTATAGTTTAGAGAAAAGAGAAAAACAAGGAAAAAAATAAAGAGAATGCAAATTTTAAAACAAAAGCAATTCAGAATTGAAATTATAGAAATTATCTATATAATGAGAAAGATGAAATTGAAATCTAAGAAACACATGACTATGACAAAGCAAATGTATCTTTAGATACAATATACAGATATCAATAGTTTAAGAAAGTAATATTTATTTTCTTATTTAAAATGTTAAGATAATTACCACAGAGATAAATTTAAATACTTGTTAAACTAATATAGTGAGCTATTCTATAGACAAACAATAGAAGAAATGGGGAAAGGAAAAAAACAAAAAATGTGAGTAAATGTATAATATAATATAAATTGGCCGAACTAAGTTAAATGTAACAATAATGACAATAAATGCAAATAAGTTAAAAACAGTAATTAAAGGATCCTGACTTTTATAAATTTTTTAATAAGAGCCAAAACATGTTGTTGACATAAGTTAAAATTTACAAGAAAATATATATGTATATAACTACTAACATTAAAATTATTTTATAACACACCAGGCTTAAATACTAAAAAGCTAGAGGGGCAATATTTACATGACAACATGACATAATATAATTTAAGGTAAAAATATGTACATTAAAATACATTTATTATTAAAGATTAAAATTATACGAGCTCTATTTTTCAATTAAAAATTGGAGAAAGAGCAGTGGAGGAAACCCAATAGAAATAGTTAATGAACAAAAATCTTAAAGCAACAACAAAGAATGTTAATCTAACCAAAAGTTAGTTTTTGAGAAAACATTTAGGATACAGAAACCTGTGGAAGGTTAACCAAGACAATAAGAGAGACTGTGTAATATGCACAATTAAAAATTTTTAAGTATTAAAATAGCTTCATTGTAATAAATGTGAATGCTAGAGACAGAAAGATGTAAGGACTGTAACAACTAAGAAATATTAATAATAGGAACTAAAGATAAAGAATATAGGATTTTACAGGAAGTATCTAACAATCATTTCAATATTTATTTCTTAGTCTATTAAAGATCATTCCTTCAAATCCTCAGATAAGTAAATTCTATCAGAATTTTAAGAATCTGTTATTTATTATGCTACTTCCAAATATAGAAAAACAAATTGCCTAGCTAAGGCTAGCATATGTTTTATTCCAAAATCAAGTAGGTAGCAGTAATTACTCTTAAAATAATATTTATGCCAGCAAAAGAGCACATCATTTTGTCCGACAATTTGTATGAGACAGCAAACTGTTTTAGTCAGGGGTTTGAGCTAGATATAGATTTTATTGTGATTATCATTACCTTCAGTCCACACAGGCTTCAAATTCCCATAGGAATGGCTGATGTTGGCTGGGTTTAAGGTCGGTCCTGGGGTGCTGGAAGATTTTGTTTAGTACCTCTGTTCCCCTCTCAGCTTTCAGCATCCTTACCTTCCTGCACTGCCGAGGTGTTCTCTGTCTTTCCTCTTTCCCTTACTCAATACGTAGACAGCTGATGCTTATTATTTGGTATCAGGCTTGGCATAGGGGTAAAAAGTGGTGTGTTTTATGTTGCCCTGGCTCAGCCTCATTCAATCTTAGGTATGTCCTGTGTGAAAAAAGTCCAAGTTTTCATTCCTTTTTCTGTCTTTTTGTTATGTTGGTTTTAGACTACTGTCATTGAATTAAGCTGATTTTTTTTTTCTCAAAATGGGGCATTCTTAGTGTTCTTGCATTGTGTCCAACTCATCTATGACAATGAAACTCTGTCTTGGATCTGTGGTTGGTTTTGGGTGGAAATATTTACCACTCTATGTAGTTAAAGGCTTCTTCTTGTTATTGGTATAGAATCTTAGCCACAACTGTTTCCTAGCACTCTTCCAAAGATATAGGATGCATTCTTCCACTTGTTCCCAAGCCTCAGTGCATCTTTGCCTGTGATTAGTGGAAATGACAGTTGTGCTGTCTCTTCTATAGTGGCTTAAAGCTTTTGCTTCCTAAGAAAGAATGTTCTGGGGTAGTGGGCAAGGCTTTTTGCCAGTCCCCCAGCAGCAACTGATTATTACCCCAAGCCTGCACTATGCAGCAGTGTCTCTCTCATCTTCTGCCCAGTTCCCAGTCTTTCCCTTCAACAGACAAAGGTCCGTGTAAAAGAGTTTAAGAAATGATCATTTCTTGTGCCTGAGGCCTCCTGCTATTCTAAACTTACAATTTACCCACATTTAGCCTTTAAGAATTTACTAAAGTTTAGCTGATTTCTTATATGATTATATGGTGACTTCCTCTTCATTTTTTGATTGGTCAAAGATGAAACTTTTTTGTGTCCTTTCCATCCTTGAGGGCTTGTCCCTCTCTGGAATCAGTTTACTTGGTTGCCATGCAACTTCATCTCTGATGGGCTGAAAACAACTTATGACTTTGTAGATAATTCAAATATTTCCCACCTTAAGGGTGGGAGCATCATTCTTTTCACCTTTCTACATCCTAATCAGAAGCTGAAAATCACACTGAGGTTTTAGAAATTACTCTTCCAAGCTGCAAAATATTAAGAATTTCCATTTTAAATCCTAGCAGAAAAAAATTACTCTAGTTGGAGTTTCACCAAATAATCTTGTAAAATTTGAAGTTTTCTTGAGAGACACCTGCCTTCATCTGGTGTGAATTATGAAAACCTTAGTTACACTTGGAAGAGTAAATCCTTACAAATCAATATATTTAACATTGGTAAACAGACAAGCAATAAAAATAAATTATAAAGAAACAACAAAAATAAATCATTTAGATATCTAACATGATATATATGAGGATTTATCAAATTTTACCTCATGGTTTAATAATTTCTTCAAATTAGAGAGAATACCTTAACACTAATCTGCCTTTAACAAATAAAATTTATTGCTTATAGTTCATACATGTTGTCTTATTAATGCATTAGAAAAAACCTTTTAGTATAATTTTAAAAATTATTTAAAAAATATTTAAGTATGTTTCAACAGAATTGGTACCTTTTATAATACTGTGCTTTCCTTTATGCATTTTCAAAATTGTGTTGAATTAGAAATCAATAAAATTAAAACCAAAAAATACATAGAAAAAAAACTGATGAAAGAAAAAAGCTAGTTATTTGAAAACATCAATAATATTGATAAACTTCTATCAAGATTAACTAAAACAAATAGAGATGACATAAATTATTAATACCAGAAATGAAAGAGAGGACATCATTAGTGATCCCATGTACATTAAAGGATAGTAAAGGAATATTATGAACAACTTTATGCACAAAAATTTAATGACGAGGGTGAAATGTACCAATTCCTTGAAGGACACAATCAACCAAAACTCACATGAGGAGAAATAGATAATCTGAACAGGACTTTATCTATTAAAGAAACTGAATTAATAATTAATACCCTGCTAAACAGAAAGCACCAGGGCTAGATAAGTTCACTGCTAAATCTTACCAAACATTTAATCAGGAAATTATATCGATTCTGCACAATCACTTCCAATAATAAAAGTAAAAACAAGTTATTCTGGAAAGAGGGACCATGGCACAAGAAATGTTTGGCACAGCACAACCAGTCCCCAGAGACCAAAGCTAGGCCATGTCTTCAAAGCCCAGAGTGTGCATAGCCTGAGTCAAGCTGAAGGAAGGAATAAAAAAAAATGGGGAGAAAGTCAGGGGATATATGATGAAGCAAAATCTTTATGTCTGATGTTCTCAGAATGAATAAAATTATAAAATGCAAAGTGCATATATCACTGTTTCAGAAGCAATATTGGTCCAACTTCTGATTTTCTAAAATGGAGAACAGATCAACCTCTACACAAACTGATAGTGAGGCAGAATATCCTGGTCTTCTTATTGTAAGAGAAGAAAACGTCTTTCATGGAAGTAACAGTGAAAGAATCCGTTATCAGAACATAGGACAGAACGTTTAGGGGTATTTTCCCTGCAGGCACTAATTAGATATATATCATAAGAGCTATGAGCACACAGGTTTACTATCAGTGAGGCTGAAGCAGTGTAATTTCTGGGAATTATAGGCATGACACACATTTGTGACAAATAAAAGACAATACAGATTAAACTGCTAGATCTAATGTCAACCTGTTTTTTGTAGAAAGCCTAGGGATAACTGCCCAAGGTAAATTTTTACAATATGAGCATCTAGTATTTCCAGGGACTTCTTTACTCCTTTCCACATTGCTTTTTTGATGAATGACACTTTGATTTTGTCTCCGATACAGTGACCACAGCATAAAGAATTAGTGCCAGTATAGTTAGATTATAAAATCAAAAATTTGACTAAGACCATAGGAAATAAATCAATAGAATTACAAGTTGTAGATTTTAAAATTACTTGGTAAGAACTTGCTTAACTCAAAATACAAGTACAAAATGATATATCAGACAGGAGTCAGACAGGGGAGCAAAGTTAGTAATGTGTTTTATGGGATAAAGGACTTATTAAAGGAATTAGATGTGTAGAGCTGTACAAGTAGCTGGGAAACTCAAGGTCTGAAAGGGAAGTTCAAGAATCAGAGGACCTCTCACTAACAAGTCAATATGAAATACCAAACATATCTCTTTATGTAAGGGTTGCTTCTGGGATGCCCTTTGAGAGGCTGTGATTTTGTGTAGCTACAACCTCTGTTGATTCACATCTAAGAATCTTTTGGTGAGTCTTGGGCTGCTGTTGATGGACAGAGGCAACAGTTGGCAAAGGTGTTGAACGTGGAATAGAGCAGATTTAGGACAGGTTGCAAGCCAGCTGGAACTTCTGCATTGATCCGATACTGCATTTGATTATGATGACCTTCAGAGAATAAGGGCCACCACCTTACTTCCTTTTTCCTAGTTACATACAAGTTCCTCTTTTGGATAATACAGAGAAGGACATCTTGAAAAAAATGTACTTTTTTGCCTACTCAAGATGACGCAATGCAAAACACCACAAATAATTACCAGAATTGAGGAAAATAAGAATTTTCTTTCTTATGAAAAGTTTAGTTGGGAAAGGTGTTCTAGAATAGCCACATTGGATGGGAGGGTAGCAATGTTTCTCCACTCAGATGAAGGGAGAGTATTTATAAAGCTCGATGAATATGTCCAAAATTTAGGAGTGGCACAGGAGTCTGATGTTTAATTAATTATTTTCCAGAATTAGAGTAAAAGACAAAGGCTGATAAGCTGTTTTGCTGGTAAATTAAAGAACAGCTGCTAATACATTTAGATTGTCAATTTCATGGGTTTGTGACCACTGTAGTTGTATAAGAACCCACATTCAGTGGATCCCTCAAAACTTTACTGTTACTGTCTTGAAATCCTTAATAATTTTATCTTTGAATTTGTGTTTTGTAAGTGAACTCTGATGGGACAATGGAGCATGAGCCAGGAGCATGGGGCCTCAGCTCACATGTGATCTCACCTTTTGCCATCTTGCTCCCCCACTGATACCTAGAGACCACTACACCACCTCTTACCCAGCAGGGGTCTGAGGCCAAATACAAGGAGACTCAGGGTCATATCCTGAGTAATTTTGAGCGCTCTGTGAGCATCCCTGTTTCCAAGGCAGAGTGAAATTAAGAGCAAAGAAAAAACATCATGACAGGTCAAGAAAGAAACCATAGGAAGAAAAATTCTATTATATTTTCTTTTGTTTGTAAAAGGGATCCTGCAAATTAAGTAGCTGACCTGGGGTTTCACTTTCTGGATTTCAGGGCCCACGAATGCATTACCTTTTAACCCAGATCGGAAATGATCCACATGAGCAACGAAAGATGGCAGATAGCTTGAAGCCAAGTGTTCTTTAAGAACACTTGGGTGAGATTCCATTTCATGGAATGAACTTCTAGAACAGGGGTGTTCAATCGTTTAGCTTCTCTGGGCCACACTGCAAGAAGAAGAATTGTCTTGGGCCACATATAAAATGCACTAACACTAACGATAGCTGACAAGCTAAAGAAAAAAAAAATCACCAAAAAAAATCCCATAATGTTTTTTAAAAGTTTACCAATTTCTATTGGGCCTCATTCAAAGCTGTCCTGGACTGTGTGTGGCGTTTGGGCTGTGGATTGGACAAGCTTATTCTAGAAAGTGAAAAGTTTCATGGGAATTGACAGTTGTAGATTAAATGATCACTTACTATCAGTTAAGAAAGAAATTTCTCTCTTCATTACCACTCCTATTTCCAGACTTCAGTCCTAGAGTGGTCAGTAGAAGCAGTTATCCAATAGGAGAGGGGGTAAGTAAGGTGAAGACCGCTGGAAAGGAAAAGAAACCAAGAATGACCCCTTCCCACAGCCTACAGATGAAAGAGGTAGGGGAGAAAACAGATCTGAATTATATTTTAATTAAAATATAGAAATTCATATTCTAATTTCTGAAATAAAATTGTGGTTTACAACATAATATAACTATCTGTTAAATACCAATAACCAAAAGAAGTCATGAAAGCTGCTAGATTTTTTTACAGATCTGGAAACTTTTCCTGAATACATATTTAAAGAACTACAGAAGACAAAAATGAAATTGCATTGAATGACAATTAGAGACAAGTTTTTACTTTTGAAAAAATTGGATATTTGCTTTGTAATTTTCACCAATTTTATTTTCCTGAATTATTTCTATTTTTAATGTAGAAACAAAAGTATCTGAGATGGGTCTAAGATATCAGAGAATTATCTGTATTTGTATTGAGATATATCAAAATATAATGTTAATATGATTTGTCACTGAACTATATGATAACTCAGTCGTACTTCTGTCTTTTAAAATTGGCTACAGTTAAACTTCAATCTGTCAATAAAGTAAAAGCTACCTAAGTGGGAATTCTAAAATTATAACATGTGATAAAATCTCAGGGAGAAGTTTTGGATTCTGTTGTTTTTATTTTCTGCCATTTGTGCCAATTTGAGCGGTAACTGACCTCATGAAACATGGAAGTATTATTTATGTACAAGGAACTGACCCCTGAGGAATTGAAGGTCAGCACTAAAATAAAAATGTAGGGGGAAATGCAACTAATAAAATGTAGGAAAAAAAATGTGAACAGAAAATATAATAAACCTACATGGTAGTGCTAACATAGATAAAACTGAAAGAGGATTGTAAATAGAACTGTAAGAATGGATTTGTCTACCATTTATTATATTTTGTTAAAAATAAAGAAATTCAATTTACAATATTGAATTTTACTAGACTTTCTGGTTTGAAAAGCTAGAGTTTCTTTTTCCTTTCAGAAGGCTTGTATTCAGGTAATACTGATGAAGAGAATCCTCAAGACCTTTACACTCTGGGTCAGTTCCAAGATGGCTGAGAAGCTGTTTAAAACAACCAAAAAACAACTTGATAGGATTGACAATTTCATGTTTTTTAATAAGTGTTGAATGAGACTGCTAACTACAATCAGCAGATATACATATGTGGTGTCATAGATGTTTGGTTTTCAAAAATAAAGAATGTGTTAGAAAAATGCCTGCAAATCATTTGAATGTTACAACCTTTAAAAAAAAATCTGGCTGTTGAGTGCAGACTGTGCTGTTTCACCTTTTATTACAAAGACTCAGTGAATGAAACATATTTGATAGCTTGGCAATAGAAGAAAAATTTGTATTTAAATGAGGACAGAAGACACTGGGCTGGAATTGATATGATTATGCCACAATTGATGAGTCATAACTAATGACAAAATCTAGAGCTCAGGAAGCAAATCTGACAACGGGAGTGAGAGGAATGCAATCAGCACACTGGGAGGAAGGCAGGTGCATGCCCACAGGTCGTGCCACAGAGGGGTACTTAGCACAACACTTGCTCCTCATGGTGTATCTCTTGGTTTCTAAGCAAATGTCTTTGGGGAGAAAAGATGTTATTAAATACTATAAAACTGAAACAAAAATAAAATTGAGCCTAGCTAGGCACTTGAAAATATACTAGTCTGTGACACAGTAAAAGAAAAATCATGCGGATAGGCAACAGATAGTTTTGGAAATTTAAAACCCAGGTTTTGTTTTATGTCTTCATATATAATGCTGAGGTAACAGATATAAAATTAAGAATTTGTCAGCTATAGCTCCTCCTGCCTTTATCATATGTTTTAAATGATTTAACAGTGACATTTTATTGTATTTTCTTTTTTATTGAGATTCATTTCCTATCTTGTCTAATATTCTCCTATTCTCCTGACAGTTTACACACAATTATCACAAAACACTAGCAGTTCCATTAATTTTGTCTTCACTATCCTCAGAGACTTTCTGAGGAAATAATAATATTGTTTATTGTTTCTTTTATCTTTATCTCTGGAGCTTAGTAGGGTACCTTGCCCATTGTAGTTGAGAAATGATAAATAGGAATGACTGAAAAAAAATACATTTGAAAACAGCTTGAACATAAGAAGAAGCTTGAGATATTTATAATATGGACACTTGTTTTTTTCCTAAAGCAAAGCTATTACTATTAGTTAGAGATTATGTAGATTTTAATTTCTTTATAGAAGACAAAATAAAACTAGTAGATTAAAAAAGTTAGTTCCTGCCACTATTCTTCCCCCAACAAGATATCTGGAGACTGAGTGCCAAAATGAGCAAAGAAAGATTCAAGGACCAAGACTGGTGGAATCCTCTCACTCCAGCATTCTTAGAGTCTTGCTTAGGCTTGAAGCATAACACTGTTGTCACATCACTTGACAATGCATTTACGGGATAAGATTCAGTGAGAAAGAACAAACAAGGAGTGATTATATCCTTTAAAGAGCTTTCTCAGAGGCATCGGCTAGTATCTTGTTTGCTTCTCATTTGCCAGAGTTGCATCAAGTAGCTTCTCCCAACTGCTCAGGAAATTGGGAAGTATAGTTTTCTCAACATTTTCATACCACCACAAACACTCCCAAGAATGTTCATAAGCAGTCTGTAATACACAGGACACGTCCCAATGACCAAGAATTATCTGGTCTGAAATATCAATAGTGGTGAGGTTGAGAAAACTTCCTCTGAAGCACCCGGCATTGGGATAAGGTCTCCAAAGGAAATGTTAAAAGACAATGCAAAATGAAGAAGAATATGGGGTACCAAAATTATAGTTATCAATCAACCACAGAACTTAGTTTTCCCCAAATATCTGAAAGGTTGTTTGACTTGTCAAAATGGAAACAATGTATTCAGTATTGCTTCAGAAGGCAAACCTAAACCAAAGTTTGAAATCTGTGATGATGAACATATTAAAATTATAGAATCATTTGAAGGTTATTATTATCCAGCAGTAACACAGTAGATGCCTTTACAGAACTGAATGTAATGAGAGACTAGTATTGTGTCCCTTTGTGAAGTCTTTAAATTATAACAGTTTCAAAATATATGAAGATTTTGACCAAATCAGAACAAAGGCCATTCATGATATAAACCACTTTGAGACAGTAAGAGCTATTGGTTGGGTCTATAGGGCCACTAGTCTAGGCCCCCGATAATTTATGCACCAGGAGAAATGTCTTTGAGGAACAGATAATTGCCTGCATGCCTCTCCTAGACATGTTGGTGGAAGCTGCAACAGGAGTGGTTATTATTAATCCCTTTTAGAGAACTATACTAGTCTCACCTCTGAACCACCCATCAATATTGTGCTCAATTAGCACTTTGTTTCAATTGACAATGAAATTATATACTGAAAACAGCATGAATCCATGACCTGACCAGAAGCATTCTCTAGCCAGTGAATGATTTTTCTATCCTTGCCTCTTTTTCAATTTAACAAAAGAGGATAACACTGAATTCAGACTACAGGTGTGCAGATCCTCATTGTTTTAAGTCATCAGAAAGAACAGAATTAAAAATTAATTTAAAAACTAGGAATATTTATATTGTCTTTCCTCACAGTTTTCCTCTTCTGGTCTTTTGCCTTAATAGTTATTTACTATTTCTCATTCATATTTGGTAAAAAGTGTCATTATACAATGTATAACAAAGGTCTTGAGAACACAAATGTATAACTCTTTCATATAATTATAATCCAAAGAAATCTTTAATATATTCATGTTAAACATCGGTTTATATGATATTTGCAATCCATGTGAAAAAACCATTTTACAAAAACATTAAAATGAAGCCCAAGTTTTTGTATTTGAGTGATTCAGCTTAAGAAGACTTATATAATTTATGAAATAAATACATATCATTTGAGCATAATGCAATACACCTTTAAAAACGACTTGTTTGAAAAGAAGCAAGGCATATCCACTGATTATATACAACTACTGCTTTCAAAATTTTCACTTTTAAACAGTAGACTTTTCATCAGTGTTTTATATTGTCAGGGTGTTTTTTGTTTTTGTTTTTATGATTTAATGTATTTAACTTGTTTCTCTATTAGAACAGAAAAAACACAAACTTCTTTATTTCTTCTGCATTCCTTTCCATTTGTTGGCCATGACAGCAGTTAGATTATACCCCTTTCTACTGAAACGTTGTGCTAAGTTTTGGGAGGGCAGGAGAAAATATCTTCAGCTTGAAAAAAAAATACTTGAATAAACAGGTAATTTTTTTATTAAGATATACAATGGTCACTTTCTTTAGTGAGTTATGACAATCTACCTCTGAAGTACAACATGTTAGAGTCATTTGCTCTGGACAAAGTCACTTTCAGGAATGGTTTTATTACAATGAAAAGGAATAGGTATACTGGCTCTTAAGTGCCACTAATGCCCTTTATGAGAATGAGAACTAGATTAGCTGGCACGCTTATATCCCACACTCTTTATGAGCCTTATATGTTTTGGGGTATTTTCATCATTTTAATCTGGATGATGTTATTTTCAGAAACATCCTAAAACAATTTTCAAAGAAGCAAGGAAAAGGTTAACACTGAACTTGCATAATATTCACTCATGAAAATGCATTTGAATACATTTGTTTAGCAATGCTAACATAGCAATCTTCAGAAGTTGCCCAGAGATATCTTTTGAGGTTTCATATTATGTTAAACATGCAAAAGCATAAAAACAGGGAAAAAGGAAATGGTATAACAATAAAAAGGTTTAAAATGATGAGGAATATTCATTTGCTTCCATGATTAAAATTAAGTTATATAATTATATATATACCAATATATTAGAATTGTTATATACAATCTAATTTAAGGCATAAGAGATAAGTGTGTTCAAGGGGAGTAGCGAAAAAGTGCTCTTAATTTTTCTTTTTGATTTTTTGCTGTGGTTAGTGTTAATACATGTATATTGAATGGATATCTTATTTTTAAACAACAAAACCTTATTTCAACAACATCAATCTACATATACCTGATATTTTATATAATGCACTAATGAAAGCATTGTGATGTTAAAATTAGCATTGTAGAAAGGAAATTGATAAATGTAACTAGCAAACATTAATTTTGGGGGATGAATATTTTCTAATCTATTTCTGAAAAACTATTACTTGGTTATACTAATTTATTTGAGGGTACCTTCCCCTGTATCATTTTTACCTCCACTTTTGAAAGAAGCAAACAATACTCCTTCTGAAAAATAAATTTTAATTCTACAGCTTTCTATGACAACTTTTTTGTTATTCATACCAAAGATGAAGCTATGCCCATACCTTATTGATTATATATGCAAAGAGTTCTCTATCAGGAAAGTTTCAACATGAAAGATTTCTTCCCACTGAGGAGTCTCTCCATTACAGAAGGTCAACTGGTAAATGTCATTCTGTCTCCACTAATAACCATTTGATCCTCTTTTAGATTTTCATTCACTCTAGTGTTAAATGAATCTTCGCTGAAAATTATTAAATCAAAACTATAATACCTTAATAGAGAAAAATGAATGTTATGAGGCAGTATCTCACCATCAAAGTTGCAGGGACATGTCTTTTCAAAGTGAAATATATAGCTTATCTAGTTAACAAAAGGGCAGCAAATTCCTTTGCAGGTTTAAAATTGAGCCAGCAAAGTGGTGGTTTACAAACAGATGCCAGTTTCAATTTTCATGTTAGATGATCAAATATATATTGAGTCTGCATAGGAAATGCTGTTATCACAGGATTCAACACACAATGTCGAATTCCTGCATAGAGAAATTTCATTTTTTCATTACATTCTGTACATGCAAACTTCCTAGCTAGTGTGGAGAAAACCTAGGGAAAAAAAAAAGTTTAAGGTGAACCTTGAAGGATGAGAATGAATGAAGTACAGACTACTATGTAAGGTTTGAAGGCATGACACTGTATACAATTACTGAGTAAGGATGGAACACATCCACACTAGTGATGAGAACAAATTTATATTTTGAGTGTAGTACATCCATTCATTCTTGATTCCTTCTTAGACATTATTTCCTAAAATTGAGCCACAGGATGGTCAGAATGGTCAGATCTGCTACCACAGGGAACTGGGACTTTTGTTTAATAATACATACTCCACAAACATGCACAACCTCTTCTCCTCTTTTCCCCCAGAGTAGCTGATTCTAGTACAGTGATTCATATGACCTGGATGGGTAAAGGGGTATATGCAATCAACTGAGTTCATTAGAATAAGTTTTAAAGTGTTAAAGAAATGATGAGGCTGGGCGTGGTGGCTCACGCCTGTAATCCCAGCAGTTCGGGAGGCCGAGGTGGGCGGATCAGGACGTCAGGAGATCGAGACCATCCTGGCCAACATGGTGAAACCCTGTCTCTACTAAAAATACAAAAAAAATTAGCCAGGCGTGGTGGCAGGTGCCTGTAATCCCAGCTACTCCGGAAGCTGAGGCAGGAGAATCGCTTGAATCTGGGAGTGTCGGAGGTTGCAGTGAGTCAAGATAGCCACGGCACTGCAGCCTGGCAACAGAACGAGACCCCGTCTCAAAAAAAAAAGAAAAAAAAGAAATGATGACTCCCTGTAACAATTGCCTGGTGACTATATTCAACTTAGATCAAAACAATGCAAAAAATCTACTGTAAACTATGCCATTTCTGTATCAGGATTTTACCAAGTTAGCACAGGAGTAATTTATATTTTGAGTTTAAACTTTAGAGCAGAGTTTTTAAATGGAAAATTCTGTGACAATAAAAATTTCTATAATATACTGAAACCTTGGAACAAGAATTAAAGGCATACAATGGTATATTTATGGAACTTTTATTTTATTTTGATTAATTTAAATACAAATGTAAATAACCTCATGCATCTATTGGCTACCATATTGGATAGCACAACTGTACAGCATCAGTAAGATTTAAACTCATACGAGTATTATCAAATCTACTAAAAATAGATAAGACTTTTTCCTATCTTAAAATAGAACTAAGGTGACATTTTTTTTCCACAGCCATATTAATGGATAGCAACCTTTTCAATACTGTTTCCTCATAAGTGTATGAATAAACGGATTCCAAACATATTTGGTTAAAAGCAAGGCAAAAAAAATTTATTGAATTCAGATAAGGACTCTAGGTCAGAGATCAATCGAAAGTGGGTCCTGATTTCAAGACTACATTATTTTGTGCTGAGTGAAACAAATGAAAGCTAACTAAAGTAAGTATAAATGAAATAAGATTTGTAATATAGGTAAAGCAAAGTGCCCTAGGAGAGCAGGAATATTTCTTTCCATTGTCAGATATAAGCATGATATTTGTGGTGGGCCTTGAAAGACTAGAAGAATAAGAGATGTAAACAACAAGACTTAAAGGCATAAAATGGTATATTATATTTATGGACACTTGGAGTTCTCACTATTAAGTGGGAGGTATTGATAAGATCACATGGACATGTAGATGGGAACAACACACAAACCGGGGCCTTCTGGAGTGCAGAAGTTGGGAGGAGGGAGAGGATCAGGAAAAATAATTAATGAGTATTAGGCTTAACACCTGGGTGATGAAATAATCTGTACAACACATCCCCATGACACAAGTGTACCTATGTAACAAATCTGCACCTTTATCCCTTAAATTAAAAGTTATATATATATATAAAAAACAGTGAAGTTTGAAGTGATGCTAAAAGAGCAATCTGGCAATAGGACATGAAAGGTCATGATGCTATGTCTGGAAATCTGAAACTTACTCTGTGGATGATAGAGCCAAAAATATTTTAAGTATAACAACATGATTTGATCTCTGCATTAGGAAGATAGCTCTATGGCAATATCTGGGGATGACTGCAAAGGTAAGAAATTACAGGCAAGGAAACCAGTGAAGAAGTTACTAGCTATAATTCAAGAATGATAAATACTTGAATCAGGCTAGTATTTTAGAAGGTATGCAAAGTAAAGGCTATCTTTCTGGGCCATTGCAAAGTTGGGAGGTGATTACTGAATAAACCAAGCATCTTCGGGAGAGGAGACAAAAACAGTCTGTGCCATTTCATTTCAAGGCCTGGAATAAAGACTGATGACACTAAAAGAGAAGGTTTGGTTCTAAAATACTTCTTTATTTTCCTGATTTTTAGGTTTTTTGTTTCAATTGGAAAATTCCTAGTATTTTTGTGATGTCAGTGAAGAAACTGATGATTAAAGAGAAAGAACATGAGTTAAACAGAATGTACAATTCAGAAACTAGGTTTTCAATTATAGTTATATTTTTAGGAAAAAAGGTAATGCAAATCTAATTTTAAAATTCAGTCAATACGAAAGTGTGTAACGCAAAATAAAAAGCAAAATTAACCTCACACCTACCTGTTAAAAGAGTTTCCACTGTTAGTAATTTGCAGTATTTACTTTCATAACTTTTTCTACATATGTATAAACATATATACATTTTTAAAATATGAATTATTTCTCTTCACTGTATATTTGTATGCAGAAATATCTATAATGCATACCTAATAGCAATGCTGAATTATATACTTGCTTGAGTTGCATAATGTTGCAGCCCTACAGGTACATATTTTTATTTACACAACTTGGATGATTTTCATTCAGTGAAACAATTTATTAATTTATTCCTTCCATGTCAATGTACGTAGAGCTTTATTATTATTTTCCATGGTTTTCAGGGTATTCCATAACACAGACACATCACCATTTATTCTTTCTGTAGTAGACATTTAGGGGATTTAAAATGTTTACATTATAAATACTGACAATTTAGTAATTAGTGTCTTAGAGAATTTATTCCAAGTTAAAAACAAAAATAGAGATTTAATGTAAGTCCAACTGAGAAATCTATAAAGTAGGCAAAATTTTAAAGTTATCATACACATAAAAATTCAAATGTATTCTTATCTACTCGTAGTTTTAGTAACTCCTCTGATAAAAAAGAGATCATAGTAGAAATAATCAGATATGAAAAAAATTAAAGATTTAAAAATTTGGTATGTATTACTCTCCACTGAAGACATGATCTTATTGGTAATTATTGGAACATCATGCTATCTATATACCTATTATTTTAGATATTTATCTATCCACATAGTTTCCACGTCATGCTGACACACACACATCCAGGTGTACACACACAATTTGGGCCCTTTTACACTATATCATTTTAAAGTGATACGTGCTGAGATTTCATCTATGAAATAGTCACCCAATTACAGTTCAGAGAATCTCCATCTGAAAAGAGATGAACACAATTTTCACCTTGTGAATATTCAGAAATTGAATCCAGGGAAGAAATTTACTGCTAGTGAACATTGTTTGTATATGAAAAATGAGAACCTAGGAAGTGGCTATTTTCATAATGATATAAATCTGGAAACACAACTAGAAATACACTTCAGCTAAGTAAGAATTGCAAAGAACTTTGTACTCGTTCAAATGAAATTATTTTCTGGCAGGGAATTTCTTTTTTCAGTTTCTCTTTAATTTCATTCAGCTCAATTCTATTTTGTAATTACCACCTTCATAAAAAGTAATCATAATAACCAGTTCTTCTGAAGGTAGAGAAACAAGAATATGGCCAACTAATTACAAACGTTTGGGAACACTTATCAATAAAATGTATAAAACCAATTCATTTTCTGCCAATAACATGATCATGTATGTCTCAAATCACAAAAGACGATGAATTATGCAATTATTTTTCTCTTGAGATCCTTAAAGATTGGAGTAAGAATAAGGAAGTTATATTATTTTTCCATAGGGACTAAAACGTAATCCACATGCTTTAATATAATGGGCTGCTTGTTTGCCTTTCTGTGAGACAAGGCAAGCATATCCACCATACACATGGCATTGATCAGTCAATAAATCTTGCTATGCCAAAACCACAAATTTAATTGGGTCAGCATTAGGGATCCCATATATTAGTTTTTCTCACGACCAATCCCGTTTGGGAAGATTCTAATACATCTTCAAATGCAACTTCTCTATTGTAAAACTGATAGGTCTAGAAAATGTGGAGAAATACAGTGGGAGGAGAGGAAAAGAAGGGGAGAAAAGAGAGACGAGAGAGGAGAGAGAGGGAAGAATGGGGAGAGAGACAATATATGTTTTTAAACATTTGGAAACCATTTGCTTCCTTTTTTCTTTTACATAAGGCAAATAAGACAATATGCATAGAAGTACTTTATGTTTCAATTTTGAGAGGAATAAGTTAAGAAATGTGATCCTAGGCTTATTGTAAGGGATAGACTCATTCTCTTATCTTCTAGGAGCAATTTTTCTTAGTGGTTTTTGAAACTGCTGACCAACCATTGTCATTAAAACCCTCTCTCGGTTTCTAAAATACTGAATTTTCCTTATACCTTATAATCTTCTTGACTACTTTGACTTAACTTTTGACTTAGTTTCTATTTACAATCTACCATAAAATAGAAATGTTCAATAATTATTTATATTCTCTCTGTGTGTACACATAAACACACACACACTTCCACAATCCTGTTAGAAAGTTATTATTTCTAATTTATAATAAGAATACAATGAAATTGTCCATTTAATAGGAAAGCCCAAGATAAGATAGTAAATCCTGAAGCCACAATACAAACACAATGCAGTCTGATTTCTAAGACTATGTTCTCTCGTCACGCCATGCTACATGTGCCCTTAATACCATGGTTCAACGTTCTTCAGTTCTCTTACTGTCATCATTTATAATTGCCTTTTGAGAGATCTCATCCATTCTTAAGATTTGAATGTCCACTTCTGCATGGATGGCATGCAACATCTCCAGTACTGGCATTTTCCATATATTGCAGTACCACTTTGGAAATGCACTGACTCTTTAAAAGCCACATAAATGTTCAGCCATTAAATTCAAAGTTATTATGTCTTAATAAAAATGATTTCCTCCCATCTCAAATCATTATTTTCTTTCAACTATCATATACAATAACCTGTTACACAAATCCATACATTGTTTATGGTATTTTGAAACCATATTTTTATCTTCATTTTTGTCTGTAAAAGATAATCTATTATTGAATTCTTTCGCACATCACTCTAAACTCTTTTGCATTTTTCTCTTATCCACTTTTACTTTCAAGATTTTTATCTAACCGCTTTATCCCCTACATTGTGATTCATACGCAGTCCCTGGAAAGTGAGGAGTGCCTCTGCCCAACCACCATGCAACCCTCCATGTGTGAAGTGGCAGCCTTATGTGTGATCTTTCTGCCTTCCCCAAGTTTGCATTTTCGACACTAAAGTTTACTTTTACATTAAAAATAATAATAATAATATAGAAAAAGGTTTTCCTATTACAGTTTCTGTTTCTAAATTCTGCCTTAAATCCAGGTTTTATAAAACTATCGTTCGGGCGTTGTACCTCACACCTGTAACCCCAACACTTTGGGAAGCCGAGGCAGGTGGATTACCTGAGGTTAGGAGTTCGAAACCAGCCTAGCTAACATGGTGAAACCCCATCTCTAGTAAAAATACAAAAATAAGGCAGACATGGTGGTGTGCACCTGTAGTCACAGCTACTCGGGAGGCTGAGGCAGGAGAATTGCTTGAACCCAGGAGGCAGACGTTGCAGTGAGCTGAGACTGCCCCATTGCACTCCAGCCTGGGTAACAGACAGAGACTCATTCTCAAAAAATAAAATAAAATAAAACAAAACTATCAATATTTCTAGTGAAATTCATATCACTCTAATACCTTAAGATATATTATCAAAATCTCCTACTTAATCAAGCCCTGTAAACTCCCATCAGTGAAACTCATACATACGTGGGACAGGGAAAAAAACAAAAAAACACCTTTTCTTATTGCTGGAAACTTAGAGTAGTTTTGAATTAGAAATTCAGAGTTGCTTTGAGTTACTGTTATTCCATGAGAAAAACAGTATTTTATGGATATTTCTAAACTTAAAAAGATAGATCTAACCAAAGATGGCTTCTCCCAGTGATTTTTGATCTTTCTAGGGGCAGTATATCATCCATTGCAGGAAGCTGTGGTGCTATCAGAAGCTGAAACATCAAGAACCCAGATTATTCACATTCCCCTGCCTCCTATCTCCTCTCTCTCTCCTTCCCCCACTGCACCACTCATTGATCATTTACTATTTCTTTTCACAGTGAATTATGCTTTTATCATGAATAGTATCTAGGTTTATAAGTGTACAGTAATATAAATTCTAAATTCTTCGGTTTAAATGTATTAATTTTCTCTCATACTTTACATCCTAGAACGATTATCTTGGATTATGGTGTTCCTAGACATTCTTGGAGTATTCTTTATCCCAAACTATTTCAAATTTAGAGCTTCAATCTCTAAAAGACTGTTAGTAAAATTAATTTATTATTTTACCTGCTCACCTCTTTGCTACAGTGGGTCTTTCCTATCTGTGGATTCTATATCCATGGACTCAAAGAGACACAGATTGAAAATATTTGAGAAAAAACAATAAAAATTGCAATACAATAAAAATAATACAAAAAATACAGCATAACAACTATTTACAGAGCATTTACATTGTATTAGGCATGATAAGTAATCTAGAGTTTATTTAAATTATATAGGAGGATGTGTGTGAGTTTTATGTAAATACTATACCATTTTTAATCAGGGACTAGAGCATCTGCAGATTTCGATATCTGAGGGGTCTTGAAACCAATACTTCACAAATACTAAAAGAAGATTGTACTTCTGTATCTATCTGTTATTTGTACAATTGAAAGATTCAGATTCTTCCCTTTTTATCTCAGTTTATAAGCACCCCCCATAGTTTTTCTTTCATGTAAACAAATGATGGACCATTTAAAACAGAAATTTCATGCCAACATTCTTAGTGTTTAAATCTCTTCATTTATGTTCTACCTTCCATGATGATCACAAGTACTGGATCACTGTACCAATTTTTTTTCTCTTTCTGTATCTTGATATCAGAATGCCATTAGAGGAAACCACGTATTTGTGTAGATTATGACACTCTAAACCTCATCTGGTCTATATGAACTAGTTAAACATGATCTTTATCAGTCACCTTTTCCATTTCCCACATAAGTTATTCCAAATGGATACCAAGCACCTCAAGTCCCTCATATTTCCACCGCTACAAATGCAAAGGGTGAATATAATCATATGGGAAATTGTGGTTATTAGTAAGATTCCTTCAATGTCCTGTCTGTATCTCTTTATATAACAAATAAAAAGAAAAGCAACCGAATTAGAATTTTACTCATTTTCACATCTTTTTCTATAGGCCCACAGGATGAGCTTTTCACCATTCCCTTTTTAGAGGGGATTTTTCCACCAGTGACTTTGATTTCTATACTTTCATTTCTACCATAACCTGAATTCTGATCTCAAGTATTTTCAACTAATGTTCAGACACGGTGGCTCTGTCATAGTTCTTACAGTCAAGTCTCTTATTTTTCTCTCACAATTTCCACCTCCGAGTAGAAACTACCCTAAATCCTCGCCTTTCATTTTCAGTCAAGTTTCTGAAAAGAATATTCTATGAAATGTTTTTCAAATCTGGCTGCACATTAGAGTCACCTTGGGGAAGTTTTGAGCCACACTGATATCCTTTTCCCTCCTCAAGAAATTCTGATTCCGTTGGTCTAGGGTACAGTGACAGGCATAATTTTTGTTGTTGTTGTGGTTTTTTCTTTTGTTTTTTGTTTGTTTGTTTTTAAACTTCCCATGGGATTCTTTTTTTTTTTTTTTTTTTTTGAGACGGAGTCTCGCTCTGTCGCCCAGGCTGGAGTGCAGTGGGGCGATCTCGGCTCACTGCAAGCTCCACCTCCCGGGTTCACGCCGTTCTCCTGCCTCAGCCTTCCGAGTAGGTGGGACTACAGGCGCCCGCCACTATGCCCGGCTAATTTTTTGTATTTTTTAGTAGAGACGGGTTTCACCATGTTAGCCAGGACGGTCTCAATCTCCTGACCTCGTGATCCGCCCGCCTCGGCCTCCCAAAGTGTTGGGATTACAGGCGTGAGCCACCGTGCCCGGCCCTTCCCATGTGATTCTTATACGCAGCCGTATTTTGAAACCACTGTTCTACTAACTCAGACAATGGTTTCTCATTCCTCTCTCATGTACTCCAAATACTTTCTACTTCTACTTCTCCCCCAAAACAGTTCTTTTGAAGGGCACTAATATCTCCCTTGATTTCCAAGTCCAGTTAATTATTTTTAGTTTTTGTATTATTTTTTCATACTGAGTCTCAACTTTTCTTTAAAAGCCTTGCTTTCTATGACATCATTCTTTCCAAATCCATTTCTATATTTTTCTCAGTTTTCAGTTCTGGTTCTTTTTCTCCTTCCTTCCTCTCAAAGGCCACTGTTTTCCAACCTTCTGCTCTTTGCTCCTTTTTCGTCCTTCTTTGTAAGCACCCTCATGACTCCCTCCTCTTGCAGGGTTCCATTATTACACATTTTGTTTCTGTAGCCCGTACAGACTTTTGCTGTATAACATCAGATTCATATTTAAGAACCTACTAATGGCTGGGCGTGGTGGCTCACGCCTGTAATCCCAGCACTTTGGGAGGCCGAGGCGGGTGGATCACGAGGTCAGGAGGTCAAGACCATCCTGGCTAACACGGTGAAACCCCGTCTCTTCTAAAAATACAAAAAAAAAAAAAATTAGCCGGGCGTGGTAGCGGGCGCCAGTAGTCCCAGCTACTTGGGAGACTGAGGCAGGAGAATGGCGTGAACCCGGGAGGCGGAGCTTGCAGTGAGCCAAGATAGCGCCACTGCAGTCCAGCCTGGGCGAAAGAGCGAGACTCTGTCTCAAAAAAAAAAAAAAAAAAAAAGAACCTACTAAGTCCTTCCAGAATGCTGTTCCAGATCCACCTCAAATACCACGTTTCTGTCAAACAGCAGCTTCTCCACCTGAACTATTCTTTCTTTAGTATCATGATTCCCCAGCCCTGACACTCATGAGAATCACTTGAGGAAATTTGAAATCCTGAGACTGGGCTGGGTGCAGTGGTTCAGGCCTGTAATCCCAGCAGCACCTTTGGGAGGCCGAGACGACAGGATCACCTGAGGTCAAGAGTTTGAGACCAGCCTGGCCAGCGTGGTAAAACCCCATCTCTACTAAAAATACAAAATTAAGCCTGGCATGGTGGTGCACGCCTGTAATCCCAGCCACTAGGAAGGCTGAGGCAGGAGAATCACTTGAATCCAGGAGGCAGAGGTTGCAGTGGGCCAAGATTGTGCCACAGCACTCCAGCCTGGGCAACAGAGGAAGAAAGAGACTCTGTCTCATAAAATAAAAATATAAAAATAAAAATAAAATTCTGAGTCTGACTTTCAGAAATGTTGATGTAATTGATCTGGGGTACCTAGACATTGAGATTTTAAAAATATTTCAGGTGCCCCTAAGGTTCAGGCAATCTGAAAGTTAGGAAGCACAAGAATGAATTTTAGTATCAGGGTATTCAAAGGTGGTTTCATATTAGAATCACCAGGAGAGCAATTTTTAAATACTATTGTAGACCCAAACCCATTTCAACTGAATAAGAATCTCTGAGGTTGGATTTCAGGAATTCGTATTTTTTTAAAGTTCCCCAGGTGATGCTTATGTGTAGGCAAGGTTGAAAACCATTGCTTTAGTAGTTTCATCTCAATGAATGGCACTGTTTTCCACACAATTGCTCATCCAGGACTGGGAGTCATGTTAAACCCAGACTTTATCCTCACCTTTCTCTTATTCCACACTCAAATAAAATCCACATCCCATGAATCCTACATTTACAAAATATTCCTTTTAAACATCTTCCCTTGAATGTCTAATGGCCATTTCAAGTTTTAGCATACATAAAATTAAGTTTTTGACATTTCTACCCAAAACAGGACTTGCAAAGTCCAAAATATCATTTTGACATTTTTTCCTAAAATAGTACTACAAATAAAAAATCAGTATTGCCAATTTTTTGAAGCGAACTTATTTGAATAATATAGACTTTTTAAAAAGATCTTTGGATTTTGTTTTTCTTTGTTCCTTTAGGAAAGAGTATTAAATAATAATATTTAAGATTATAGTACTTTGAGTATATTTAGATAGAATGATAGAACAAGAAATTTAAAGAACTTCTGTTGTTGGAAGAAAAAAACTTATAAAAAGATTTCATCTCTTTGTCATGAGTTAAAAACAAACATTTTAAATGTCAATAAATTTCCAAAGGAAATTTGGCTTATAGTAAAAAAAAGGAAGAAGTAGTAGTATATTGAGAGTTAGTCTCAGCTCCTTGAACTTGAGATGTTTCTGTCTATGCCTGTTTCTTGTCTTTTTAAAAATAATTTAAATTTAGAGCAATAATCTGTTATATTATCCTCTGTTTTTAATATTGATTCATATAATTTCTTAGTGTGCTGCTTCTTTTGTTCTTTCAAGAAAAATGAAACTACCCAGAGATGGATTTCCAATCTAAGTTTTCACTACCTTTTGTGCTCCTGAGAGCCAGTAAATCCAGTCTGTTTTGATAATATTTTAGCCATGACACAGGCCAGTCATGGCAAGGAAAAAAAAATGAATTCATAAGAAAAAAATCTGTATATTTGTGAAAAAATCAGGATCTATCATATCCCAAGTTTATTTGGTGGCATTAACATATAAGAGTCCATTTGCTTACTCCCCATAAATATGTAAAAAGGCAAAGAGAAAGTAAAAAATAAAATTATTCTTCCACTCACACAAGTGGCTGAATAGGCCTAATCAATATTAACTTCATTGTTCCCCCATAATTCTATATGTTTAGCTTTTAAACATCTATCTTTTAAATATGCTATTTTTATTAATTTGAAGTTAATCAACTAAAATACGTTCATTCCTTTCACTTTACCAGTATTACAAGTGACTGTCTAGGAGCCTGAGTTCTAATGAGGCAGCCATTCCAAACATGTACAGACAAAGCAGTGGTTTCCCTGGCAACGAGAACCATGAAAAAGCTCTTAGAATAGTTATTCCCACCCTTACACAACTCCTTCTCATTTCAGTAAAGCTTCCTGTCAGAACACATTCATCAATGTAATTTGCCAACAAAGTTTAAGAGATTAAATCCCCCTCCCCACAAGAATGTAAAAATAAAAAAAACAAAATAAAACCTACAATCAAAAATCAACAGCTATTCTGAAATTGTAGCTAGGTCATCAGGTAATGCTTCAAAGGAAGTAAAGGACATCATAAGGCTCCTGAATACAGTTAACACCACTTTGAACCTGAGATTATTTTCATTTGATTTTTATCAGAGGATACAGAAGGTAGATGCATCAGGAGGAGGGGCAGGTGCCATTAATCATTACCTCTAGAATTATCACTTACAACCTCAAAGCAGTTTTTATTTAATTTAGTAAAAGTTTATAAAAATTTAAATTATTGTATGCATCAAATTAAGATTTAAGATGTACTTCATAAACATTAACCTTTTGTTGGTGATGTTTACCAAGAAAGGTAAACTCTGAAAACATGATGTCATCGTTTCAATTGGTGGAATTAAGTAAAAGATTTTCAAATGAGGCACTTGAACCTATTTTCTATCTATGCATGCAGTAGAAAAAAGCACACAAAACAGGCAGCATTTTGTGTCATGCGGCATTTCAAACAAGAGGGAAAACACATCTGGAAATAAAAGGTGTTTAGTTGAAAGAATTGACCTTAAATAAAACAATTGCAACACTTGATTTGGGCTTCTTACTGGAAATCAAATTCTTTGAGTTTAAAATATACCTACTAAATGTAATACAAAACCAAAATAACACACTTTCAGCATTTCTTAAAATGTTACCACCCAGCAAATGCAGAGTTTACAGTTCTAGTGATTTTCCCTGTTCTTTTCATGGAATGCATATCTAACCCGTTTTTCAGCCAGCATGCTACAGCAAAGGAAGATTCATGTTGTCCAGGGCTATTTCTTTAAAACAGTATGGAAATTACTTTTACTATAAATTAGGTTGTGCTTTAATGCTGAGAAAGGTCTATTTTGCCTTCATTTTGACCCATGACATACTTAGCCTTATAACAGCATAATGAGCATAATGAGGCCAAAACTAACACTGCAAAATAAAACACACACCCCCACACAAACACACATTATTTCTCAAGGAAGATGAAAAAAAAAAAAGGTCACATTGATTTTTTTTTTTTAAAGCAGGACATTTTCACTACTTTTTTCACTTGAAGATTGAAAAGGAAACTCATTTCAGTTTGTAACATTGCACTGACTGTTCCAGACACAAAAATGAATCAAGTCTCCTGTTGGATTATGTGGTTAGCATTTCTTCTCTTCCCTGGTGAGATAATTCATTACTTACAGCTGTGGTATAAAAACTCAAACATTGTCTTTTGCAGAATGGATTTGAAAAGTGGGCCCCCATTCTATTTTTGTTAGAAAATAATAAAATCACAAATTTTATCATGTATCAAAAATGAAAAGTGAAATATAAATGTGAAAGGTCTGATATTTACTTAATGAATATTTACCAAATACTTAGCATTTGCATATTAAGTACAAGCCTCAGGGAAAAAAATGTAGCCGTGTTTAAATCTCAACTTTATTTCTTCCCCTTGCTTTATTTTTTGAAAAATAAGAAATATTCACATTAAAGAAAAAAGAGAACATATTTAAAAATATTTTCATCTATATTCTAGTCTAACCAGAGTATCTATAATTTATATTAGTTACCAAATGTATTAGACAAATTAAAACACAAGAGTTTTTATTATTATAATGCTTTTTTAAAATATGGACATTCACAATTTTATGCTTACAAGAGAATATATAATTCAAGTACTCCCATGAAATAAAGTACCAGTTCTCTATAATCAAACCTACAGTGCAAAAGGTCAGCTGAAAATTACTTATAAAACTTTCAATTAAACTTTTACTAGTTTAGGTATTCTCTTCATAGTTGAGAAATATAATGCAAATAAAAGTTGAGTATGCCTCCCTGCCTCCAACTAGGACATAAAGTTGATCTTCCATGTCATGTTTCTTAAAAGTAACTCTAAAATAAGTTTCTTTCAAACCTTCTAAATTATTCTCTTTCCCTAATGGCTTGTTGTATTCTTCCCCAGCAGAAATGACTAAAATAGCCCTATTGCACTTAATCTAATTAGGGACTTTTGGAGAAATGGTGGTTACATAGTTCTCATTAACTGACTAAAAAACTGTACCATCTCCAGAGGTATAGATATTAAAAAGCGAGGGAGGGGGATGATTCCTTTTAAAGCTCCAGAAATGAATGTAAGTGTTCATATTCTGGTACATTAACAGTTTGTTCCAGTACATTGATATTTTATGTGGAAGCCCTACTCTGCAATTAATATGCCTGATGCAAATTGAAAAACCCATAATCCATCCTTCTCTGTTGGAATGTTAGAGAAGCTACAGGATACCAGAACCGTTTTTTAAACTTGACTGCTCATTACCTTAAATCTGCATATAAAACAGTTTTGCATTCAGACGAGGTAATACATATCAGAATATATTGTGGCGCATATTAAAAAAAGTGCTCCAAATAAAAACGACCTGTGGGCTTCCTTTGTAGAAGAAATTTATGCAGTTCCAGGCATTAGGGATTAATGATAGCTAAGAGCAAAAGAGAAGGAATGAGCATTAAAACATTGTGCCTAACTTTCCTGACTACCCCAAGGCTAAAAGACAAAGTGAATTGTCAAATCTCCTTAAAGGTAAGGACTATGAATTTATATTAAGTAAATATGATATTTGGGGATTGCATCTGGTTCTGTCACATTAGTATTCAGAATATTTCTTATAGCTTTAAAGGAGAAAAGACAACCTTAATGGAGGTATGAGAGAAGAAAGATTTTAAAAATCCTTTGTTTCTAACAGCTTAGAGAGCCTCTTTCCTTTGTCTTGTTTCCAAAATTATGCATACAATTCTTCACAGGACGTAAAATGCTATTGTGTGCTATGACTGACAAAATCCAAGATTTTAATGAAAGTTATACTGTAACTATTTTAAAGGGAAGGGGAATCACACATCCCTAAGAGATTCAAATGTAATATATTCTCAAAAATGGAAAGATCCCAGGGATACAGATTTATTTCTTTCACGGATTTCTCCTAAGCCTGTTCAATTCATTTGATCATCACCGCCTGTGATCTGGGTTTTATTAACATTTTAGCATTTGATTGGACCCTTCTTACCTCTCTGTCTATCCATCACTTAAGACATTTAGTGCTGCCTACTGGCAGTTATCTGTGTAATTGTTTTATTTCACTCACTAAGTGATAAGATCCTTGAGGCAAGACGCTATGCGATATGGCCTGTATCTTCCACAATAAGTAATCACATTGATTCAAAAGATTCCCTCACAATACATTTTTATTGCAAAAATGATTTTGTATTTATCCATTTTGGAAAAGAAATTTTATCTCTTGAGCCCCTAAAAATGGAATTGTACACATTAAGACCCTTACACATATCACATAATAATCTTCAGGGTCAAACATTATAGTTTTCACCTGCTGCTATTCCTTTGCAGTAGACTAGAATAGAGAATTATATAAAACTTCTATGACTGTCAAAAAAATGATATAGTTTTTGAAATCATGTAAAATCAACCTTCTTTATTTTACAGATATAGAAATTTAGATCTGTAAGGACCATCAGTGTGGTGAAGGTCACATGGTAAGTTAATTACAGAATCAAATTTTTCCCTTTCATTTCAATCTGTTTTTAAGTTTTACATGATTCCACTTTCAGGAAAAAGCAATTAAAATACAGACTGACTTTGGTAAGAGTGATATATATTTTTATGTTTCAGACCAGCATGTTGTTTCATGCTGATGTTAAAAGATAATGGTTGATATCAGATAAATACCCACACATACACACAAACACAAACTAACTTGGGGTCCAATAAAATAAGACTGGGTTGTTCACATATTTTTCCATTAGTGCAAATATTTTAAAGAGATAATTTTCTTTGATAAAATCTGTGTTCTTAAAACTGATTAACACATAGTCCTTACTAGAAACTCTTTACAAAAAAAAAAACAACAAAAAAACAAAAATGAGAGTGCAAAAATTGAGAGAATAAGTCAAAGGAGAAAGAGAAGTTCTCCCATAACTGAAATTCATTGTACCTGTACATTAATCAAAGAACAAAATTGACTGTCATGTGATTTGACTCATGCTAAAATGTCCCTCACAATGAAAATAATCTCTTTTATTGGCCCCTCACAGTGTTTAAAATTTTTCACCATTTAAAAAAAAAATTGACTTAAAATACTTCATCTTCTGACATTTTTGTTCACAAAAATAGTAAAAGTAAAGGATAAAGGTAGATAATATACCAACTCTGCAGGGTATTGCAGGAAGTTCAGAGAGGGAAAGAAAGAGGAACTATAAATAGTTATCATAAATTACAGCTAAATATTTTAGTTTAGCATAAAGAGGGTATGATGAATGTAAACAACATCACATATAGTTGAAAGTAGAGTTGTGGAATTACTTTTCCATGACAATGTTTAAGAATTGTACAGCTTTGCTGTTATCTAGTGATGTGTCCCCACCCAAATCTCACCATGAATTCCCATGTGTTGTCAGAGGGACCTGGTGGGAGGTAATTAAATCATGGGAGCAGGTCTTTCCCATGCTGTTCTCATGATAGTAAGTTTCATGTGATCTGATAATTTTATAAAGGGAAGTTTCCCTGCACAAGCTCTCTTCTCTTGTCTGCTGCCATGTGAGACATGCCTCTCACCTTCTGCAATGATTGTGAGGCCTCCCCAGCCACATGGAACTGTAAGATCATTAAACCTCTTTCTTTTGTAAATTGCCCAGTCTTGGGTATGTCTTTATCAGCAGTATAAAAACAGACTAATACAGTAAATTGGTACCAGGAGTGGGGTGGGACTCTGCTCTAAAGATAACTGAAAATGTGGAAGCAACTTTGGAACTGGATAACAGGCAGAGGTTGGAACAGTCTGGAGGGCTCAGAAAACAACAGAAAAATGTGGGAAAGTCTGGAACTCCCTAGAGACTTGTTCTATGCCTTGACCAAAATGCTGATAGTGATATGGACAATGCAATCCAGTCTGAGGTGGTCTCAGATGGACATGAGGAACTTGTTGGAAACTGGAACAAAGGTGACTCTTGTTATGTTTTAGCAAAGAGACTTGTGGCATTTTGCCCCTGCCCTAGAGATTTGTGGAACTTTGAACTTGAGAGAGATGATTTACGGTATCTGGCAAAAGAAATGTCTAAGCAGCAAAGCATTCAAGAGGTGACTTTTTAGCCGGACATGGTAGTGTGTGCCTGTAGTCTCAGCTACTTGGGAGGCCGAGACAGGAGAATTGCTTGAACCCAGGAGGGGGAGGTTGCAGTGAGCTGAGATCATACCCCACTGCACTCCAGCCTGGGTGACAGAGTGAGACTCCCCCCCCAGAAAAAAAGATGTGACTTGTGTGGTGTTAAAAGCATTCAGTTTTAAAAGGAAAACAGATCATAAAAGTCTAGAAAATTTGCAGCCTGACAATGTGATAGAAAAAAAATCCCATTTTCTGAGGAGAAATTCAAGCTGGCTGCAGAAATTTGCATAAGTAGAAAGGAGCTGAAAGTTAGTCACCAAGACAATGGGGAAAATGTCTACAGGGCATGTCAGAGACCTTTGTGGCAGTACTTCTCCTCACAGGCTGGGAGGTTTTAGAGGAAAAAATGGTTTCATGAGGCAGGCTCAGGTTCCCTCTATGTCCAGTCTAGGGACCTGGTGCCCTGCATCCCAGCTGCTCTAGCCATGACTAAAAGGGGCCAAGGTACAGCTCAGGCCGTGGCTTCCAAGGGTGCTAGCCCCAAGCCTTGGCAGGTTTTACATGTTGAGCCTGAGGGTACACAGAAGTCACGAATTGATTTGGCAACCTCTGCCTAGATTTCAGAGAACGTATGGAAGCACCTGGATGTTCAGGCAGAAGTTTGCTGCAGGGGCAGGGTGCTCATGGAGAACCCCTGCTAGGATATTGAGAAATGGAAATGTGGGGTGGGCACCCCCACACAGAGTCCCCACTGGGGCACTGCCTAGTGGAGATGTAAAAAGAATGCCATCGTCCTTCAGACCCCAGAATGGTAGCTGTACCGACAGCTTGCACTGTGCACCTGAAAAAGCTCCAGACACTCAATGCCAGCCCATGAAAGCAGCTGGGAGGGAGGCTGTGTCCTGCAAAGACAGAGGTGCAGAGCTGTTCAAGACCATGGGAACCTCCTCTTGGATCAGTGTGACCCAAATATGAGACATGGGGTCAAAAGAGATCATTTTGGACCTTTAATATTCGACTGCCCTGCTGGATTTCAGAATTTCATGGGGCCTTTGTTTTAGCCATTGTTTTTTTCCATTTGCAACAGCTGTACTTACCCAATGCCCGTACACCCATTGTATGTAGGAAGTAACTAATTTTCTTCTTATTTTACTGACTCATAGGTGGAAGGGACTTGCCTTGTCTCTGATAAAACTTTGGACTGTGAACTTTTGAGTTAATGCTGAAATGAGTTAACACTTTGGAGGACTGTTTAAAAGGCGTGATTGGTTTTGAAGTGTGTGGACATAAGATGTGGGAGGGGCCAGGGTGAAATGATAAGGTTTGGCTGTGTCCCCACCCAAATCTCATCTTGAATTGCCATGTGTTGTTTGAGGGACCCAGTGGGAGGTACTGAATCATGGGGGCAGGTCTTTCCCATGCTGCTCTGGTGACAGTGAATAAGTCTCATGAGACCTGATGGTTTTATAAAGGGGACTTTCCCTGAACAAGCTCTCTTCTCTTATTTGCT
Source organism: Homo sapiens (assembly GCF_000001405.40). Classification (NCBI taxonomy): domain Eukaryota; kingdom Metazoa; phylum Chordata; class Mammalia; order Primates; family Hominidae; genus Homo; species Homo sapiens. The sequence continues at coordinate 43,047,949 of NC_000009.12, forward strand.
GCCATGTGAGATTTGCCTTTAACCTTCCAACACAATTGTGAGGCATCCCCAGCCACCTGGAACTGTAAGTCCATTAAACCTGCTTCCTTTGTAAATTGCCTACTCTTGGGTATATTTTTATCAGCAGCGTGAAAACAGACTAATACAGCTAGGGTGGTTAAGATAGAGATATGGGCAAGATAGAAATCCTTAACAACAAATACATACATTAAATTGTTTCTTCCATCTAGGATGGTTCTTTTAACCTACAGGTAATCACTTTGTGTGTTTCATTAAGGTATTTTCAAAATCTCTTTGAACAGCATAACTTTTAAAAGCAAGTACTAATACTTTATAAAAGTATTTCATAAAGTAGTTTACAGTAACTGAGGTTGATTTGTGCCATTAAGGAAAAAACTTTTACTTTTTTATTACTAAAAATGTATGTAAATCTCACTGGCACTGAATGCATTTTTCAAACAAATAAAGAGGCTTGAAATGGTGAACAGCTATTCTTTTCTGCCTACTAGGGATGAGAAAGTACAGGCTGTTTTCAAATTAAAACCGGAAGCATATACAATGAGACATTATGTGGACTGTTGTGACTATTAGGGTTGTTAGATCATGTGCTGTGTTACTGTGGGATGTTTGGGAGGGTCCTTTGAATATATTTTATTATAAAAAATTTTATTTTTCTGATGTATATAATCAGAAGCTCTTGAAGTAGACAACTATATAAATATTAAATGCTCACTTCCAACATAATATTCATTTGATTAATAAAACTGGAGACAATTTATCTTAGTTGGTGGATTATACTATACTCATCCTTGGTAGATTAGCCATAAAACTGAAGTATTTCCACCTCAGGAAATATTCCCACCAGTTAAGTTGATGTGCATTGCCAGAGTATAGTTACTTTGTTGAATTTCCACATGTAAACTCTTTTATTGAATTAGATATGTAGAAAAGTCATTGTTCTATGCTTCATCACCAGTTACCAGTGGCATTTGTTCTTCTCTATATAAACTTAACATAGAAAAATTATAACCTACCTATCTGCATATTCTACACAATATAACTGCTAATTTTATCATCGGTGAGATGGTACAAAGAATTCAACTGTCAAATTAGACTCATATGAAATAGAAATGTTTAATCATTTTTAGGATATAAAAGTCTAGTGTCTAGAGGCTCAGGGAGAACTAAGGTGAGAGGTTGAGTATTCACTGGATCTCTTCCTACTACAATAAATAAGTTCTGGCACATTACTTACACAAAAGATAAAAAAGTATCAGTAATAAACACTTCCATTTTATAATCAAATAGGCACAAAGGATGCATAATATTTTCCAGGAAGCGATGCCCCATATATCCATAGATTCTAGGGTTGTTTTTTTTTTTTTAACACAGGAGATGCTAAACAACCAAGTACATGCTTCTAAAAACACCTTGCAGATAAAAACCCTCCCACTAGCTAACGTAACTAGCTTGTTTGCAAAAAGTCTGCTTTTAGCATGTTTACAAATGTATTAGTCTGCTAGGGCTATTATAACAAAGTATCATCAACCAGGTGGCTTAAGAGTGGGAATTTATTTTCTCACAGTTCTGGAGTCTAGAAGTCTAAGATCAAGGTGTCAACAGGTTTGGTTCCTCCTGCGGCCTCTCTCCTTTGCTTGCACATGGCCGCCTCCTTACTGTGTTCTCACATTGCCTTTTCTTGATGCAAGCACTTCACTCGTGTCTTTTCCTCTTCTTAAAAGGACACCAGTCCTATTGGACTAGGGTCCCATTCATATGACCTTAATTAACCTTAATTACCTCTTTAAAGACCATATCTCCAAATGCAGTCATTTGCGGGTTAGAGACTCAGCATATAGGTTATAGGGGAACTTGATTTATTTAATAACAACAGGGATATGACTTTTATTTACTTGTCCTCTATATAAAGGAAGAGCCTAGATAGCAGATCTGCTTCCCATCCTTTTCTTTCTCAACGAAGAAGGATTTATGTTTTCCAAAAACAAAAAAAAAACAAAAAACTCTTGAATTTTATCTCACGAGAGCAAATAAATTCAATCATTCAGCCCCTAAATGGCTCAAAAGTCTGTAGAATAGAGCAGCTTCAAAAGAACAAGTGGGAAGTAATGAGGAAGAGTAAGAGACAAAGCTTCACAAAGGCTGTGTTAAAGAAGAACTCTTACTCCTAGTGAATTCTGAGATGATATCACAGACTCAATTTATATGCAAACCTGAATTTAAGTGTACTAAAAATATAAAATTCACTTTGGAGCTAATGAAGTAACTTTTCATCCAAAAAAATATATTACTTTAAGTATTTCTCCTGTAGTAAAAGTATTTACCGTTTTATTCATAGCTTTGGATTGAGCAAATATATCTTAAGATATATGTGTCATAATATAGACTATAACATAAAATGTGGGTGAACACAGTAACTCACTTTTACATCATAATCAAGTCATTAGCTTCTCATTTCCACAATTAAAAGAAATATGTCTTATGAGCTATTCAAAATCTTAGGTTAGAGAAAGTTACCAAGTAATTAGCTGCCATTCTGGACACACAGAAATTAGAGTAACAAAACCAGTTCACACATAGATACATTCTTTGAGAGACAGAATAGTGGATTAACCACAAATATAAAGTAGAGAATGCAGAGAATGCCCGTGATGGAATTCTCAAGAAAACAATTTCTAGTGCACACAGTTGGCTGCCTAACCCTCTTACATTTTCCTTATCTTTCTTTTTTTTTAACAGAATCCATATTTTATTCAGATATCCATTCTATCTGTAAATCGTCCCTGTGTTTAGGGAAAGATCAGCTTTATCCATAGAAGGGATATCTGAATAAAATAAACAGAACTCCCCAGTTCCAGAGTTGGGCCTCTGTTACTCTTAGACAATGTGGGTAATTATTTTCCCATTGCTCCTGGTTGTTTCAAAAAATCAGACATACATCAATCAGTACCTGTGTTTGTAAATTGTTATCTGGAATAAGCAGACAGTGCAAATAGTTTCTATTATAATATAAAGAAGGAAAGACTTCTATTCATAAAAGGGGAAAACTCTTTCCCTTGTATTCACTGGATTTGAATGAGAAATCCTGTACTGCTCATTGCTCTTACCAGCCATTGCATACTACAAGGGGAAGCAGAAGTAGGATGAAGCTAATAGGTGAACTGCAGGGTGGAGAGGCAGAAAGAATGTGCTTCCTTGCTGAGTTCTCTGAACCATAAATCAAGCAGAGCTGAAAACTTTTCTACCTATCTACTTCTTAATATATAATATACAATCTCTTCATTGTTTAGGTGGGCTTTATTTGCAGGGTATAAACTGTAATAAAAGAAGGGCCAAAGATGTAAATAAATGTGACTGATAGAGGACAGCATAAAAGAAAAAATAAGTTTTTTTTTTAAAGCAGGACTGTGAGAATTTTAATAGAGTCTAGATTGGTGAATAAAAAAGAATAGAATATCCCAAAAAGTGTATATTAATGCTCAAACCAGTAAAGAAATATGAGTTACCACTTTGTGGAAAAATAACATGGGTAGATTCATATGCCCCTACTGCGTGTAAGATTATTTTTAAAGAGATTAAAGCATTAAATGTAGCAAATAAAACCACAAAGGCTCTAGAAGTAAACATAGGACATTTCCTTTATAACCTTTAAGTGGTTAAGGTATAAGTAATTATAACTAAAAGTCTAGAAGCTAAAAGATTAAAAAATGGGTATATGTGAATACAGTAACAATAACTTCATGAAAAAATATTGTAAACATTCACTTCTCAGTCTTTTGGCTAAGATCAAGTGAAATATTGTAAACAAATTGAAACTACAAGTAATCAATTAAAGAATAATATTTAGTCTTCATATAGTATTATTTCTTTACTATATGAAGTGTTTCTAGAAATTTATGAGCAAAAGACTCAAACTCAAAAGAAATATAGTCAAGTATATAAACAATTGTTAGAAAGTAAATGCAGGCCGTCGCGGTGGCTCACGCCTGTAATCCCAGCACTTTGGGAGGCTGAGGCGGTTGGATCACGAGGTCAGGAGATCGAGACCATCCTGGCTAAAGCGGTGAAACCCTGTCTCTACTAAAAAAAATTAACCGGGTTTTGTGGCGGGTGCCTGTAGTCCCAGCTACTCGGGAGGCTGAGGCAGGAGAATGGCGTGAACCCGGGAGGTGGAGCTTGCAGTGAGCCCAGAATGGCATGAACCCAGAAGGTGGAGCTTGAAGTGAGCCGAGATTGTGCCACTGCACTCCAGCCTGGGCAACAGAGTGAGACTCCATCTCAAAAAAATAAATAAATAAAATAAAAATAAAAAATTAAGTAAATGCAAATGACTTTTAAGTATATAAAAGTGTATTCAAGTTCAACCATAACAAAACTACAAATAAAACTCTATCAATATTCTTTCACCTATTAGAATAGCATATTTAATAACACAAACTTCAGCAAACATATAGAGAAATAAGTACTACCATTCATGCATCCACATGATTGGAGTATAAATTAGTACATATTTATCAAATAAAAAATGCATGTGTGCATGTCCAATCAATTATACTCTAGGCAGATTGTCCTAAATAACTACTTACATATAAAACGACATATATGACTATATTCATTGCAGAAAAATATATAAGAACAAGATTCTGAAAACAACAAAGTTTTTAATATAGTACGACTTAATGATGACACATCCCTTTGATGTTCTGCAACAGTAAAAATACTGAAAATTTTCTATATGTATTAACGTGGAAAGTTTTTCAAGATAAATTGCTAACGAATAAAGCAATGTGCCAAAAGGATACGTGTTATGCTGTCCAAATAAAGGAAATCAATAATGTATTTTGTTATTTCTTATATATACATAAAATACTTAAGACACCAAGAAGCTGTTGTTAAGAGGTAAGAACTGGGCAGACAATAGAAAAGGATAGAATGTGGAATTTTCCAATTCTGTATCATGTAAATGCATCACCTGTTCCAAAAATAAAATAATGTTCACGGTTCCCTACATTTTCTGAGAAATATCCAACTCTTAACCAGTAATTTATAGCCTTTCAAAATTGTTCCGGTAATATTTCATTTTTCTTGCTCATGCTAAACCACCTTCTCATCAAACTATTCAGTACCTTAAATTCTACTAAAATTTCTTTGTGGCATCACACACATACCCATTTCGATACACTCTTTTTCTATTATCACCTGTAGAAACCTACATAACTTCACAGCACATCTCAGATGCCAGCTCTTTCAAGATCTTCTCTGATAAACCCAAGGAGAAATAATTTTTCCCTCATCAAAATCCTTAGTGCACTTGGGATTACATCACATATTCTTCTTATAGGAGTGGTCTTTCTATTAGCATTGAAGGTCCTTAAGAGCAAGATTGCTTTTTAAACATCTGTATTTCTTAAAGTATTCTGTGCAAAATACTATGCTAAACCCTGTATTTACTCAAACATTTTAGCTTAATGAATTAAAATATGACTCAAAATGGAATGGTAAGTTGTTCCATCTTAATATATTAAGAAATATCACCAACAGCAACTACATCAAGAAACCAAGAAGACGACCTTTAATGGAATATTTGATGGACGCTGAAGTGAGTCTATTAACAAAAACAAACAAAAAGAATCAGGGACTACATTTGCCATTAATTCTAAAATTGTTGCCATTTAGGGCCTCACTGAAATATAGGGCCAAATAGCTGTTGCTCTACCAGTAGCAGTTCTCATATTAAATGATGAATTTGCAAGGCCCCCTAGGATTTCATCTGTTCTCCTTGAGAAAATGTCAATAACTTCTATAAAGAAAGAGTGGCCCTAGTTAGAGTTTTTTAGTTCCAAGTCTATGTCTAACCCATTAAGAAATAATTCATACTTAGTATATATTTTTAAAAAACACTAAAATATAGTCTAAATTTTGCTGATTTTTTAAACTATGTAGGAATTATATAATAAAATGTGATTACCTAAGAGAATGTTCTGGTTTTTACGACATATACAATAAAGTACTTAGGATTAAAATAATAAGATGGCTCCAATTTGCAAATAGTATAGAAAGAAGAGAGAGAGAGAGAGAGAGCACACTACCAATATATTCAAATGTAATTTAGAAAAAAAATCTGGATAAAAGGGTATATAGGACTTTCTTCTACTATTCTTGCAACTTCTTTCTAAGTTTAAAATTATGTCAAAATGGCTGGGCGTGGTGACTCACACCTGTAATCCCACCACTTCGGGAGGCTGAGGCAGGTGGATCACCTGAGGTCAGGAGTTCGAGACCAGCCTGGCTAACATGGTGAAACCCTGTTTCTACTAAAAATACAAAAAATTAGCCTGAATTGATGGTGAGCACCTGTAATTCCAGCTACTCGGGAAGCTGAGGCAGGAGAATCACTTGAACCCAGGTGGCGGAGGTTGCAGTGAGCCGAGATTGCATCACTGCACTCCAGCTTGGGCAACAAGAGCAAAACTCCATCTCAAAAAAACATAGTATATAAAAATAAGAGTTACACACACACACACGTCAATGTACAACCAGGCAAACTGAGTCTATGTTAAAATTCGGTCATCACCTGTAAACTAGTTCAACCATTGTGGAAGTCAGTGTGGCAATTCCTCAAGGATCTAGAACTAGAAATACCACTTGACCCAGCCATCCCATTACTGGGTATATACCCAAAGGATTATAAATCATGCTGCTATACAGACACATGCACATGTATGTTTATTGCAGCACTATTCACAATAGCAAAGACTTGGAACCAACCCAAATGTCCAACAATGATAGACTGGATTAAGAAAATTTGGCACATAGACACCATGGAATACTATGCAGCCATAAAAAATGATGAGTTCATGTCCTTTGTAGGGACATGGATGAAATTAGAAATCATCATTCTCAGTAAACTATTGCAAGAACAAAAAACCAAACACCGCATATTCTCACTCATAGGTGGGAACTGAACAATGAGAACACATGGACACAGGAAGGGGAGCTTCACACTCTGGGGACTGTTGTGGGGTGGGGGGATGGGGGAGGGATAGCATTAGGAGATATACCTAATGCTAAATGACAAGTTAATGGGTGCAGCACACCAGCATGGTACATGTATACATATGCAACAAACCTGCACATTGTGCACATGTACCCTAACACTTAAAGTATAATAAAAAAAAAAAAACTCAGAAACTAGAGTCAGAAGAATAGCCAAAAAAAAAAAAAAATTCAGTCATCACTATCTTTAATGGATGGAATGGAGTTTAGAGTAAATAGTGCAGGGAAGGTAGGGTTATGAGGTTTTAGTGTTCTCTTTCTTAATCTGCATTCTGATTACCAGATTATTGTTCACTTGATAAAATTTTATCGAATTGTGCCCTGATAATCAGAATGTAAGAATGTTACATTTTCTGTAAGATATCCTTCAATGAATTTTAACAAAAATACTATGAAAAAATAAATTTCTCTTTTTTTAACTTGATTACCCTATTATAGAATGCATATGTTTAGTGTCTTTGTACAGTGATAAGAAAATACCTCAAACAGGATTTAAAAAAACGTAAACAGATGTAAATGACACTTTTCTTTATTTTTTATTTTATTTATTTATTTATTTATGATAGGATCTCACTCTGTCACCCAGGCTATAGTGCAGTAGCATGATCACAGCTAATTTCAGCCTTGACCTTCTGGTCTCAAGTAATCCTCTCAAGGCAGCCTCCCATTTAGCTGGGACCACAGACACGTGCCACTATGTCTGGCTAATTTTTTGAGTTTTTGGTAGACAGGGTCTCACTTTGTTGCCTAAGGTGGTCTTGAATTGCTGGGCTCAAGCAATCCTTCAGCCTCAGCCTCCCAAAGTGCTGGGATTATACGCATGAGCCACCAGGCCCAGCCACTTTTCTTTAATTGAAGTGCTATAGCCAATACCAAAGTTGGTGGCCTCCCATCCAACTTACAATTTACAGTATAGCACCTATACATTTAGTCTGCTGCTCTAAATGTCTCCTAGTAATCAAACGGTGTGTGAAATTCATAGTATGGGGCACAATATTTTTTAATCATTCTAACTACTGTAATTATGTCCTTATCTGTATTCATGTCCTGAAAGTTTATGCAAGTAAAATTAGCATAATGACATTTAAGTTATTTCATGTTTATGTGCATGCATTTACTGGACATTGCTATTTTTTACAACTTTACATTTTAAATTTCTACTTTTCATCCAAGAACTCTCTCAAAATGTTTGACTTACCTTCTTTTGTTTTTACATTTTTCTGTTCTTCAATTTTTTCATTCATCCAACATATACTTAAATATCTAAGTTTTAAGGTAACTATATGTGCTGGTATATTTGCCTATAAATCATCATGCACATAGAAAACACTTTTAGAAGCTTCCTCTTTCATACCAAATTCAAACCATAAGGTCTAAAGGAAGTACTTAGAGGTTGTGGTATACACACATTTATTTTACTGAAAACTGAAAATAACGCAGACAAAAGGATGAAACTTATTGGGAATTGGTATGATACATAAGGTATCTTTCACTCAGAAAAAAAGTAAGAATATACCATACTAAGTTCATTTTCTTCAAAAATTTGGATCCTTTCATTTTCTAGGGCTGCATATCCTTTTTCCTAAAGAGGAACTCCACATTTTATAAGTTGCAGTTCCCATAAAGACTAGATCTGTCCCTAGTTTTGATGAACTATACCTGGGAAACCAGAGGTATGGCAATCCTAAAACGAATATAGGAAAAGAGTTCCAATAGACACAGATTCCCTTACCCTGGTGAAAATGAAGATAGAAACAACAACAAAAAGAGATATTACGTAATATAAAATAAAACAAATGTTCATTATATTTGAACCTGTATTCTCTTTTCTAAACTGAGTTTCAGAGGGCAAGGAACATGTCTGTCAGATACTACTTTCTATCCAGTACACATAGTAGCTGCACAATAAACATTTATGACATGAATTAATTAGCGTTTCTCTGGCCTGCCAATACCCTGTATATAGAAAATCTGTAAATTTCCACTAACTTTAAAAATACTCATATTTTCCTGGAACAGAAAGTAAAGATTACATGGCAGACAAAATTGCATCTGTCTACTAATGATTACCATGTAATCTTTACTAGATGGCCTTGTGGTTCTCAGTAAGAGTCAAGTGATGAAGGAGACAGAGGGAGCAAAGCTGAAAGACTTTAATAAACTCTCTTTGCAAATAATGTTTTTATTCAATGTCAACTTCTTATTAAGACATCCCAGGGCTTGACTCTTCTGAGTCTTTTATATACTTTTTTTCTACAACAAAGGAGAAAGCAATCACTATTGATTTGGGCACATATCAAAAAATGAAAAAAGAGAAATAAATAAACAGTTGCATTTCAATTGTGGCCATCATACAGCCAATAGTTTATCATAACTCTTAAAGGTTGGTCCCTAGGCTCTCATACAGGTTCACCCTTTGCTGACCTCTTACAATCTTTCTGTCAGCATTTTGAATGCTACTGATTCTGTGAGTAATATTTTCAACGGAGGTCAGACAGGCCAGTAAGTCCAGCGTGCCCTCTCACTTACAAATTCCCCTTCTTTTGTGGCTTTTCACCATGGGTTCACATGTCATGGACTCTACATCGCAAACTGCAGTAAGCAAATTTCAATCGTGAGTGAAAGGAGAAAAAAGCAAATCCTACTTGACTATTGCTAGCTTGTTTACACCATAGGGCTAGAGTAAGCTGAAATCGACAGAGTATAAAGAAAAGAAGGTCCTCTTGCAGTAACACACACACTCATTTTCAGACTCATAGTTTAAATGCAGTCCTTTATTTGTCACTACCACTGCATTATTATCAGAGGATTTATATGCCTAGAGCTGCCAGAAGTGTCACCAGATCTGACAATGCCCATTTTGGAGCTTTTTCCGATGGCTTATTTTATTTATAGTCTTGATGAAACTGGGGCAGTCACAAAACTGATTAGTGATCTGGCAAACAGGGTCTGCTCTGCTACTGATCTGTGTAAATATTGTGCTGTAGAGCCTTTCTGTGACAGGTCATTGCTGCTAACAAACCGCAGAATGCAAACAGAGACCTGTGCTGCGTTCACTGCAGATGCACAGCAGCCAGCTTACACTGACAAAGCAAATGAAAATCCTCTTATTGTCGATCATCTCAAGTAAAATGGCCTAAAAATCAATTCTAGGATAGGCTTTCTTTCTTTCTCGAAGCTTTAATCTGGGGATGATGACAGTGATAATGGTATTTCATTATACACATAAAGTAAGAGAGAAAAACGTAACAAAACAAGATATAAAAGATGAATTTAAACAATGGATTGTGAAAGCCTTGTTGTTTGCTTCTGTTTTTAAAAATATTTTGCTATTTTTTCTTGGCTGCTGCCGTTGCTACAGTTGTAGTCTGCACAGAATGAAGCCTTAATCACACAGTCATGCTGAAACAACATGTTTACAAAGGTAAAATTAATGGGCTTATCTTAAGCAAGATGTCCCTCTATGGCATCATTAATATGCTTTAGATTTTTAAAATAAATGTGTTTTTATTCTTCCAGTACATCAGAATTGGAATTGGAGTCATGTCAAGATGTTCTCACTGGCAAAGACAGGAGGAGGTTAAAATAGCTCCTTGTAGGGCAGTAACCTCGGGAGAAAAAGAACTAATAGAAAATAAATGGCGAGTATTTTTTTTTGAATCATTTGTATGATAAGCTTATAATGTACTTGTCTCAATGCAGAAAGCACAAGGAAAAAATAAATATGTCCTCATCACATTGGTAGACAAAGCACTAAGCATGTAGGTTGTCAGAAATTCGATATCCCTTTCTCTTTTCTATATCCTCTACCAAACAGAAAGTTCCACATACATCTGAGACTTCAGTGTCTATGTGACTTGAGTACAATTTCCTTTTTCATCTTTGTTTTTCCTTTACTTACTCGTTTCCCTTTATTCTTACCTGAGATATAGAGAGTAAAAAATAACACTATAGAATCAACCTTTTTTTCTAGGTAATTTAGAATAAATTTTCCAGAACATAAAAAGGATAATGATGGCATTATGTAAATTTGAGACCAAAATTTTCTGAATTAAATTATTTTTACATAGATAATGGTTCACTTCTGATTAGGAACATTAAATAAAAAGTAATCTTAACAATATGACAATACAACTTAGCCTTCTTGCATTATCTTTTTTAGCCTAAATATTTAATTATTATAATTTGCACAAAATTGAAATTATAGTGCAATTCTTTTCTTTACAAAATAATCACAATAAAGTATTTTAATCAAGCAACTGAGCACATACAATTATTATTCTATGTCCATAAAATTTTTTTGCAGAAAACATTTATATAAGAATTTCAGTAGTCAAACATTGAGTAGCAGGAAAATACTATTAAATTTTAAAAACCAAACAAGCATTGGAAACAGAAAAATGGATACGAAGAGAAGCAAGTATTCTCCTGTATTTATAATTGTGGTACTTTACAATATATGTAATATATCTTTAGAAAGATTAATTGTCTTTTATTCTCACAGAAATTCTATGAGCCAGGCAGAGGAACTGTTTTTGTTCCCATTTTACTTCTGTAAAAACCGAGTCTCAAAATAACTGCTCCCCAGAAGTATAGAATGATTAAAGGTCAGAGACAGAGCCTGCATATTTTCATATTTGTTACACTTTTTTAGCGATTGTTGTCCAAGAGTACTCTTACTTTTGAGATACTTTCTTTATTTCACTGTTCAGAATTTTTACATTTGTATGATTTAACAAAATAATCGGTAAATTTCATTTTTGGGGATTAAAAATTAGGTTGTGGAAGCTACATTAGGTTGTGGAAGTTGTGCCCCATCTGAGACAAATCTTGGATTAATCAGTGATTGATTAAATTATTGAAAGTTTAGTTATTCAAAGAAATTGGCATAGAAGTACATTAAGCTAAGCTTTATCTGGTAAAATGGAGAACTAACATGATGTGGGCTTCTTTCTGTGACCACAACCCTGGAAATGACACAGAAATCAGCATCTAATACTAAAAGATGTGAGAAACCCTTGCAGTTACAAACTACAGTAAAGTCTGCGAGTAGAGAAAAAAATGACAGCAAAGAGCAGAAAACTGAGATGTAAGGAAACCAGAATATGCTGGGGCGGAAGTTTTTAGTGGTCATCATTCCTTTTCATTGCATTCCTGTATTTTTTTCTGCTCTTTCAATAGTTAGAGTACCCACAGTGTGCAAGGCACTCTTCTAAATACTGAGAATACACTACAGAGCCAGAAAGACAAAACTTTGACCAAATGGAATTCCCATTCTAGCGAAACTAGAGTTGAAAAGAGACCACTGCTAACTCCTTTAAAGCCATTTTGGAGTCGGTCAGGCAGAATATGACTCAACCTAGCTTGGAAAATGAGGAAATAGTGACAAATGCAGAAAGACCATCTGAACCCTAGGCATTCTCCTCTAACCCAGCTACTCCATACAATGAGTGTTAGGATGGTGATTAAAACTGAGGGAGACCAGTCTTGGTAAACAGCACCACCCAGGACACGTGAATACACCAACTTTTATGGAGGAGGAAGGCAAACAAAGGGTGGCAGAATCCAGTTATTTCCTAAGGAGTCCTTCATTCTAAACACTTCTGGTGGGTCAATCTTGAGCCTGATTTTAGTGCCATGTATTCTTAATCAGCATAATAAATCTTACTAGGAAAAAATAGGCCTCAAAGGAATTCAATGACTCTAAAATAAAATACATGTATATCGAAGACAACCAGATTTACAAAAATTAACAATAGTTTAAAATATGTGACCATGTGTGGTGGTTTACGTCTGTAATCCCAGCACTTTGGGAGTCCAAGACAGGAGCATTGCTTGAAGCTAGGAGTTTGAGATCAGCTCGGGCAACCAAGAGAGCCCCTGTCTCTACAAAATAAATAATAATTTAAAAAAATAGCTAGGTGTGTCAGCATGCACTTGTAGTCCCAGTTACCAAGGAGGCTGAGGCAGGAGAATCTCTTGAGCCCAGGAGGTCAAGGCTGCAGTTAGCTAGGAGGCTGTCACCACTGCACTTGCTCCAGCCTGAGTAACAGAAAGACACTGTCTCTGAAGAAAAAAAAAAGTTAAAATAAATCCAAAAATATGTATAGTAAATGTTCTCAAAGACATAAGGCACAATATTTGAACCTGAAGAAGAAATTAGCAAACATAAAATATTTTTTCAGTATGAAAACCATATCTGTTGAAATGAAGGATTAAATATATGGTATAAACAGCAGAAGGGTTAAATTTGAGGAGTGCTCATTAGTGAGATGGAAGATAATGTTCAAATAATAATAAATTTTTTTTTAAATTTAGAAAACTAGACTTCACATGTACTGCTGATGGGAGTACAGACTGATGCAACTATCCAGAGAGCAATGTGGAGTGAAATGAAATCCAAACCTATGAACCAGCAATCCTACTCTTGATCCACATGGCAAATAAGTTTAAACTCATGAAAGGATATGATATCCATTAGAGACATTTGTTGTTGCAGGGAGTTGGAAGGAGGCAAAGAATCTATCACTGTAATACACACACACACAATTGTTTATAAAAATGGAATACAGGCCAGGTGTGGTGGCTCATGCCTATAATCACAGTGCTTTGGGAGGCCGAGGCGGGCAGATCACAAGGTTAGGAGTTTGAGACCAGCCTGTCCAATATGGTGAAACTCCATCTCTACTAAAAATACAAAACTTAGCCAGGTGTGGTGACACGCGCCTGTAGTTCCAGGTACTCGGGAGGCTGAGGCAGAAGAATCACTTGAACACGGGAGTCAGAGGTTGCAATGAGCCGAGATCACGCCACTGCACTCCAGCCTGGGCAACAGAGCGAGACTCCATCTCAAAAAAAAAAAAAAGAAGAAAAAGAAGTAATAGTGTGCTGTGCAGCATGAAAAAAAAATGAGGTAAAGATACACACGATAACAAGAATAGGTCTTAATAATATAGTGTTGGATTTACAAAAGTAAAAACTATATATACAACATATAACTCAAAAACAACCACAAAATTTTATAGTTTTCAAAAAATGCATATTCAAGGGTCTACCACAAACACATGAATGCAATTGAAGTAAGAGGGAGAAGCAGAAGGAAATAAAAATAGAGATTAGAGATTAGGGCAAGATAAAATAATTAGATAAAATAAATCAAGAAATTCCTATTTTATTTATCATGATAAGAATGTACTTTAAAAAGAGGATGACTACATAAAATGAGTTAGGGAGGAGTACCTCTTTTTCTATTGTTTGGAATAATTTCAGAAGGAATGATACCAGTTCCTCTTTGTACCTCTGGTAGAATTTGGCTGTGAATCCGTCTGGTCCTGAGCCTTTTTTTTTTGGTTGGTAGGCTATAATTACTGCCTCAATTTCAGAACTTGTTATTGATCTATTCAGGGATTTGACTTCTTCTTGGTTTAGTCTTGGGAGAGTGGATGTGTCCAGGAATGTATCAATTTTTTCTAGATTTTCTAGTTTATTTGTGTAGAGGTTTTTATAGTATTCTCTGATGGTAGTTTGTATTTCTGGGGGATCAGTAGTGATATCCCCTTTATCATTTTTTATTGTGTCTATTTGAGTCTTCTCTCTTTTCTTCTTTATTAGTCTGGGTAGTGGTCTATCTATTTTGTTGATCTTTTCAAAAAAACCCCTCCTGGATTCATTGATTTTTTGAAGGACTTTTCATGTCTCTGTCTCCTTCAGTTCTGCTCTGATTTTAGTTGTTTCTTGTCTTCTGCTAGCTTTTGAATTTGTTTGCTCTTGCTTCTCTAGTTCTTTTAATTGTGATGTTAGGGTGTCAACTTTAGATCTTTCCTGCTTTCTCCTGTGGACACTTAGTGCTATAAATTTCCCTCTAAACATTGCTTTAGCTGTGTCCCAGAGATTCTGGTATGTTGTGTCTTTGTTCTCATTGTTTTCAAAGATCTTATTTCTTTCTGCCTTAATTTCATTATTTGCCCAGTAGTCACTCAGGAGCAGCTTGTTCAGTTTCCATGTAATTGTGCAGTTTTGAGTGAGTTTCTTAATCCTGAGTTCTAATTTGATTGCACTGTGGTCTGAGAGACTGTTTGTTATTATTTCCATTCTTTTGCATTTGCTGAGGAGTGTTTTACTTCCAATTATGTGGTCGATTTTAGAGTAAGTGTGATGTGGTACTGAGAAGAATGCATATTCTGTCGATTTGGGGTGGAGAGTTCTGTAAATGTCTACTAGGTATGCTTGGTCCAGAGCTGAGTTCAAGTCCTAAATATCCTTGTTAATTTTCTGTCTTCTTGATCTGTCTAATATTGACAGTGGGGTGTTAAAGTCTCCCACTCTTATTGTGTGGGAGTCTAAGTCTCTTTGTAGGTCTCTAAGAATTTGCTTTATCAATCTGGGTGCTCCTATATTGGATATATATATATATATATAATCGTTGGCACTCCTTGTTGCGTTGATCCATTTACCATTATGTAATGCCCTTCTTTGTCTTTTTTCATTTTTGTTGATTTAAAGTCTGTTTTATCAGATACTAGGATTGCAACCCCTGCAAGGCTACAGTAACCAAAACAGCATGGTACTGGTACCAAAATGGATATATAGACCAATGGAACAGAACAGAGGCCTCAGAAATAATGCCAGACATCTACAACCATCTGATCTTTGACAAACCTGACAAAAACAAGTAATGGGAAAAGTATTCCCTATTTAATAAATGGTGCTGGGAAACTAGCTAGCCATATACAGAAAACTGAAACTGGACCCCTTCCTTAACACCTTATACAAAAATTGACTCAAGCTGCATTGAAGACTTAAACATAAGACCTAAAACATTAAAACCCTAGAAGAAAGCCTAGTGAATACCATTCAGGACATAGACATGGGCAAAGACTTCATGACTAAAACACCAAAAGCAATAACAATCAAAATTGACAAATGAGATCTGATTAAACTAAAAAGCTTCTGCACAGCAAAAGAAACTATCATCAGAGTGAACAGGCAACCTAAAGAATGGGAGAAAATTTTTGCAATCTACCCATCTGACAAAGGGCTAATATCCAGAATCTACAAGGAACTTAAACAAATTTACAAGAAGAAAAAAAACAATCCCATCAAAAAGTGAGCGAAGCATACTAACAGACACTTCTCAAAAGAAGACATTTATGTGGCCAAAAAACACATGAAAAAAAATTCAACACTGGGCTTTACAGAAATGCAAATCAAAACCACAATGAGATAAAAATGAAGAATTCATGTCCTTTGTAGGGACATGGATGAAGCTGGAAACCATCATTCTCAGCAAACTATCGCAAGGACAAAAAAACAAACACTGCATGTTCTCACTCATAAGTGGGAATTGAACAATGAGAACACATGGACACAGGAAGGGGAACATCACACACCGGGGCTTGTCATGGGGTGGGGGGAGGGAGGAGGGATAGCATTAGGAGATATACCTAATGTTAAATGATGAGTTAATGGGCGCAGCACACCAATATGGCACATGTATACATATGTAACAAACCTGCATGTTGTGCACATATACCCTAAAACTTAAAGTATAATTAAAAAAAACCACAATGAGATGCCATCTGGCATAAGCCAGTTAGAATGGATATCATTAAAAAGTTAGGAAACAACAGATGCTGGAGAGGATGTGGAGAAATAGGAACGCTTTTACACTGTTGGTGGGAATGTATATTAGTTCAACCATTGTGGAAGACAATGTGGTGATTCCTCAAGGATCTAGAACCAGATATATCATTTGACCCAGGAATCCCTTTACTGGGTATATACCCACAGGATTATAAATCATTCTACTATAAAGACACATGCACATGTATGTTTACTGCAGCAGTATTCACAATAGCAAAGACTTGGGACCAACAAAAATGCTCATCAATGACAGACTGGATAAAGAAATTGTGAAACATATACACCATGGAATACTATGCAACCATAAAAAGGATTAGTTCATGTCCTTCACGGGGACACAGATGAAGTGGGAAACCATCATTCTCAGCAAAAATACACAGGAACAGAAAAACAAATATCGCATGTTCTCACTCATAAGTGGGAGTTGAAAAACGAGAACACATGAACACAGGCAGGGGAACATCACACACTGGGGCCTGTTGTGGGGTGGGGAGCTAAATAAATATAAATATAATTTAAATATATACATAAATATAATATAAAATGTTATGACTAAATTCTTTGTTAAATGAAAAGTGAATGAACAAGTAAACAAATGAATCAATAAAGGTAGATCAGTAAGATTGGACCTGTTACTTTTCTGATACACTTCTGTCAGCATCTATGCCAAGCTTTGCCTAACCACCTTAAGCTCCCAATGGTCCCAATTTCTTTATTCTTGACAAATGAACTCATTTCTACTTTATTGAAACCATCAGTGACCATCTATAAAGAGCTCCTTTATGTACCTATAAATCATCCTAGCTCACATTTTCCTACATTTGAAATCACCCATTCTTGAATTTTCAGTGCCCATTGTCCAGACTAACTTTTCCACTAGAACTTTAAATTCAATCAATTCCTTTTATCTTTAGCATCAAATATTCTCTATCAGCTTTAAGCTGTTAATCCTCTGTGGTTCCTCCTGTACTAATGCAGACTCATGCTAGTCCATTCCAAAAGACCTCCTTGATATGGCTACTATTACATAGTCCTTCCTTTATTAAAAATATTTCATCTCTAACTCCCTATTGTAACAATGTGTTGTTATGCTTTAAGTTTCTTCCTAAAATTTTTCATTAATAACCTACTAAGAAATAAAATATACTAACTTATAGTATTCTGTGACTAAGATATCTAAAGTTTGGTTTGATAGTCCACTTAAGGAGTAGATTTTCCCATCTCTTTCTTTGGGAAAAGGAACCTAGCCAAGCCCAGATTTGTGTGTCTATGTGAATCAGTAACACTTCAGGAAGGAAGTATGACATAGTGGTTAAGGTAACAATCTCTAAAATCAGACTAAGTATATTCAAATGCCAATCTTAGCAGTTATTAGGTATGTAAAGTTGAAGAATTTCATTACATCTTCTGATACAATTTTCTCATCTGCAAAAGTGTGTATTGGTAATATAGGCATTATATTTTTGTGAAAATTAAATAAAACAATAAATACAAAATAATATTTTTAGTGTTAGGCTCATAGTAAAGGGTTACTATGTATTATTGTCATTTCACTGTGGCTCTTATTTCTGAAGGACAGGACAGTCTACTAAATGTATTGTAATGTAATGAAAATAACTAAGCCAAGTTATTCTATTATTTTGTAAAGTATCTCTGGTTTTTCATTCATTAAAAAACATGCCTCTCTTTTGGGGACACTCCATTGTCCTTTTCTTCTAGTCACATTGAAGTCTGTTTGCCTTTGAAGGCAGCCACATTAACTCACTGTCTACAGGGAAAAATCGCACCCCTTTTTATGGGAGGAAGTACAGATTTTTGATTCCTGAGTCCTGTTAATACAAGTAGCACCTCAGACTTTACCTAGATTGATATCCCTCTTTCTCCATTTCTCAGCTTGCAAAATGGAGTGGGCAATTGTTTAAGGGGAAAAGTGTATGTGCTTTCAAATTCCAGTTCACTTCTCATTAGTGAAATCTGTGGATTGGTGAATACAATTAATCTCCTGAATTATACTTTGCAAAAACAACCAACACTTTTTCTTAGACACAATACAATGCAATTTCAACTAAAGAAAGAATATTACCTATTAGCATAATCATGCCCATTATTTTAATAACAATAAATGGATATTCATTATCCATTTTTGTGCTGAGAATCATTTGGTGTTTTATTCCTTTCCTGTAGACCTGAAGGTATCAAAATGCTACAGCAGTAGTAAATAGTAATCTTTGTTGTTAGAGAAAGAGGCAATGGTTTTGATTACATTCTGGTTTGAGGTAATCTGATTGTGATAGCATGTTTGGTGAGAGAAATTTGTGATCAATTTCTTTCTAACATTATTATTTACTGTAATATTTTTAAAATCTATCAACCTGTCCTTTTAAGGCTTTTATAACATGAACCTATCCTGAATATTTTTGTTTCTGTCTAATGCTTTATTTCTTTTCTTGATTTTTAACTTTCCATCTAAACCATTACTTTTTCTCAAAATAGTGTAAACCATCATCTCTATGTAAATGAGTATACTAAAAATACATCATAATACCTATCCTGAGATCCAGTCTCAAATTTCCAACTTTTTTCTGGCCATTTTCATTTTTTACTTTGTTTTATGTATAAAGAAAACAAACAAAAACTAGCAAAAACATAAAACTGGCTCCAGCTCTTATGCCAGGTGCTAGAGTAAAGGACAAAGTTCCTGACTCAAGTTTCTCCTATTTATGTCAAAGGTACTATTGTCAAACTGATCAAAAATTTGTGGTCACAGACATTGTCATTACCTTGGTTTGCCTATGCCTACTCATATACTTAAATTCTTTTTTTCAATGATTTCTCAAATTTATTTCTACTTTCTTTACCTTCTGTGACCCTTACACTTAAAAGGTGAAAGTGGAAGACAGTCTTTTGATTTTTTTTTTGAATGCACAAAATACATGTTATTCCCTGACTCTCCTTTTGATGGATAGCTCTTTTTTGAGCAATTTACAATCATTTTCTTTTTTTGATTATTTATGAATAAAGTTCAAATTCTCACATCTAATATTCTAAATCCTTCATAATTTGTCCCAACATTTACTTCTAATTGTATATTCAAATATTCTGAAACAATCACATTATTCTGTCTAATGTATGCATTCTATACTTCTGAATGTTTTCTATGCTTATCACCAAATTTGCACTTGTCTTTTGAATAATCCATAATGCCTTTTTCCTCTTCCCCATATTATTGAAGAGTATCACATAATAGGAAGCTCTATTAACCTTTCTTTGATCATCATAGTCCACGATGGCATCTCCCTCCTTAGAAGATCCCCAATATATATTGCATAGCACTTTTCTGAAAGTTACTTTTTTGTGTTTATGTTTCTTATGTTCAGACTTGGATATTAAGTGACCTGAAGATAAAAGATCTGTATTCTACATCTTCTGTTCACACATAGCACTTACTGAGGAACTATACACATAGCAATTCTATAAAGTAGGGAGTGTTTTCTAGAAAAGAAGTGACTATGTGTTGATACGTCTCCTTCAATTTTATTAATAAACTTTCATTTATGAATATGTATTAAAAGTTTCTTTAGGCTCTCTTTGTATGTTTGACCCATTTCGTGGTAAATGTGAACAGTGGAACAAGATAGTTGCAGTGCTAAACTTAGACTAAAGGGAAGAGGAACTCAGGTTCTAGGCCAGCCCTTTAGAGTGAACCACAAACCACTTTCACCTTCCTCCCATGGGGGCTGGGAAGGAGAGTAGAAGGGGAAGTGGCGATGAGTCCACAAAACAAGTGAATGTGCTCATGTGAAACAAGACTCATGCCCATCCATGTGCTATGCCAATGTACCAATACTCAAGACTCTGGATTCCTCTTTAGGAGAAATAAAAGGTCCTAAGATTGCTTTCAAGGTCTATTCAAGGCCATTCCCTACACCAGCCTTTTTGAAGGTGGACTGGTGTGTACAACCCTTGGTCAAAGGGATGTCTCATGAGGAGATGCTGGACAAATAGGCTGCAGTATCTTGGATGTAACAAACCCCTCATCCAGCAAGATGGAAAGAGGGGTGGAAAGAGAATGAAATTGACTATGACCTGGGGCCTCTTTCCAATCCTCACATTCCATTGTGGACCTCTCCTGGCAGTCCAAGAATGCAGATTTCAATTTAATTTTTTAAGTTGTTATGAAGTTGTCAATGTAGGAATTTCAATACACTTTAACAGTTCTTAAGCTTGATTGATGTCTTATAAATATGTAGTCATTAATATGTGGGTCTAGATTTGCAATACTTCTGAACTTCCACAAATGTTAGGGACAGGCCTGAATAGCTAACTTTTTTCTTTTATTTCAAGTTGACTTAATATTATAAAAAACATTTTATTTTTTCCTTTAATAGAGTCAAGTATACAGTTTCTGTTTTCATCCAGTAACTTTAGCAGAGACTTTTTCTCTCTGCTAGTGAAAGAGAGGACTCAGGTTTAGAGGAAATTTGCTTTTTCAGAACATTTGATCTTCGTAACACATCAAGATGTATTTAGAGAAAAGAACACACGGACTTAGTACTATTTATAAATAGCTTCTTTACCCTTACTCCTAAATTAAAACAAAACTAAAACCTAGGAAAAGCACTTGCATTATACAAAATTTATACTTTAGCTATTTCTACATTTAAAAATAAAATAATATAAATCACCAATTTTACGTTTTAAGCAAAAGTGTATTCTCAAACTTTATATTATTCAGCAATACCTATTACTCTCCAAGTATATGCATGTATCATTTCTCTCATTTAAAGTCTCTGACCACATCTAGAAAAAGTGAAAAATGGTGCAGTCATTACATCTTGGTTTTGGAACTGGGAATTTTATTTAGCACAATATAAATAATTAGGGAGTAATTCCTTTTATACTATTTTTCATCCACTTTTTTTTTTTTTTTTTTTTTTTTTTTTTTTTTTTTTTTTGAGACGGAGTCTTGCTCTGTCGCGCAGGCTGGAGTGCAGTGGCGCGATCTCCGCTTACTGCAAGCTCTGCCTCCCGCGTTCACGCCATTCTCCTGCCTCAGCCTCCAGAGTAGCTGGGATTACAGGTGCCCGCCATCAGGCCTGGCTATTTTTTTGTATTTTTAGTAGAGCCGGGGTTTCACCATGTTAGCCACGATGGTCTCAATCTCCTGACCTCGTGATCTGCCCGCCTCGGCCTCCCAAAATTCTGGGATTACAGGCGTGAGCCACCGCGCCTGGCCTCTTTTTTTTTTTTTTTTTAACCATTTCTGATTTACTGAAACCCAGTCTGTATTTAATAAGGCTTAAACATTTGTATGTTTAATGTAACAATATGTCCTCAGTGACAGCTTGATTAGATTTGGATTTTAAAAGTCACTGTAGGAGGAAAAATATCAAAGAAGGGATACATACTGGTGACAAATACTTTTAAAATAGCATAACTCAAGTAACGCAAGTCAGTCTCGCCAGCCAAATGAAAATTATAGGTGGAAATCTCACACTGAACCTGGAGAATTTCCCGTTCCTGTTAAAGTATTTTCTTACTGATGTATTCATAAAACAATACTGTCCATTTATGTCTTTCAGAAACCATTCTATTATTTTCATTAACATACCTGTATATTAGAATAAAAACTTTACAAGGTTATGTTTTCATTTTCCACTTTTTTTTCTTGTTTCTGTATTACTTTTTATATCAGTTTAATTTTGGCATTTAACCTAGCTATCTAATACCTTGGCAGTCAACACATTTCCCACTGTTGCTCTTGAATATAATGCTGTCAGAGAGTGGGATATGAGAAAAGCAAGAGGTTTTCTAAAAGGAAAATATCTATCTATCTATCTATCTATCTATCTATCTATCATCTATCTATCTATCTATCCATCTATCTATCTATGTATCTATCGATCATCAGGAGAGACAGCCTAGAGACATTATAAAAGAATTAAATTCAAATTGTAAGATCATAATAAAGTTTAACACATCATGATTTATAAACTACAGATATAAACTAAGTAACTTGCTTAAAGCTCCAGATGCTGCTTTCCATAATATTTTAAGTGAAATACTGTGTGTATAACTTAAAACCTTTAGGCCATGAAGACCATGGAGAATATTTTAAGAATCAGTCACAATCTGAAGTGACATTATTGTTTTTTGTTTCAGTACACATTAGTACCAATTAGTTAATTTTAATTTGTGGAATGAATCAGTAAACAATAAAAGTGTATGAAAGGGTAAAGCACAATTTAAAGTGTTTTGGAAAATGTGGTCAGAAAACAACATAAGATCAGTAGAATAATTCTAGCATATCCATAGAATAATTAATATTATCACTATAGTAAACATGATTTAGCTCACACTATTTGGCGAAAAGAAAATTCACTTGCAGTATTCTGCACATTGTGTTATTTCTGCTCAAATGACATACTTACAATAATTTGATTGAAATCATGTGACTCTCCTGAAGAATCATGTTCTATCTTCTGGTTTAAGGCTATGTAAATATTAAGAGACATACAGTGATCCATCTTCTTTGTGTGGAAATGATCAAACACTACAAGTCAGTTAATGTGTTTTCAATGGTGAGGGGTTAATACCAAAAGATTTATGTTAGAATTGTATAGCATCTATATTTCTAATCCTTAGTTATTTGTATGAACAATTAGAAGTCTGACCTGTTTGGAACTTATTTTGGGGTAAATAGGTTCCCAAGCCTTCTTGCAAAGGACATGCAAATAATGAAAATATGATATTAAGAACCACTCCACTGTTATTAAAATGAAGATGAAAAGAATTAAATCAAAGTCTGCCATAGAATAATTTATAGATACCATATTGAACATTTTCTAAATATGCCCACATTCTTGGAGTGGCAGATAATGTGTTAACATTATAATAAGCATGAGTTAATAAACATTATGCATATTCTCTACTACAGATGAGTATACTTTTTGGCCCTTTTAATGAAGGATGGGGAATAAGCAACTCCCTGTAAGGAGAAGAACAGAAATGGATCCATTTTTGACTTGAAACTTTTATAAAAATAGCTGTATTTAATAATGTTTTACTTATCATGGGTACATTTTTTTTTAACTTGTGTTCATAAGGTAGATTCATTCAGCAAAAGAGTAACCGGTACTAGGAGAGAAGTAAGAAATTCATGGCTGAGTTAATATAGTTAAACTATATCCGTCTGAAACTCTTTCTCTCTGAGGAAGCTTTTAAAATTATTTTTTCATTTTTCCAGACCTTTTTTCTTGATCTCTGTATTTTCCTCTAAAGCAAAGACTATCAATGACATTCTTAAACTTTGAAAGATTTAGGATGAAGGGAATATTTACTTATATTTTAGAAATAGTGCAATTTTAGAGACTGAGAAGTCTCTCAGGTTATTATCATCAATGTAGAACTTACCAGAGATGACTTTGGCTTTCTAAAGCATCTAAAATAAGCTATAGTATGCCCATGTTCCTGCAGCATTGGACTTACATAATTTCAAATGTTTAAAAATACCTTTCATGGATGCCTTTACAGGTATGCATAAACAAAATATCTCATTTTTTTAAATCATTCTGCCCTCCATATGAAACTATTGGTCTATTAGATATATTTTTATTTTTTAACTGTTGATTTGAAATTATTATAGATTTACAGAAGGTTGCAAATATAGTACAGAGAGGTCTCTCATACTCTTCACCTAGTTTCCCCAGTGGTTACATTTTTTTTGTAGCTACAGTAAAACATTAAAACCAAGAAACTGACATTGAAAAAATGTGTATGCATACATCTGTCATTTTATTACATGTGTAAATTCTTGTGACCACTACCACTATCAAAATATCTAACACTTCTAGTGAAGTGTAAAAATCTTATCTCATTGGAAGTCTCTTTACCCATCCTTGTTTATATAATTTTTTAAATTTTTCATTTAGGTATTGATAACCATTTCGATGTTACAGTTTTTGATTCAAAAGTCAAACATAATTTAGAAAACTCAAGAAGAAAAATCTGTTGTACTTATTCATATTTTTGCTCTTTGTTACTCTTACATTTTTCTGATGATTTCAGGCCCCTTATTCATTTTATGTTTCAAGAACTTTTTGCTTTTCTTTAGGGTAGGTCTGTTTGCAACCAATTCTTAATTTTTCTTCTTCTGAGAATTTATTTAATTCTCCTTCATTTCTAAAGGACATTTTTGCCTAATACAGAATTCTGGATTGACAGTTCTTGTTTTGCAGTACTTGAGAAATATATCACTTCCTTTTGGCCACCATTATTTCTGACAGGAAATCATTGTCATTCAAATTGTTTTTCTTCTGGAGAGATGAAGCATTGTTTTACCTCACTGTTTCCAAGATTTTTTCTTCTGCTGTTTTCTGAAATTGACCTTTCTTTGTTGATTTTTTTGTATCTGTCCCATTTTAGATTTTCTCATTTCTTGAATCTGTAGTTGTATGTCTTTTGCCAAACTCGAAAATGTTTTGGACATTATTTTTTCAAATATATTTTTAGCCCAACCCACTTTTGCCTTTCCTTCTAGGACTCTGATGACATGAATAGTAGATTTTTTGCTATAGTCTTATAGGTCCTTGAGGCTCTGTTCTTTTTTTTTTTTTTTTCATTTTCAGTCTATATTCCCTCTGGTCTTTGGATTAGTAAATTTTTAATGTCCTATTTTCAAGTTCACTTATTCTTTTCTCTATTTCCTCCATTACCCTATTGAGCCATCAAGTATTTTTTAAAGTTTCAATTATATTTTTCGGTGGCAAAATTTCTATTTGTCTCTTGGCATCTTCTATTTCTTTGTAAAGCTTTCCATTGTTTCATTTGTTTCAGCATATTCGCAATTGCTCATTAAAACATTTTTATGGTGGTGGCTTTAAAATCCTTGTGAATAAATCTAATTTATGTGTTATCACTGTGTTGGCATGTGTTATCTCATTCAAGATGAGATTTTTTTCTGGTGCTTGATATGCTGAGTAATTTTCAATGTATCTAGGGTAATTTGGATATTATGCTATGAGGCTCTGTATTTTAACTCTTGGAAATAAACCTCCTGTGACACCACACATGGTGAAAGTGGGGGTGCCTTGTTATTGCTAGGTGGTGATAAAAATTTATCCCTGCTCAACCACCTTTGGAGAGTGGGGGATTTTTTTCTTGTTTCTGCTCCCACTATGGCCTACACTGAAGGGAAGGCAAACATCAGGAGGCCTTGGACCTTTTTACCACTAGATGATGATGAAAGTTCCAACTTCTCACTTAGTTTACTTTGACACCTAAGGAATCTGGTGGAGAAGGACGGGGCACATTGTAACTACCTGGCAGAGAAGAAAGTTCTAGATTCCCACACGGCCTTCTCTGATATCACCCAGATATTGATAGGCGGCAGGGCCTGTTAGTTTGTGTTTGTGTTTAAATTACACATTACCAATAGTATCACTTTGCATAAACCTATACTAAACTAAAAGCACGGACCCCACAGAAGATATGTAATTAAAGTTATCTTGTAGTATGCAGGTCTTTTTCACAGATGCATTCAGTGTGTGGTTTAAAAGGAAGTTAAAAGTTTAGTTCTAGTTACCATGCTAGAAGAACTTAATATGTAAAAGATGACATCATCAAAGACAGTGAAAGTCCTCTTTAATGTCTCAAGGCTTTTCATTGTGTATCACGAAATTTTGGTTATCTGTTTCTTTTCAGTAAATATTTAGTCTATTTTTCTAAGTTTAATATATTAGGATTTTCATTTTCATTAATCCTTAGTGTTTGTACTACTGATATTTGCACATACAGTATGAGAACATACATTTCAATTGATCATTTTTTAAAAATTTCTTTGAGATATATCAAAAGTTCTATACCATATAAAGGAAAGTTATTCTACTATTCTAAAGCAGCTCATAAAATACAATGTACAAATAGGACAAAATACATACAAGAAGCAGGAGAAATGTTCCTAAGCAGCTCCACTGATACAGTGGAGATATAATCTCTCCTCTCTATTGAATGAATTTGCTGAGGGTCGGTGCATATAGTAGTCAATGGAATACAAACCAATAAAAATATGATAGATAAATAGAATGAAAAGTATCCAAGGGTCAAGTGCTAAATCTGTTCTGCTGATTCCAGCTGGTATTTCCTTTTCTTCTTTAACCCACATGAAGACACTCTACTAAACAGTCATGTATATCTCAGGCATACTGGTTTTCATTTGTAATTTTCATTTTATTGCACTTTCAATTTTCAGGTTTTGTCCATCTTTCTTCCCCTTGGCCCTTCCATCACTTCTGCTACTTGATGAATTCTGTCTTAAACAGTAGCTAGAATATAAACATTTAATAAAATATTAACCTGATTGCTTGCCCTCCCTATAAACAATAAAATGACATACATGAACAAATGACAAATACAATATTTTATGTTGTGTTTATTTCTACCTTTCTCTGAGGCTTCTTTTAATCTTTATTAAAGTTTATTATAGCAAACTACTATCAAATATTTCCATGCATTTAACTGGTTATTGTAACATCAACACAAGAGAGCAAATGAAACTTGTGAAGCTTCTACTTTCTATTGCTCTAAGGTGTCTATGCAGATCATTATGTATTCTTCACCACAGGTCAGTTGCTTAGTGACCAGAGAAGTAGAGAACTACTAATTGAAAGTATTCTGTATTGCTGGCAAGGCTTGCTGCAGGATGTTGAACTTGGAAACAGCAGAGACTGTGTCAGATAAAAATGTTGCAGAGGATGAAAGAAAAATAGTTGCAGCATTATCATACTAGGAATGGTTATTATTTACTTTATGGTAAATTCTGCAAAATGCTTTGCTGTGCTTCTGTTTTATAAGATTAAAATTGATTTTACTATTAAGGATCATTTACACAATCAGATTAAAAATCAGAGTTGTGGCATCTATTTTTAAAAAGTAAAACAGAACACAAAGGAGAAAAAGAAGAGGAGGACAAAAGAGAAGAAACAGAAGCAACAGCACTAAGTTAGATCCAGGTCCCTAAAGATAAGTAACAATATCTGTATGAACTTTTCTGATTGCTTATTTTATTTTGTAATGAAAACAAAGAAAGAGGATGAGGAGGAAGATGAGGATGAGGAGACTGAGGAGGAAGGCAAGGAGAATAAGGAAGAGGAGCAAGAGGTAAAGGAGAAGAAAAGAAAAAAGAGATAAGATTATTAAAAATCAAACTAAATACATATTGGAAAAACAATTGAAAAACAAACCAAAAGTAGCAACACTCTAACAGAGCAATAGTATAAACAAATTTATTCAAAGCATTAATTTTATATTAGTCTGTATCAGGCTTTCTAACCTGTACATTATATAAAATTAGGATTATTTTCTCTCTTCTTTCCATGTAATGTACAATTCATGTATCCATCAAAAATAGATGAGTGGTCATTGTGTGACATCTTTCACTTAATAGAAAAGACTAGGTCAGAAAAGAGAAAATGTCCTTCACAAGACCAAGACTAAGTTGGCTCAATTTTCCTGATAGCTTATTTGCTACAAGAATTCTGATATAATTCTGTATTTACAGGCTCATTCTCTCTCTCTCACAATCCACAGGCATACAAACAAAGTGTGTGTGTGTGTGTGTGTGTGTGCACATGCGTTTGACAAAGAGAGAGAGAAAAAGACTTGAATAACTGTTTCTTATGAGAATTCATTTGTGGTAATGGTTGCTACTTGTATTTCTATAAAGATTACTCCTAGTAATGATTGAAAAACAGGACATATGTTAATTAAATGTTCAGTGACTTTATAGTTAAATATACATATAATGCACATTCCAAGTTTTTAAAAAAATAACAATCAATAAATAGCTAAATGTTTTAAATCATAACTGGTCAGAATTTAGTTGTTAATATTCAGATACCATTTCAATATCGTGTAGAGTCATTATGAATATCATTTGTCTGCAGTACTCTGAAGATAAAGGTGGTAAAACATGTGTTAGTCAATGGTCTACCTGTTATACAGCCTTTTAAAACAAATCCTTGGCATGAGATTGTCATTTGTCTGTTTCTCATAAAAGCTGAGTGTAGAACATCCTAAAAATCCAGTTCAGCTTTTTTATTCTTGTTACATTTCTGCAGAATTTTAATATAACTTTCCTTTTGTGTATTTATGCCTACTGTTTCTATTTACTTATAGGTGGCCTGAATTTTTTATCCAGAGAAAAAGTTAATGCAAGAAAGAATTTAAAAATGTATGGTAGATTATCAAAATTCTTAACTGAAAAAAAGGTCAAATCCTAGGTTTTCTTCTAGGGTTTTTATGGTTTTAGGTCTAACGTTTAAATCTTTAATCCATCTTGAATTGATTTTTGTATAAGGTGTAAGGAAGGGATCCAGTTTCAGCTTTCTACATATGCCTAGCCAGTTTTCCCAGCACCATTTATTAAATAGGGAATCCTTTCCCCATTGCTTGTTTTTCTCAGGTTTGTCAAAGATCAGATAGTTGTAGATATGCGGCATTATTTCTGAGAGCTCTGTTCTGTTCCATTGATCTATATCTCTGTTTTGGTACCAGTACCATGCTGTTTTGGTTACTGTAGCCTTGTAGTATAGTTTGAAGTCAGGTAGTGTGATGCCTCCAGCTTTGTTCTTTTGGCTTAGGATTGACTTGGTGATGCGGGCTCTTTTTTGGTTCCATATGAACTTTAAAGTAGTTTTTTCCAATTCTGTGAAGAAAGTCATTGGTAGCTTGATGGGGATGGCATTGAATCTGTAAATTACCTTAGGCAGTATGGCCATCTTCACGATATTGATTCTTCCTACCCATGAGCATGGAATGTTCTTCCATTTGTTTGTGTCCTCTTTTATTTCCTTGAGCAGTGGTTTATAGGCGTGGGCAAGGACTTCATGTCCAAAACACCAAAAGCAATGGCAACAAAAGCCAAAATTGACAAATGGGATCTAATTAAACTAAAGAGCTTCTGCACAGCAAAAGAAACTACCATCAGAGTGAACAGGCAACCTACAACATGGGAGAAAATTTTCGCAACCTACTCATCTGACAAAGGGCTAATATCCAGAATCTACAATGAACTCAAACAAATTTACAAGAAAAAAGCAAACAACCCCATCAAAAAGTGGGCGAAGGACATGAACAGACACTTCTCAAAAGAAGACATTTATGCAGCCAAAAAACACATGAAAAAATGCTCATCATCACTGGCCATCAGAGAAATGCAAATCAAAACCACTATGACATATCATCTCACACCAGTTAGAATGGCAATCATTAAAAAGTCAGGAAACAACAGGTGCTGGAGAGGATGTGGAGAAATAGGAACACTTTTACACTGTTGGTGGGACTGTAAACTAGTTCAACCATTGTGGAAGTCAGTGTGGCGATTCCTCAGGGATCTAGGACTAGAAATACCATTTGACCCAGCCATCCCATTACTGGGTATATACCCAAATGACTATAAATCATGCTGCTATAAAGACACATGCACACGTATGTTTATTGCGGCATTATTCACAATAGCAAAGACTTGGAACCAACCCAAATGTCCAACAATGACAGACTGGATTAAGAAAATGTGGCACATATACACCATGGAATACTATGCAGCCATAAAAAATGATGAGTTCATGTCCTTTGTAGGGACATGGATGAAATTGGAAACCATCATTCTCAGTAAACTATCGCAAGAACAAAAAACCAAACACCGCATATTCTCACTCATAGGTGGGAATTGAACAATGAGATCACATGGACACAGGAAGGGGAATATCACACTCTGGGGACTGTGGTGGGGTCGGGGGAGGGGGGAGGGATAGCATTGGGAGATATACCTAATGCTAGATGACACGTTAGTGGGTGCAGCACACCAGCATGGCTCACGTATACATATGTAACTAACCTGCACAATGTGCACATGTACCCTAAAACTTAAAGTATAATAATAAAAAAAAAGGTCAAATCCACCTTTGCTACAGCACACAACCTAATCTTATATCTGCTCATCTTTTTTGTCTTTGTTTTAAAAACACATACTTGATAATCATATTAGATGGTTACAGCTTTCTATTGCTGCATAATAAACCAGTCTAAACATAGCAGCTTAAAACAGCTAACTAGCACAGATGGACCTGCTCATGATTCTTCAATCTGGGCTGAACTCAGCTGGGTGGCTCATCTCTTCCCTAGATGGTGTCTTCTGCTGGACTATTTAATATGTTTGTATTTAGAGGCAGCTCCATAGGGACTGGAGGATCCTAGCTGGCCCCATTCATATGTTGTGCTGGAATGACTAGAAACTAACTGGGTCTTCCTCTCTATCTTCCCAGTCTTTCATTCCTCCTGGTCTTTTTCATCATAAGGTGTCTCATCCACAAGGACGCTAACCTAGACATCTTTGCACAGTGGCTCAAGGTAAATGACAGAGTAAACAAAAGCTATAAAGCTTCCTTAAGCCTAGGACTGAAACTTATACAGTGTCTCTGTAGCTGCATTCTCATGGCTCAACTAATTCACAAGGCTAATCATTGTCTGGTTGGGAGGATAATGCAAGGACATGAAATCAAAGGACATCCATAATTCATTGGGGACTGTTTGGTAAGAATATGAGTTAAGGCTTAAATTTGTTCGAACACAACTGGTTCTAAAGCATCACATTGTTGTATTAGGTTTCCAGGGTTGTCATAACAAATTACAACAAACTTGATAACTTAAAACAACAGAAATTGATTCTCTCACAGGTCTGGAGGCCAGAAGACAAATCAATGTGTTGGCAGTATTGGTTTCCACTGGAGACCCAGAAAAAACCCATTCCATGCTGTCAGCAATTCTTAGTGGTTTTTGTCTTTCCAATCTCTCTGATTCTGTCTTCACATGCCTCCCCACTTTTTCTGTGTCTTTCTGTTATTCTATCTCTTATAAGGACACTCATTAGATTTAGAATTTATTGTAATAGAGGATGAGCACACTTTATTACCTTATTACATCTTCAAAGATGCTTATTACGATTGAGGTCAGACTGTGAGATTCTGGGTGGACAAACCTTTTGGGCAAACACCATTCAATTCTTACGATTTTCTATCAAAATGTATAATTTTCTCCCATACTTTTTCAGTAATCTCCACCATAAAGAACTTGGATTTAGAATACTTGGATTCAGTAATCTCCATCATAAAGAACTTGGATTTAGAACACTTTTTTTCCACATGTATTTAAGCAATATTTCTCAAAGTATATTCCTGAGAAAAGTATTTCAGTTATTCTATGAGTAAAAAGTTTCTTGGTCACGCAATTTTGGAAATTACTGCTTACTATTAACACCTCCTGGATATTTGCTTTGTGCATTAATTTATTAATGAGAAATTATATAGGAAAATATGCTAAAATTTTAGGAAGCACATGTTTTTCCCAAACACCAATAAACACTAAATATCGCCAATTTTATTCAAATGATACCTATCAACACCTTACAGAAAAAGGGTTATGTGTACCAAAGGTCCTGATTTGACCTATTGTGTTGACTACATGATATCTGTTTCAAAAATATAAACAAAATTACCATGAGTATTACTAAACATTTTAGTAATCTGTGCCCTTGCAATTCAGCAAGCCATTTCAACTACCTGGAATTTTCTTCCTCCTTTTTATGGATAACTCCTACTGGTCCTTTAGATATCAGATTAGAGGTTATTTTCCAAAGAAAGCTTTTCTTCATTCCCCAAAGATTCAGTTAGATGTTCTTCCAGTGATTTTTATAGCTCTCTGTTCTTGGTGGTAATATATCACTGAAACACTACTGTAATTACTTTGGTTTTTGTTCTTTATTTAGTGTTCAACCATATGCTTGCTGAAGTTTAGAATGTTATTCATCATCGATTTTTAAGACACAACAGATATTTAATCAATGCTTATTAAATGAATAGATGAGAAAATTTGACATTGGGTAGAAATCCTTTAAAATATTTTGCATGGAAATCACTTTTTGCTTTCAAAGTAATGTAATTAAAGACTTTTAGTTCCCACAGTTTGCAACAATAATCTTAGGAACTTAACTATTTGTTTTGTGAATAGCTAGCACTAAACAATGAGCTAGAAATTTGATAAAACAGTTCAAATAATTTTTAAATCTCTTTGACTCAACTAGTCATGACTGAATTCATTTATACCATTAGGATATTAACACATCTTTTAAAAAACAGTGTTAAATGGAGCTGGTCAAGCTATGCATTTTAAGAAGAAAAAGTACTCTCTTTTTAATAGGCTCTGTATAAGTAAGGCTATCCTCTTTTTCATAGTTTTTCAGAAACAATAACTTTGTCATTTTCTATACTTATTGATAATTTCCCCAACATATTAACAATTAAGAAATAAAGTTATGGCAGCCTAATTAGTCGAGTCAATACAGGAAGTAAATTGTTAAGACAGTGGGCATACCATCTTAGTTAGTAAGATATGGACATTCAACCACTCTCTTTCCCTACCCTAAGACACACACACTGTCAGAGAAAATGTTATGATGTGACTGAGAACTTTATGCTCAAAGCTTTCCAAAATTTCATATATAAATATTGTACTTTTATCAATATAAGATTTCACACTGTAAGAAAACATTGGCATAGGAATCATTCTCTTTTACACAGTTTGAAAATGAATTTTAATGACACTCATATCTGATAAATAATATAATGTCATGGAGTAAAAGTTATTTTCTTGATATAAATATTTTATCATTTGAGTATATTCTCCTGGAAATCTAGGTGTCAGTTTAACAAAATGCATTTATCAGTTCACTGAATATGACTCCAGGATAAATAAAAAAGAACATTCATATTCAAAAAAAGTAATTTATTTACCTAGTTTATCCCAAGATTTATACTGTCAATGCCTTCATTACAAATTAAGGGCTAAAATATATAGTAAGTTCCTGAAGCTCTACCAAAAGTTATCTATACTAAGTAGAACTAAATTAAATCATTGTGTTAACTTTTTATTCCTATTAAAGGATTTAGTCTTCTTCTAGTTTAGCTATAATAACAAAAGCAAATGTACATCCCTGGTTTCTTGCCAATTATAGCTTGGTCACACCTGCCTAAGTAGTGTTTTATAATAAATACATGGTAAGTAAATTAGTATCCAACCCTCAGGCCTACATGGAATAAATTTGGTGGGGTACTTCTCCCTTGGGAAAAAAAAATGTTGTTAGCATTTTTTGTTTGCTAGTATCCTTTAGACCTACTACCTATAAAAACCCCTCTAAATGAAGCCTCTGGCAGCATTTCAATAAGCTAACTTCCATAGGTTTCTTCAGTTCATGGGGGTATTTTCCTCCTTTAATTTGCCAGCAGAGATCTGACATGAAAAAGTTCAGGTGCTGTTTTATAATACAAGAAAACATATACATGAGACTCCTTGTTCCTTGTCATAATCACATGTACAGTGCTTTAATTTCAACAAATCATATAGAAAAAAGAAGGTTGGTTTAAGTCATCATCACAAATAAAAAAGCCCATAAACCTACACCTATATTGTGGTCTTGTAATTCACCACTTGTAAGCTTGTAAAACCTAAAACTTAATATGCCTACAAATTTTGAATTTTTTAGAATATACTCAATTTGCTTCTACTTCTTCCATTGGGGTTCATGGCTATCTTACATTGTAAGACAGTTAGTAGACCCAGCAGAAATGACTTCAAAATATTTGTGGTTTCTGTGAAAGTTTGAAAATCTGTTGACTCCCTGGTTGTTCTGTTTGGAAGTCTTTTATGCATTGCTTTCCCTTTCTTATTTCTCCTTACACACATACAAACTCTTTTCTTGCCTATTGTGTGTACTTGGCTGATTTTCTGGGCACTGTGCCCAGTTGGTTTAATGTGTGCTTATTATTGTCTATAGCATTCCTGATTCTGTTTTGGAGATGGGTATTCTATGAATTATTAATGATTATTATCATCCTTTAGAATCAACTTTGCTTTTGGAATTTAGAAACAAAAGATGAACATTGAGCCCTATGGGTAATCACCAGCAATATCAAGGCCATGTCCAATGCTTGACTGAAAGGGAAAGGAATAGTGAATATACTGAAGTGAACAAAACAGGATTATTCCTATAAACAGATAAAATTAACAGAAGAAAACTTAAAGTTCAAAATGTATTACTTGAAAAAATGCTCATAATATTATTTTACCATACCCATTTTACCATTTAAATATTACTAGTTTTTTTCCTCAATATCCATTGATAAGCTTATTCTTTAAAAACAGAAGTAGGGAAAGTGCTAGCTTTTTTGCTTCTTATTCACAGGAACTTGTGCACCTGATGTAGTATAGCACATTCTCAAACATCTAATAGGTCACTTCTGAATTTTTCTCTGAATTTTGAATAAGATAAAAGTAATTTGAATTTAGCTATCATTTCAAAGAAGAAAAAAGTTGCATTTGCAAATTATTTACACGAGCACAAATTTTTAGAGAAAAAATACTAGAGAAAGAAAAACATAGAGGAAAATAGGTGGTGAAAAAATTCTTTGGAAGTGCAAAAGAAAGAAAACGTTTATTGGCAATGACACATGATTATTAATCCCCATGTCTAAGTAAATTTGGGGTCTTTACCCTTGCTATAGTTTGGACATGGGTTATTCTCTCCAAAATTCATGTTGAAATTTAATTTCCCATGTAAGGTGTTAGGAGATCGTGCTTTGAAGAGGTGATTAGGTCATTAAGACAAATTAATAACTTTCTGGTGAAACTGGGTTATTTTTCATGATAATGGATTAGTTCTCATAAGAGCCGGTCATTCTAAAGAAAGTTGCCTCTTTTATAAAGCAATGATTTGCCTGATTTCCATTTTGTTTCTCTGCCTTGCTGTGACATAGCATGTGGCTCTCATCAGAAGCTCAACAGATGCCAATGCCATAGTCTTGGACTTTCCAGCCACCAGAACCATAAGCTAAATAAACCTTTTTTTCTTAATAAATTACCCAGTCTCAGGTGTTGTTACAGCAACACAACACAGACCAAGACAACACTACACCTGTAATATGTAATATTTTGAAATTAGATTTTAGCTTAGGAACAATACATACCCAATAAAGTGGAGCTCAGAAGACATCACTTAAGAATTGTTAAATAAGTGCCATCTTTTTGTTTTTATACTGAAAAACAAATGTATCGATTCTCAATTATTTTCTCCCTAATGTAACAATAATAACATAATATTGTATTTTCCAAAACCATTCCTCCTTTCTCTCAATTGTATGTATTTATCCTTTTTTCTTTCTCCTTTTTCTTTTTGGAGTATGATAAATATTTTTAAATCTATCCTCCTGAAATTGCATCTAGGATTTGGATATATTTTGCTATAAATCTTTGCTTCCTTGGAATAAAAATATTCTCTACATTTTTATTATTCTAATGTTGATTCAGCTTTGGAGTTAATTTATATGCAAAGCAAATAATTTACCCAAACTTGTAAAGGATATGCATTATCAGAACACAACACCTGCAGGACAAAAGAGAGGTTAATTTCATTGTTGCTCCAAAGCAGAAGGAGATCATTATGGAGCCTGCAGTAACCAAGCTCTGTGAAATAGCTGCATTAGTCATTAACTTTCCAGCACTAAATTTCATATCAAACTCAATTAAGTACTACATAGCTTTTAATGACAATATTTTTTCAGATGCAGCTCTTGTTTACTAATAAGATTTCACATCATGACTATCTGTTCCATTACTTCCTCCATGTTAATGAATTCAAGTCTTGATTTTCTCCAAAGAAAATGGGGCAATGAAAATTGCATTTCCTAAAATTCTCCTTGAATTATGTTTTAACATTTCAAGTGTGTTAATGTAATGCTTTAGAAGCTAAAGGGAATGAATATATAAGAAGCTAAAGTCATCTGTGTCTATCCTCGGGATTGATTAAGTTTGCTATTTATACATGTTTCCCCCACAACATTGCTGTGTTGGAATTTATCAGGATAGGAACCATCTAAATTGAAAATGCCCCTTCGTATATTTTTATCACAGTGAAAGTCAAAGCCTAGAATAACAAAAAGGCACAAAATTAATATCATCAGGAAACAATTTACTCAGCTAATTAGCATAACATTCTCATATAAAAAGACAGATGGATTAAGGGATCAGGTCATTCATAGCCTGCAGCAAACTGCTTCAGTCTTTAATCCCCTGCTGTTACCTATGAAATGGTACTCTCTTTATGGATTTGGACAGATCCCTGGGAAGATTTAGATTCTCCCATTGGACTGATTCACCTTGTTCCTTTAACTTTTTATTGATGATATATTTCATTATTTCTTGACTAAAACAACAGTAAGAACTCTAAATTAGTTAGCAGCTAAAGAATTGAACTAAAGGCGTATCTCCACATTTCTCATATAGTAGCTTCTACAACACACACACACACACACACACACACACACACACGATGCCCTGCAGTGCTAACAAATAGGCTCCAGCTTGAAGACAACCATAGAAGAGTTTTATATATATATATATCCTACTTCAATAAAAATTGGGATTTCATGCTACATACGCAACATTCAAGACAATTAGGAATAGCACAGCAACAGCCAGTAGTAACTATGAAAAATATCAAATTCTTTACATGGAAGTAGTCAATCAGCATAGATTATAGATTTCCATGAGTCCTTTAAAAATGTTTCCAAAAATAATGTCTAAGAAAACTATTAGTGAAGATGTTTGATCTATTGTATAGAAACCAAAACCAACAAATGAAAGAAAAGGCCTCTGGGAAAAAAAAATTCTTTTAAAGTTTTAGGCTACAGGGAGATAATTTATTTCCTTTTGACTATTGTATTAGCTTTCTAGGGCTGCCATAACAAAGTATCACAATATAGGTGGCTTAAAAAAAAAACAAACATTTATTGTCTCACAGCTCTGTAAGCTAGAAGCCTGAAATCAAGGTGTTGGCAAGATTGGTTCCTTCTGAAAAGTTCTGACTTAAAGTCCGTTCCACGTGTGTCTTCTAGTTTCTGGTGGTTGCCAGCAATTTTTGGTGTTCCTTGACTTGTGCATGCATCACCCCACTGTCTGCCTCCGTCATTACATGGCCTTCTTCCCTATATTTCTTTATGTCTCTCTGTGTCCATATTTTCTTTCTTTATAAAGAAACCAGTCATTGAATTAGGGCCCATCCCATTTCAATATGACCCTGTTTCAAAATAACATCTGCAATAACCTATTTCCAAATAAGGTCACATTCACAAGTATTGGGATTAGTATTTCATTTTGGAGACCCGATTCAACACACAATGACTATAAACAATCAGAATGTTAGTTTATTAATTTATAACAAGAACTATGTTATATAAAATAAAATTCTTACTTCAGCATAAACAGTACATACTTTCCACCCAAACGCACATCTGTATGGGAAAACAAAATGTAGTCACATGATAGCTGGGTATGTATTAGATCAGAAAAATAAAGTTCAATGATTAGAATATTTAACACCATCAAGCTAATATAAATGTACACATGCATTTATTTTTATTGTAGGAAGGCTTACCAACTTAACTGGCAATTTCACTTGCCCAGACTTCCTACCTCAGGAATTGGACTTCCACTTAGGTGGAAAAGATATTTATGCCTTAAAGATTCATCTGTAGCTCAGTTTCCATAGGCAACTAATTCTCCTTTAATTGACAGACTCTTTCTATAGCTATGTTAATAAATTCAGTTCCAACATAGTAAAATCCTCTGACTTTACCCCCCTTAGGTTAGTTTACTGTGCTTCAGAAGGCATTCTTTCTTCTCTTGGTTTTATATATTTATAAAGGGTTATATAAAACTAAGAGGGTTGTATTTTTGTAGCCATCTTTCTGATTATCCCCATGTACTGAGAATATGTGTGTGTGTGTGTGTGTATTGATACATTTAATTTATATGTGTGTTTGTGTATATATATATATATATATGCAAGACTATATGTATATAGTCTTGTCCTATTTGGAGGCCCATTAAAGTATTTTTTCTTCCCATTCTTTTACTTCAACTATGATATAAAATTAATTCTGTTATACACACACACATACACATACATATACACATACATATATATGTACATGTGTGTATACATA
This sequence comes from Homo sapiens, assembly GCF_000001405.40. Taxonomy (NCBI): domain Eukaryota; kingdom Metazoa; phylum Chordata; class Mammalia; order Primates; family Hominidae; genus Homo; species Homo sapiens. Next base: position 43,086,774 of record NC_000009.12, read on the forward strand.
TGTTTTAATAATCAAAGTTACAATTTATTTTGAACATATTATTTGCCAGAATTTATATGGCATACTTTGAATTCACTAACCTATTTAATCTTTAATATCTAAATGGGATAATTATTATTATTTATTTTTCAAAGATGGGGTAACAAAGGCTTCTGTTACCCCTCAATGTTGCCCATTCTCTACAGACTGTATAATAGAAGTTAAAATTATTTTTGCCCAACTTCAAATATCTTGCATCATACTGCATTCCTTTCAGCAACCTGCATTTTTCAGCATCCTGCAATTTCCCTATAACCTGGAAATTTTGAACCTCCATGTCTTCATGTGTAATATTTTCTGCATGAAAAATGTGTCATTTCAACTTATCTAACTCTTGCTTACTATCTAAGGTAAGGTAGAAGTGCCAACTTTTTCAAGGTTTTAGATAAAAGGTGAAAATAATAGTCTCTTGGTCCACACTCACATAGCCCTTTGTTTATATTAAACACTATATTATATTATGCTATATTAATAGTCAGCTGTTTATTCATCTCCTTCAGCAGACTCTAAAGGCCATTAGGGACTTGCTAATTCATTTACTAATTAATTAAAGAAATTTGAGGAGAATATCAAGAATAACCCTCTACTTGTTCCCAGCCACCATTCATCACTCACTTTCTTAATTGTTCATTCACAGTGTATATATACAGTGATGTCAGAAACGTTACGCCATACCTCCATGAGAAACAACTTTATTAACTGGAGCACTGTGCTTGTATACCCTTCCTTTCACCTTTAATTTTACAGTCTCCTCTCATTTCTGAAATTACTTATTTCAACGCATTTTTTCCCACCCATCTCAGTGAGGTTGTTTCATATATTTTCAATACAGTTATAATATTTTGTCACACTCTGCATTCCATCTTGCAATCCCTCTACTTCCTAAAGGATAGTTTTTTTTTAAAAGTTATATAAATTAATGTTTCCTCCTCAAGCTCAAAAACTCTTATGGATTTTGAGAAATGCATAATGTTATGTCCACCATTACAATATCATATAAAATAGTTTCAGTACAGTAAAAAAATTGTTTTCATGTTTCACATATTTAACCCTACTTCCTCTCCCCTCACCTCTGGAAGCACTAATCTTTTTTTTTTTTTTTTTTTTTGAGACGGAGTCTCGCTCTGTCGCCCAGGCCGGACTGCGGACTGTAGTGGCGCAATCTCGGCTCACTGCAAGCTCCGCTTCCCGGGTTCACGCCATTCTCCTGCCTCAGCCTCCCGAGTAGCTGGGACTACAGGCGCCCACCACCGCGCCCGGCTAATTTTTTGTATTTTTAGTAGAGACGGGGTTTCACCTTGTTAGCCAGGATGGTCTCGATCTCCTGACCTCATGATCCACCCGCCTCGGCCTCCCAAAGTGCTGGGATTACAGGCGTGAGCCACCGCGCCCGGCCAGCACTAATCTTTTATACTATATTGTTTTGCCTTTTTTACCATGTCATATATTTAGCAATATATAATACGAGGCATTTGCTGACTAATTTCTTTCACAGAGCAATAAATATTGAATATTCATGTATTTATTCCTGTAGATTTATATTTATTTCTTTTTTCTGGATGTACCAGTATATCAATTCACTTATTTAAGGTTTAAGGTCATGTAGGTTGCTGTCCATTTTTGATAATTATAAAAAAGAGCTCTGATAAACACTCACATTTTTATGTGATATAAATTGTCACATCATTGGGATAAATACCTAGAAGAATGATAGCTGAAGTGCGTGGTGAGACGATATTTAGATTTGTAAGAAACTGCCAATCTGTCTTCCAGCGTGCAGTACCATTTTTAAAATTCCCTTCAGCAAACAGCTACTATTGCTCTACATTTTCACCAGAATTTGTAATATTTAAGCCATTCTAACTAATGTGTGGTAGTATTACAATTGTTTTAATTTGTGTTTCTCTAAAGAAAAAAAATACTGTTGAGCATATTTTTATATGCCAGTTGCCATGGGTATTTCGGGGGCAGGGGTGAGGTGTCTTTTCAGATTCTATGCACATTTGTAATTGGCTTGTTTGCTTTCTTATTATTCAGTTTTCAGAGTTATTTGTATGTTTAGATACCAGTACTTTATTAGATATATGGTTTACAGATATTTTCTTCTAGTTTGTGGCTTGTCTTTTAACTCTCTGGAGTCTTTCACAGAGCAGAAAATTCCATTTTAAATTTAACAAACTCTAACATTTTTTCTTTTGTAGCTAGAACTTTTCGTATTAATATTATATCTAAAAATCCATTATCAAACCTAATGTCACTCATTACCTGTAAAGCATACTTTCTTTTTCAACTATTCTAGTGGTTCCCCAGAGTATCCAACACACATTTGTTACTAATCTAAGATCACCTTCAAATAGCACTCCACCAGTTCACATATAGTGCAGGTACCTTAATAAGAAGTTACAGCGTGATGGCAGCCCTTGTTCGCTCTCCGTGTCTCCTCGGCCTGGACGTCCACTCTGGCCGCGCTTGAAGAGCCCTTCGCCCCACCGCTGCACTGTGGGAGCCCGTCTGTGGGCTGGCCAAGGCCGGAGCATGCTCCCTCTGCTTGTGGGGAGGTGTGGAGGGAGAGGCACAGGCGGGAACTGAGGCTCTGCGCGGCACACATGGGGGCGGCCCTGCACTCAGAGTGGTCAGGCTGGCGCCACAGGCCCTGGGCAGTGAGGGGCTTAGCACCCAGGGCCAGCCGCCTCGGAGTATGCGCTGAGTTCCGCATCACTGCCGGCCCGCCCGCTCTAGGCTCGAATTCTTGCCAGGCCTCAGCCGCCTCGCTGTGGGGCAGGGCTCGGGACCTGCAGCCCGCCATGCTCGAGCCTTTCCCCGCCTGCCCCTTCCCCCGTGGACTCCCCAGCGGCTGGCGGGAGTCTCCCCAAGGGCACTGCCCCCTGCTTCGTGGCGCCTGGTCCCATCAACCACCCAAGGGCTGACTAGTGCAGGCGCCTGGCGTGGGACTGGCGGGCAGCTCCCCCAGCGGCCCCAGCGCGGGATCCGCTAGGCAAGCCAGCTGGGCTCCCCAGTGAGGTGGGGTCTTGGAGAACTTTTGTGTCTAGCTGGAGGATTGTACATGCGCCAATCAGCACTCTGTGTCTAGCTCAAGGTTTGTAAATGCACCAATCAGCACCCTGTCAAAACAGGCCAATCACCTCTCTGCAAAATGGACCAATCAGCAGGATGTGGGTGGGGTCAGGTGAAGGAATAAAAGTAGGCTGCCACAAGGGACAGTGATAACCGGCTTGGGTCCGTTTCCGTGGTGTGGAGGGTTTGTGTTTTTGCTGTTTGCAGTAAATCTTGCTGCACACTCTTTGGGTCCACACTGCCTTTATGAGCTGTGACAACCACCAGGAAGGTCAGCAGCTTCACTCCTGAGGCCAGTGAGACCAGGAACCCACCGAGAGGAATGAATAACTCCAGACGTGCTGCCTTAAGAGCTGTAACACTCACCGCGAAGGTCTGCGGCTTCACTCCTGAAGCCAGCGAGACCACAAACCCACCAGAAGGAAGAAACTCCGAACACGTCCAAACATCAGAAAGAACAAACTCCGGACACACCATCTTTAAGAACGGTAACACTCACCACTAGGGTCTGCAGCTTCATTCTTGAAGTCAGTGAGACCAAGAACCCACCAATTCTGGACACATTAATAGAATAGTCCCAGTTCATCCTTCATATCTTTTGTAACATAACCATCAGGCATTTCACTTACCCACATGCTGTAATTGCCCAAAACATTTACTAATATTACTTTAAACAAACATGTAGTTTAAAAAGATTTAGAATAAGAAAAATAAAACATTTTTTTTCCTTTTTCAACATACTTGCTTTCTTATTGTAAATACAGTTTTCTGATCATATCATTCTTCTCCTCCATGAATAACCTCTTTTAACACATTTGCAGGAAAGTTTTCTGGCAATATATTCCGTTAGTGTTTTATCGTCTGGTAAATTCTGATTTCCCCTCTGCTTTTGAAGTATAATTTTGCTAGATGTAGAATTCTAAGTTGGTGCATTTATTCCTTTAACACTTTAAACATTTCCCGCAACTCTCTCCTTTCTTGCCTGGTTTCTTACTGGAAGTGGGCTGAAATCCTTGCTCTTTTTTCTCTACAAGGAATGTAGTTTTCATTCCAGATTCTGTCAAGATTTTCTCTTTGTCTATTTATTGATTTATTTTATTTTCTTCTACATATAGGAAATGCTATGTCTGGTGCTGTATTTTTGTTGTTTGTCATGAATTGTATTCTCTGAGCTTCCTGGACCGGTTGTTTGTTTCATGTCCTTATGCTTTAAAATTTCTTGATCATTACTCATTTAGATAGATTCTCCTCATTTCTCTCTTTCTCGTCTTTCTGCTATTCCAGTTTCCCATTTTGTTCAACTTTAGAGACTGCCCAGCGGGTCTTTGATGTCCTTCACTTTTTTTTTTCCGTTTATTTTTTCTTGGCACTTTGTTTTAAAATGTATTTTTGACCTATCTTTAGTTTCACCAATTCTTTCCCCAAACATGTCTGGTCTACTAATGAAACCATTGAAAGCATTTTTTAAAAATCTATTGGCGTTATTTTAATTTCTAGCCTTTTCTTTTGGTTCTTTGTTAGAATTTTCATCTCTCTGCTTATACTAATCATCTTTTATTGAATATTTTCTACATTTTCCACTAGTGTCCTTAACATCTTAATCATAGTTATGTAAAATTTCTTGATTGCTATTTCCAAAATATGCATCATCATCACTGAGTCTTGTTCTGATGATCATCCTGTCTCTTCAGATTGTTAATTTTTTTCTTGTCTTTTACCATGTTTTGTAATTTTGTTGCCATTGTTGAGAGCCAGACATGTGGTATCCATAATAGATATTGAGATAAATTGATGCTGAGATAAATTGATACTGAGATAAAGTTAATTGAGGATATATGTTAATCTGTCTTGGAGTTGAACTGCATTTAATATTTGTTATAGCTCAAGTTTCTGAAGGTTTCAAATTCCTCTAGTGTCCTTGTTTTTGTCTCCTCCCTTAACTTTAGGTTTCCTTAAGTACTCATCTTCAAACAGTGTCTGTTTCTTATAGCTCTTTTGTCTGTCTCCTTATATTGGAGTCATGTTGGTTTAAATTTTATGGTATGAGCAGAGAAATATGTTCTATAGTGCTCTGATTGAATATCCGCCTTTCAGTGGGCCTATGTCTTAGGTTATGACTTTTACGAGTGTTTTGCCAGTAGTTTATCTTTTGTCCCTATTACAGGACTGCCAGATTCATATGCCCACTGAGCAGCAATAGACCAATACACTGAGACATCATAATTTGCAGCAGAAAAAGAGTTTAATAATCACAATGCCATTGGGCAAAGAGATGAAGGAATCCTCAAGCTTCAAATCTGTCTGCTTGAGGGGTTCTGGGCCAGGGTTTTTAAGGGGATTGTGGCGGGTGAGGTTCTGGAGAATTGGGGTTGTCAATTGGTCAGGTCAAGGAAGATTAAATCATCACGATGTGAAAACTGCATTCTTCTGTGAGTCGGCTCCTTGCTGGGACCTTCAGATCAACTGGCATCAACAATTTTATCAGTATGTGTAACATAAAGGAGAAACTCAAACAGAAAGCATATCATCTCACGTGCCTTAGATCTTATCTATAGAAAAGAAAAGGAACACAGTCTTGTGACAAGGGCTACACTATCTTGTGGGAGTAAGAAGTAACTAGCTACAAGGAAGTAGGCCAAATTGGGATGTGGATTTCATGATTGCCACTGATTATTCTGCAAGCCTAGTTGAATTTTATTTTCTCCCTTAATTGGTTTATAAACTTTTCTTTGGGACAGTTTCATCCTTTATCCCCTTTAGATGAGAAAAGAAGGTTAAATGAGGAGGTGCCAAGATGGCCAATTAGAAGCAGCTGTGGTCTGTGACTCCCATCTAGAAGAACAAAAATGGCGAGTGAATTCTGCACCTTCATCTGAGGTATCCAGATTCTCTCACTGGGACTGACAAGGTGATTGGCCTGACCCACAGGGAGCAAGGAAAAGCAGGGTGGAGCAATGCCTCACTTGGGAGTTGCATGGGGCAAGGGGCACTCCCACCCCCAGTCAAGGGAGGCAGTGAGTGATTGTGCTCCCTTTCCTGAGGAACCATGCTTTTTCTATGGATCTGTGCAACTCACAGATCAAGAGATCCCCTTGTGAGCCCACCCACCAGGGCCTTGGGTGCCAAGCACAGAGCTGTGCAGACTCTCATCGCCACTCAGGCTGTGGCCAGTGACAGCAGACTGGAGACTGTCTAAGATGACTGAGTTCCCAGGGGAAGGGGTGGTTGCTATCACTGTGGCATCAGTTGGCTGTTTTCCCCTGGTGGTGCTGGGGAGACAGGGAGGTTTAGACCGGGAGCACAGCAGCTGTGGCAGATCATGGCCAGACTGCTTTTTTAGGCGGAACCTGGATCCATCCCTACTCATTGGGTGGGGCCCCCTTGTGGGAATTTCACCAACTCCAGCCAGAGGTTTATGGACAGAACTCTGATCTTCCTGGGCAGAACTCCTGTGGGGAGGGACAGCCACAGTCTCTGCGGTTCAGCAGACTTAGTCTTTCCTGCCTGCTGGCTCTGAAGGGTCTGGACATTCTGGACAAGGGAGATTCCCTCCAGTGCAGTGCACCCTCTCTGCCAAGGGGCAGCCAGAGTGCTTTGTTAAGTGGTCCCCGATCCTGTACATACTCCCTAACTGATTGAGACCACCAACAGGGGTCTCCAGGCACCTTATACAGGAGTGTTCCTGCTGGCATCACATCAGTGCCCCTCTGGGATGGAGCTCAAAGAAGAAGGAGCTGGCAGCCATCCTTGCTGTTCTGCAGCTTCCACTGGTGACACCTCCAGGTAGGGGAGGGACCAAGTGAATAGGGTCTGGAGTGGACCCCCAGCAAACTGCGGCAGCCCTAAGGAAGAGGGGTCTGACTGTTGAAAGAAAAACAAACAAACAGAAAACAACAACAACAAAAACATCCACAAAAATGGCCCCACAAAAACCCCTTCCAAAGATCAGCAGCCTCAAAGATCGAAGATAGATAAGCTCATGAAAATGAGAAAGAATCAATGCAAAAATGCTGAAAACTCAAAAAGCCAGAATGCCTCTTCTCCTCCAAATGATTGCAACACCTCTCCAGCAAGGGCACAGAACTGGGTGGAGGCTTGAGGTGGATGAACTGACAGAAGTATTCTTCAGAAGGTGGGTAATAACAAATTTTGCTGAGTTAAAGTATATTCTAAAACAATTCAAAGAAGCTAATAACCATGAAAACATTATAGGAACTGTAAACCAGAATAACCAGTTTATAGAGGAACATAAATGACCTGATGGACCTGAAAAACACAACACCAGAACTTCACAATGCAACCACAAGCATAAATAACTGAATAGACCAAGCAGAGGAAAGAATCTCAGAGCTCAAAGGCTATCTTGCTGAAATAAGACAGGCAGATAAGATTAGAGAAAAAACTGAAAAGGAATGAAAAATAATCAGAGAACTATGGAATTATGTAAAAAGACCAAACCTACAACTGATTGGTGTACCGGAAAGAAATGAGGAGAATGAAACCAAGTTGGAAAACATACTTCAGGAAATCATTCAGGAGAATTTCCCCAACCCAGCAAGACAGGCCAACATTCAAATTCAGGAAATTCAGAGGACTTCACTAAGATCCATGAGAAGATCAACCCAAAACACATAATCGTCAGTATCTCCAAGGTCAAAATGAAGGAAAATTGTTAAGAGCCATGTCACCTAGAAAAGGAAGTCCATCAGAATAACAGTGGACTCCTCAGCAGAAAACCCATAAGCCAGAAGAAATTGGGGGCTAATATTCAACAGTCTTTTTTTTTTATACTTTAAGTTTTAGGGTACATGTGTACATTGTGCAGGTTAGTTACATATGTATACATGTGCCACGCTGGTGCGCTGCACCCACTAACTCGTCATCTAGCATTAGGTATATCTCCCATTGCTATCCCTCCCGCCCTCCCCCCACCCCACAACAGTCCCCAAAGTGTGATATTCCCCTTCCTGTGTCCATGTGTTCTCATTGTTCAATTCCCACCTATGAGTGAGAATATGCGGTGTTTGGTTTTTTGTTCTTGCGATAGTTTACTGAGAATGATGATTTCCAATTTCATCCATGTCCCTACAAAGGACATGAACTCATCATTTTTTATGGCTGCATAGTATTCCATGGTGTATATGTGCCACATTTTCTGAATCCAGTCTATCATTTTTGGACATTTGGGTTGGTTCCAAGTCTTTGCTATTGTGAATAATGCCACAATAAACATACGTGTGCATGTGTCTTTATAGCAGCATGATTTATAGTCCTTTGGGTATATACCCAGTAATGGAATGGCTGGGTCAAATGGTATTTCCAGTTCTAGATCCCTGAGGAATCGCCACACTGACTTCCACAATGGTTGAACTAGTTTACAGTCCCACCAACAGTGTAAAAGTGTTCCTATTTCTCCACATCCTCTCCAGCACCTGTTGTTTCCTGACTTTTTAATGATTGCCATTCTAACTGGTGTGAGATGGTATCTCATTGTGGTTTTGATTTGCATTTCTCTGATGGCCAGTGATGATGAGCATTTTTTCATGTGTTTTTTGGCTGCATAAATGTCTTCTTTTGAGAAGTGTCTGTTCATGTCCTCCGCCCACTTTTTGATGGGGTTGTTTGTTTTTTTCTTGTCAATTTGTTTGAGTTCATTGTAGATTCTGGATATTAGCCCTTTGTCAGATGAGTAGGTTGCAAAAATTTTCTCCCATTTTGTAGGTTGCCTGTTCACTCTGATGGTAGTTTCTTTTGCTGTGCAGAAGCTCTTTAGTTTAATTAGATCCCATTTGTCAATTTTGTCTTTTGTTGCCATTGCTTTAACTCATTTTATGAGGCCAGCATCATTCTGATACCAAAGCCGGGCAGAGACACAACAAAAAAAGAGAATTTTAGACCAATATCCTTGATGAACATTGATGCAAAAATCCTCAATAAAATACTGGCAAAACGAATCCAGGAGCACATCAAAAAGCTTATCCACCATGATCAAGTGGGCTTCATCACTGGGATGCAAGGCTGGTTCAATATACGCAAATCAATAAATGTATTCCAGCATATAAACAGAGCCAAAGACAAAAACCACATGATTATCTCAATAGATGCAGAAAAAGCCTTTGACAGAATTCAACAACCCTTCATGCTAAAAACTCTCAATACATTAGGTATTGATGGGACATATTTCAAAATAATAAGAGCTATCTATGACAAACCCACAGCCAATATCATACTGAATGGGCAAAAACTGGAAGCATTCCCTTTGAAAACTGGCACAAGACAGGGATGCCCTCTCTCACCACTCCTATTCAACACAGTTTTGGAAGTTCTGGCCAGGGCAATTAGGCAGGAGAAGGAAATAAAGGGTATTCAATTAGGAAAAGAGGAAGTCAAATTGTCTCTGTTTGCAGACGACATGATTGTATATCTAGAAAACCCCATTGTCTCAGCCCAAAATCTCCTTAAGCTGATAAGCAACTTCAGCAAAGTCTCAGAATATAAAATCAATGTACAAAAATCACAAGCATTGTTATACACCAACAACACACAAACAGAGAGCCAAATCATGAGTGAACTCCCATTCACAATTGCTTCAAAGAGAATAAAATACCTAGGAATCCAACTTACAAGGGATGTGAAGGACCTCTTCAAGGAGAACTACAAACCACTGCTCAAGGAAATAAAAGAGGATACAAACAAATGGAAGAACATTCCATGCTCATGGGTAGGAAGAATCAATATCGTGAAAATGGCCATACTGCCCAAGGTAATTTACAGATTCAATGCCATCCCCATCAAGCTACCAATGACTTTCTTCACAGAATTGGAAAAAACTACTTTAAAGTTCATATGGAACCAAAAAAGAGCCCACATCACCAAGTCAATCCTAAGCCAAAAGAACAAAGCTGGAGGCATCACACTACCTGACTTCAAACTATACTACAAGGCTACAGTAACCAAAACAGCATGGTACTGGTACCAAAACAGAGATATAGATCAATGGAACAGAACAGAGCCCTCAGAAATAACGCCGCATATCTACAACTATCTGATCTTTGACAAACCTGAGAAAAACAAGCAATGGGGAAAGGATTCCCTATTTAATAAATGGTGCTGGGAAAACTGGCTAGCCATATGTAGAAAGCTGAAACTGGATCACTTCCTTACACCTTATACAAAAATCAATTCAAGATGGATTAAAGAGTTAAACGTTATACCTAAAACCATAAAAACCCTAGAAGAAAACCTAGGCATTACCATTCAGGACATAGGCATGGGCAAGGACTTCATGTCAACAGTCTTAAAGAAAAGAATTTCCAGCTCAGAATTTCATATCTGGCCAAACTAAGCTTCATGAGCAAAGAAGAAATAAAATCCTTCTCAGACAAGCAAATACTGAGGGAATTCATCACAACCAAGCCTGCCTTGCAAGAGCTCGTAAAGGAATCACTGAATATGGAAGGGAAAAACCATTACTGGCCACTACAAAAACACAATAAAGTACACAGACCAATAATATTATGAAGCAACAACATTAACAAGTCTGCAAAATAACCAGATAGCGTCATAATCACAGGACCAAATTCACACATAAGAATATTAACCTTAAATGTAAATGGACTGAATGTCCCAAATAAAAGACATAGACTGGCAAACTGGATAGTCAAGACCCACCAGTGTGCTGTATTCAGGTGAACCATCTCATATGTAAAGACACACATAGGCTCAAAATACAGAGGGAGGAAAATTTACCAAGCAAACGGAAAGCAGGAAAAGGAGGGGTTGCAATTCTAGTGTTTGAGAAAACAGGCTTTAAATCAACAAAGATAAAAAAAGACAAAGAAGGGAATTACATAATGGTTAAGTATTCAGTTCATCAAGAAGAGGTAACTATCCTAAATACACATGCACCCAATTCTAGAGGACCCAGATTCATAAAACAAGTTCCTAGAGACCTACAAAGACATTTAGACTCTCACATAATAATAGTGGGAGGCTTTAACACCCCACTGTCAATATTAGACAAATTATCAAGACAGAAAGTTAACAAGGATATTCAGGACTCAAACAGCTATAGATCAAGTGGACCTGATAAATATCTACAGAACTCTCCATTCAAAAACAACAGAATATACATTCATCTTGGAGCTACATGGCACTTACTCTAAAATCGATCACATAATTGGAAGTAAAACACTCCTCTGCAAATGCAAAATAACTAAAATCTTGATAGTCTCTCAGACCACAGTACAATCAAATTAGAACTCAAAATTAAGAAACTCACTCAAAACCACACAACTACATAGAAATGTAACATCCTGCTTCTGAATGACTACTGGGTAAAAAATGAAATTAAGGCAGAAGTCAAGAAGTTATTTGAAACTAATGAGAACAAAGAGACAATGTCCCAGAATCTCTGGGATACAGCTAAAATAGCATTGAGGGAAATGTATAGCACTAAATATCCACATCAGAAATATCTCAAGTCAACATCCTAACATCACAGTTTAAAGAACCAAGAACAAACAAACCCCAAAGCTAGCAGAAGGCAAGGAATAAGTAAGATCAGAGCAAAACTAAAGGAGATTGAGACAGGAAAAACCCTTCAAAAAATCAACAAATCCAGGAACTGTTTTTTTGAAAAAAATTAACAAAATAGACTTTTAGCTACACTAATAAGAAAAGAGAGAAGATCAAATAGACACAATAAAAAATGATAAAGGGGATATGAACACTGAGTTTACAGAAATACAAACAACCATCAGATAATACTATAAACACCTCTATGCAAATAAATTAGAAAATCTAGAAGAAATGGATAAATTCCTGGACACATAAACTCCCAAGATTGAACCAGGAAGAAGTTGAATCCCTGAATAGACCAATAACAAGTTCTGAAATTAAGGCAGTTATATATAGCCTACCAACCAATGAAAGACCAGGACCAGATGGAATTATGGTGGAATTCTACCAGATGTACAAAGAGGAGCCAGTGTTATTTCTTCTGAAACTATTCCAAATGATTGAAGAGGAGAGACTCCTCCCTAATTCATGTTATGAGGCCAGCATCATCCTGATACCAAAGCCTGGGAGAGATACAACAAAACAAGAAAACTTCAGGCCAATATCCCTGATGAACATCGATGCAAAAATCCTCAATAAAATACTGGCAAGCCAAATCCAGCAGCACATCCAAAAGCTTATCCACCACAATCAAGTTGGCTTCATCCCCGGGATACAAGGCTGTTTCAACATATGCAAATCAATAAATGTAATCCATTACATAAACAGAACTAAAGATAAAAACCTCATAATTATCTCAATAGATGCAGAAAAGGCCTTTCAACAACACTTCATGTTAAAATTCAACATCCCTTCATTTTAAAAACTCTCAATAAACTAGGTATTGAGGGACCATACCTCAAAATATTAAGAGCCATTTATGACAAACTAACAACCCATATCATACTGAATGGGAAAAAGCTGTGAGCATTTTCATTGAAAAGAGGCACATGACAAGGATGCTCTTTCTTACCACTCCTATTCAACATATTATTGGAAGTTCTGGCCAGAACAATTAAGCAAGAGAAAGAAACAAATGGTATTCAAATAGGAAGAGAGGAAGCCAAATTGTCTCTGCAGATGACATGATCCTTTATCTAGAAAACCCCATTGTCTCAACCCCATTGTCAGCAAAATCTCAGGATAAAAAATCAATGTGCGAAAATCACAAGGATTCCTACACACTAACAACAGACAAGCAGAGAGCCAAATCATGAAAGAACTCCAATTCCACAATTGTTACAGAGAATAAAATACCTAGGAATAGAGCTAAGAAGGGAAGTGATAGAAAGAACCAATATGATTAAAATGGCCATACTACCCAAAGTAATTTATAGATTCAATGCTATTCCCCTTATACTAACATTGACATTTTTCACAGAATTAGAATAATCTGTTTTAAAATTCATATGGACAAAAAAGAGTCTGTAGAGCCAAGATAATATTAAGCAAAAATAGCAAAGCTGGGGGGATCATGCTACCTTACTTCAAACTACACTACAAGGCTACCAAACCAGCATGTAAACAAAACAGCATAGTGGTGGTGCAAAAACAGACTCATAGACCAATAGAACAGAATTGAGAACTCAGAAATAAGACCACACAGCTACAACCATCTGATCTTCAACAAACCTGACAAACACAAGTAATGGGGAAAGGATTTTCTATTTAATTAATGGTGCTGGAAGAACTATGGAAGAATTTTAGCCATATGCAGAAAACTGAAACTGGACCCCCTTCCTTACACCTTATACAAAAATTAGCTCAAGATAGGTTAAAGACTTAAGTGTAAAATCCAAAACTATAAAAACCCTGGAAGAAAATCTAGGCAATACCATTCAGGACACAGGCATAGGCAAAGATTTCATGACAAAAATGCCAAAAACAATAGCAACAAAAGCAGAAATTAACAAATGGGGTCTAATTAAACTAAAGAGCTTCTGCTCAGCAAAAGAAACTATCATCACAGTGAACAGACAACCTACAGAATGGGAGAAAATTTTGCTATTTATCCATCTGACAAAGGTCTAATATCCAGAATTTACTGGGAACTTAAACAAATTTACAAGAAAAAAACAGACAATCCTATTAAAAAGTGGGCAAAGGACATGAACAGGCACTTCTCAAAAGAAGACATTTATGTGGCCAACAAACATGCAAAAAAAAAGTTCAACATCACTAATCATTAGAGAAATGCAAATCAAAACCACAATGAGATACCATCTCACACTAGTCAGAATGGTGATTATTAAAAAGTCAAGAAACAACTGATACTGTTGAGGCTGCAGAGAAATAGGAATGCTTTTACACTGTTGGTAGGAATGTAAATTAGTTCAACCATTGTGGAAGACTGTGGCAATTCCTCGAAGTCCTAGAACCAGAAATACCATTTGACCCAGCAATCCCATTACTAGGTATGTACCCAAAGGAATATAAATCATTTTATTATAAAGATACATGCATGTGTGTGTTCATTGCAGCACTATTCACAATAGCTAATACATGAAATCAACCCAAATGCCCATCAATGATAGACTGGGTAAATAAAATGTGGTACATATACAATATGGAATACTATGCAGCCATAAAAGGAAATGAGATCAAGTCCTTTGCAGGGACATGGATGGAGCTGAAAGCCATTATCCTCAGCAAACTAATGCAGGAACAGAAAACCTTGAAATATGAGCTATAATGAGGGGCACTAGAGGTACTTGGCTTTAAAAAGACATAGGTGCAGTGACATGATGTTAGTTACATAGCCTTTGAAGCCATGTTGTGTGAAAGAGCAGTTGGATATTGACATTGGCTACCAAAACCAATGGGTAGGCATTTAGATTTTGGTTCACTAGAAAACCTGAACTATCTATCGATTAAGCTCTCAAAAACTAAATAGACTGCTGCCTCCTAAATAAAATATGTCTCCCACTGTGGAAATGTCATTGATTTTCAATTTGTATAGCTTTTATTATTATTATTGTAAGGCCAGGAATGACAACTTCTGAGCCCTTCACATGTTGGTGATAAATCCAAAAGTCCTGTAATGTATTTGTTTTCTCATTTTTTAAAACCAAATATTTGAAGCTATTTTATTAAGGGTTTCCTTTTCCTCAAAAAGTAAATGCATTAAATATAATCTAGATATTCTACACTCATGAGAAAGATATTTCATTGTATATAACCAGAGCTATAGGCCTACAAACATTTGGACTTTATCAGAGGTAAATAATAAGAGATAATACTATTAGTTAAAATTAAAGTATAAATTTAGATCATTATTTTTAATTGGTTATTTTTTAAAGGTGACATAACTTTAATTTACAATGTAAACTCAGGAATGAAAAAGCATTAAGTAACTCATGATCTGTAATGAAAATTTCAAAATTTAAGGTAAGTAATGAGATTTCCCCATATTTCTGTGTTTAATTCATCAATGTTTTTAAAATACTTAAACCAGCTAAGAAGTGTGTTCAGGTTTCTATTTATTTTAAAAGTGAATTATGTATTTTTCTCACAAGGGAGGATGATTGTAGAGGAGTTTAGAGCCTGCATCGTGGTTCCAAGTTAGCATCACCGTTCCTGGTCCTTCCATCTTTCTGCTTAGTCATATTTAACTTGTGTTTATTTCTTCATGATCAGAATATGTGTCTTTTTCAACTATCATATGTATGTTCTAGGTAGAAAGGAGAAAAACAAGAATTTATGTTGTTCTGTCAAATTATAGAAAGTTTATTTGATAATAAATCAACTGTTAAAAAGTACCCATTAAAAGTTTAATAAGTATACAATATTAAAAGAAAGCATGGGACTTTGCACAATTGTGAAATCTATTGAGAATTTTGTAAGTTTTTAAATTTTGATCTGTGCTGTCATTTATTAATTCAGTCAAAATTTGCTTCAAAAACACATAGTTGTCAGAATATGTAAGTGCCTTAGAAGAGTGCAATCTATAAGTAAAATAATTCTGAATATTCATCTGAAATAGTTTGAAAAGGTTTTGAAAATCTACTGTCTCTCTTATTTCTTGTAATCAACATATTTCTCAATAGGAAAATTCACCATTTGCCATCAAAATGTATTGTCTGAAACTTCCACTGGAACCTTCATATGGCAAAATATGTAGGCATTCTGAGGAGATGCAAAGTTTGGTAAGCAGAATAAATGTGTTTTAATATTTAATAATTATAAATGATATTTGGAAAATTATAAAGATGTTCTTAGTTCAATTAATAGAGTAAGATTTATATATCTATTAAGAGTGCTGGGCCAGACAGGGTGGCTCACGCCTGTAACCCCAGCACTTTGGAAGCCCGAGGCGGGAGGATCACCTGAGGTCAGACCAGCCTGGCCAACATGGTGAAACCCCATCTCTACTAAAAATACAAAAATTAGCAGGGCATGGTGGTGCTTGCCTGTAATCCCAGCTACTGAGGAGGCTAAGGCAGGAGAATTGCTTAAACTCGGGACATTTCAATGAGCTGAGATCTAGCCACTGCATTCCAGCCTGGGTAACACAGTGAAACTCCGTCTCAAAACAAAACAAAAAAAACAAAAGTGCAGGCAACATATTATAATCAATATTAAAAGTTTTTATGTTGAAAGATGGATAAGAATTAAAACTTTGATTTTTCAACTGAGATATTTAGTTGAGATATTTGAAATTACTGGAAAGCAAAAGGAAATTTTAATGTACTGCGGAGTAGCCTAGGGTAGTATGTGTATGTATTTCTACTAAATGCAAAAGAAAGCACCAGATAAAAATGCAATAGGCTTCTACTTCTAGTTCAGGATGGGAAAAGATGGGGAAGACCAAAAAAGATCTGCATAATGCACAAATCCATGTGATTTCTGAAGGGAGTGGACACGATCAGTCTTGATAAACTGATAACTAGTTAGTGGATCTGCAGGTTTCATCTGTGGTATTTTCTTTTAGATGATTTGTGTAGTGACTAAAAAACAGTCAATACATTTAAATAAACTGCACATTGTGCACATGTACTCTAAAACTTAAAGTATAATAAAAAAATAATACAATAAATAAATAAACTTATTTTCTGGTTTAGTAATTGAGGTTCACCAATGTCTATTATTAATTGTTAACTATTTCCTAACCAATAATCTGTCTTATATTAAACTGTACATACACATTACAAGAAATTTGTTACACTCACACATAACTGAATAACATATTTAATGCTTATATAGGTGTGCATTTAATGTTAAAATCTAGATATAAAAATAAGAAAATGAAACCATAATTTTTAAGTAATGGAACTTGTTCCAAAAAATCAAATGTGGTTATGCATTGGTATGACAATTCTGAATCCTGTCCTCAGGCAGCATCTGAACACTGTTTTATTAGCTATCAATAAATTGTCTGCACTGCAGGCCGATGATGGTTTAAGGACAGCAGTGTTAATAATAATGTTCAAAGTGTCAGTCTGGAGGGGAGGCAATAATTGACTATATGAGACTATTAAGCTATAAAAACAATGTATAATTTTGAGCATCAAAATATGATAGACAGAGCTTCAAATGCTCTTGGTGAAGTCATTATTAACACATACAAAACTGATTTTCATTCAACATTTACTGTAGAGAAAATTATATTCCATCAGGCTTTAAAATTGAGAAGAAAACAGAAAGAGTAAGTCTTAAATGCCTTTCTTCCTCACCTTCCTCCTTCACCTAGTTTGCCTGCGGACCTACACTGTTACATTCCCACATACCTCCTGTGTGTATTTCTTTGCAGATCATTTACCTTACATTTCTACATTTCCCCTTAATTTTTTCCTCATCAATAGATGAGAAAAAAATTTGTTAAATCATGGTAGATGAATATGGACCAGATCATCCCATGAACTACGTTCAATCATTGGTTTTACCTTTCAAAAAATTCTGAATGAAATATGTAATAATTTAATATTCTAAAACTTTATTTTTTCAGGAATATTTACATATATTCACCCTTCCTTCTAAAACAGTGGCCAGAGCAGTTAGAAAACAAAAGCATGAGAAACAGTAACTCTTACAGTTGTATTATGCCTGTATGCCTCCCCAGTTCTGCAAAGATTATGAGGATTTTTTTAGGTCTGTACATAGTTTTAAAATATCCTTAAACAATCCACATAAATAAACTCATTACCATAATAATCTGCAAGATAGACATTGTCATCCTCAAGTAATATCAAATAAATCTTATTTGCCTGCAAGATCTGAATCTGAAAATCCCAAAGCTCAAGTTTACCTAGCTAATAGGTAGTAAGACTGGGGCCTCAATCTGGTTTATCTAATTCTGAAAAGTGTTTTGCTATAAAAGCACTATAGGAAATAAAACATTAGACTTTATACCTTTAGATAATAAGAATATTTATGTCATTGAACCTGAAAAGATACTGTTTAACTTTCATGTTCTACTTGTCATTTTTCTTTTCTGCTTTTATATGTAATTTAGGTAATAGATACCCAAGAATCAACTTAAATTCCCATCAGTGGTAGACTGGAAAAAGAAAGTACGGTACATATACACCATGAATTACTATGCAGCCATAAAAAAGAATGAGATCTGTCCTTTGCAGCAACATGGATGGAGCTTGGAGGCCATTATCCTTAGCAAAGTAACACAGGATCAGAAAACCCAATACTCCCTATTTTCACTTATCACTGGGAGCTAAATAATGAGAACACATTGACAGAAAGAGCAGCACAATAGACACTAGGGTGTGCTTGAGGGAGGAGGATGAGAGATGGGTGAGGTTCAGGGAAAAAAAATTGTTGGGTACTATGCTTACTACTCAGGTGACAAAATAATCTGTACATCAAACCCCTGAGTCACGAATTTACCTAAAGAACAAACCTCCACACGTTCCCATGAACCTAAAATAAAAGTTAAAATATTTAAAATAATAATAATAATTTAAAAATGTGAAATGTTGTGATAATTACTAAAATGTCAAATAGAGACACAAGGTGAGCACGTTGTTGGAAAAATAGAATGAATAGACTTGCTTGATGCAAGATTGCCACAAACCTTCAATTTGTGAAAAATGTGTTATTTGTGAAGAGCTATAAAGTGAAGCACACGCAAAAAAAGTGAGTTTGATTAATGCAATTCATTGTTGCTGAAAGATACCTTGAAATATGAGCTATAATGAGGGGCACTAGAGGTACTTGGCTTTAAAAAGACATAGGTGCAGTGGCATGATGTTAGTTACATAGCCTTTGAAGCCATGTTGTATGAAAGAGCAGTTGGATATTGACGTTGGCTACGAAAACCAATGGGTAGGCATTTAGATTTTGGTTCAGTAGAAAATCTGAACCATCTATCGATTAAGCTCTCAAAAACTAAATAGACTGCTGCCTCCTAAATAAAATATGTCTCCCACCATGGAAATATCAAGCTAGGGTCACAATTCAAGTAATGTAAATATGAATCTAATGACTTCCAAGATGCTTTTCCAACTTAAAGTTTTTGACAAGTACCTTTTAAAACAGTATACCATTTGAATTACCTGCAGCCATTTTAATATTTCTGAGAGGGTTTTTTTGTGTGTGTGCTCCTTCTGTCATCACATGGAGAGTTATTTTGCCTTTTAGGGTAAAATATAAAAACAAATGCACGTCACAATATGATGTGGCAAACGTTACCCAGAAGCCTTAGTGATGTTGTTGCGATGGTATTAGCATGCACAGAGTATGCAACTCGCAGCTCTGCTGTGTGCACTTGTTCTTTTGCTTTCTCTCATGTGTTCTGCTCCATATATTTTAAGAGAGTTTAATGTGGGTGTTCCAATTCAATCCCATTAGAGTACTATGTATATTATTGTTACTAAACCTTGCCTTCATAATCATTCCTATGTATGTGGTCTATTGAAAAGCAATCATTTATATCTTTAGGAGGATGAATGGGAAGTCACAGATCTAGAACAATAATCAACTTGAACTCATGCTGCTAGCACAGGTATGGATTTTTAATATAATCTCAGGCAGGGAAGTGCTTGTAGGCATGTTTTCTCAGTCAGGAGCTGAGAGCATATGCACGATGGCAGACACAAGGTAACTACCCTTTGGCTGGTTGAAAGATGAAGTCATTATAAAGCTGGATTTTAAACCAAATGCAGTGCTGGCTGTTGTCTGGACTTACCTAAAACATACACTATATTTTAAAAAGAAGGCTGAGAGTCACAGAAGTAAAACAAATAAATTCCAAAGTTGGTGTTTTATATTATCATTTATCTGCAATAAGTGATAATTGATATTCCAAAAATATACTTTGCTTTGAATTCAAATTGTTTATTTTGAACAATTAGTGAGTTCATCTCTGCACATGCCTAAAGAAGATAAATCAATAAATAAAAGAATAAAAATTAAAACTCTATATAATAAACACTTGATTTCTTAGTCCTGATTTCTCTTTTATTATGAAGACCAGAAGCAGAATGTTATTCTATTTTACCTAAAAATATATATATGATCTTTAGAAACTCCTTGTCAGCAATCATCTATCTGTGTGTGTGTGTGTATATATATATATATATATATATCTCATACAAACAATATGTATCACATTTATATGTTATCAAGCACAATCATATAATAAACCCACAAATGTCCAACTCCAAAACTAGAAAATTATTAATAGCTTGTACTACTCCTGTGTTCTTCCCCATCTGCCTGTAGGAATTATTTCTTTTTCTAAAATAGTTTTCTTACATACATATATATATCAAAGAATGTGTTTTTGCTTATTTTTCAGCTACAAGACTGTGTCACACTGTATATAGTCTACTGTATTACTTTTTTTTTTTTTTTTTTGAGACGCAGTCTCACTCTGTCACCCAGGCTGGAGTGCAGTGGCACAATCTCCATTCACTGCAACCTCCGCCTCCCGGGTTCAAGGGATTCCCTCCTGCCTCAGCCTTTTGAGCAGCTGGGATTACAGGTGCCCAACTACACCAGGCTTTTTTTTTTTTTTTTGAGACCGAGTCTCGCTCTGTCGCCAGGCTGGAATGCAGTGATGTGATCTTGGCTCACTGCAACCTCTGCCTCCCAGGTTTAAGCAGTTCTCCCACCTCAACCTCCCGAGTACAGCTGGGACTACAGGTGTGTGCCATAACACCCAGCTAATTTTTGTATTTTTAGTAGAGACAGGGTTTCACCATGTTGGCCAGGATGGTCTTGATCTCTTGACCTCGTGATCCACCCACCTTGGCCTCCCAAAGTGCTGGGATTACAGGTGTGAACCACCATGCCCAGCTACTGTATTACTTTTTATGCCTCCAGAATTTTTCTGTGTTGTTGCAGGTGTCTGTTGTGCCTTAATTTTTGCTATTGTAGAGGATTCTATTATGTGCAATTGTGCAGCAGTCTATGTATCTGTTCCCCTGTGGATGGACATTTGGGTTGTGTCCAGTGTCTCTTGACAACCTACCTTGTGCCATGCCCCCGACCCTCCTGCCATTACTCCACAATCTAGCTACATCCACAAAGCCATGACTTCACAAAACCCTGTCTTCCACTTCTGAGCTCCAGACCATATAAAAGGCATAATTGTGTTTATTGAGCACTTACTCTGAGCTAGAAATGATTCTCAACATTTTACATGTGGTAGCGCATTTAATATTCACAGCAACACAAATGGGAAGTAATATTCTTATCACCGTTTTACAAATGAGAAGCCCAAGGCCCAGAAGAGTTGAATATCTTGCTCAAGATCACACACCTTTTGCCACCCCCCATTCCAAGTCCCATAGGCAACTCAGACTCAGCACATCCATGATGTAACTTATCATCTTCCTCTCCAAACCATTTCCTCACTTGTGCCCTACTCTCAGTGGGGACATCTCCAATCCCCAGGCCCAAGCTGGAAACCGGAAGCCATTTCTGACTCCTCCCTCACCCACTCCATCCAAATGGAGCCCAAGTCCTGTACATTGTACTTCTTGGGTATTGATCAATCCCGGCCCTTGTCTCCACGCCCACGGTGCTGACCCATTGTTAGGTGCCCGGCTGCTGCTCCTGGGTCATCACTTCCCAGCACTCTCTTTGCAGGCCCATCTCCACCATTTCCAGCATCCTACACACTGCGGCTCAGGTGTGCTTTCTAAACCTCACCTCACCATGTCCCCATCTCCAGAATGAAGCCCAGCCTCCTCTGCTCATCCCCTCAAACTGTAAAGTGCAGATCCCAGACCCAAAAAGGACACCCCCCACCACAATACCCTGCTCTGTCTCCTCCTCTGGGAAGCCTCCTGGCCTTGGCCCAGAGGCTGGATGTGAGCTCCCCCACCCCAAGCCCCACAGCCTCCAAGCCTCCCACTCTGCACTCACCTTCTTCCTTATAATTACCTGTCACCCATTAAACTGCAACCCTCAAAGGCAGAGCCCAGTGCATCCACTGTGCATCCCCAGTGTCCAGGCAGGGCCTGCACACAGTAGGTGGACAATAATTGTTGAAAGGCAAAATACATGAGCAATGACAGGAACCATGGGTGATACTGCCTTCTGAGCCCCAGGCAACAGAGTGATTCCTGCCTGGCCCCAGGGTCAGTGGATCCTGGCCCCTCACCCCACCCAACCTCTGCAGCTGCTTCCCTGGAGCCCTTGGAGCCCTAAGAGGCCTCTTCCTGTGTCTTCATGTGTTCGAAGGATTTCCCTCTTTGCATCTTCCTTTCCTATTCCTTCATGTGGGAGCACTCTGGCACCAGGAAGAAGAAAGAGGAGCCCAACCCCTTACCAGCCTTCAATCTATAACAAGCATTCTCAAGGGAATTAAAACTGATTCTTAAAAGGGGAGGTGAAAAAAAACTTACTCTTTTTTACGTATAAAGCACAGAACATATACAGAACATAAACAGATGTATAGTATATCTGTGGTATTAAAATTTCATGTGATTAAGAAAAAAAAATCTGGAAGAATACTAGGGAAGGCACTAATGAAAAAAAGGCTAAAAAATTCTGATCTACCTTCTTGGGCCATGCCTTGTCTGGTCCAAGAACCGGCCAGAACTCGGGGAAGTGAACAACCAGGGGAGAGTCTAGAGTCCAATCTCAGGATCCCCTCAAAGTATTTCCAAAGCCAACCCCCCATCAGTCAGCTACAGTCCTTTCACCAAAACCGCCCTTCCTTCCCCCTTGCCTGAAAATCCCTCATTCTGTTTCTGTCATTCTTTCATCTTACCTTGTTCCTACTGAGGGCGCAGGTCAGTTCTTCCCCATTCTCCCCCTGGGGCACCCCAGTTCCCAGGGCATGAAAGACTTGAGGTGCCTCACCTCTACACCTTGGGCTAAGACATAGCCCTAGAGCTCCTGGAAGAACCCAGGAGGGAAGCCCAACCACAGGAGGCCCCCAGGAAGTGGGGGTACTGCTGTGGGACAAGCTTCTCTTTATTGGGGAAGGGATGGGATCACAAATAATCTCTGCTTAGAAGTGCTCTAGGGCCATGGATTCATGTAAGGGTGGGGCAGGGTGGACTGAAGATCTGTTGGCAGGGCTCATAGAGATGAGGGTAAGGGGAGAGATCATGGGTTCATGAGATCCCATCTTGGGCAATACAGTTATCCCATGGTCTTCATATGCCACAGAGTCCTCCAATTTCAGTGGCTCCCGTGGGATGGTGGAGCCAATGAAGACCAGGTAGATGATGCCACCTAGAGAGGCACCCAGAAGTGGTGCCACCACTGGCACCCACCACAAGTTCTCCCCATTGCTGCAGGCAAGAGGCAGAGGCCAGCTGAGGGGGCTGATGCCCAGGACAGCACCCTCATCCACCTCGGGCCAAGACTGGTTGAGCAGAGGAGTCATCCTCAGGCTAACCCAGGAAACACCCCCAACCCGGGGCCCTGGTCAGCCTCAGCCCGATTCAGGGACAGGGTTGACACTCAGTGCAGGTGCAGGATCTGTATCTGTACTGGCCTGGGGAAATGTTGGGACTCACTCCTGCTCCCCAGGCCACCTGGGGGCTCTGCAGGACCCTCCTGTGCTGCCCCTCACATCACCCCCCACACCTCAACACACAGGGGCCCCACAGAAAATCTCAAAGGAATGGGCCTGGGCAGGGGAAGTACCTGAAGACCTGTTTGCCCCAACCAGCAATGAAGGTGAAGATGCGGGGGGGGCAGGTCCCGGGATGGATTGATGGCATATCCTGTGTTCATGCCATGGGACACCCTGATGATGACCACGAGGATGCCTATCACCAGCGCGTGTGTTCCTGGCAGTGCTGGGTTTTTCTCCCGGTCCGTGATGGCGAAGAGACACAGCTGGAGCATCCCGGTCAGCCACTCCTGAGGAGCAGATGCTGTGGCAGCTCACCTGGGCCCCTCCCCAAGCCACAGGACCTCGGCAGTGCCCCAGACCCAAGCCCACCAGCAGAGACACATCTTGGTACAGTCTCCATCCAGAGTTCTTGTCCTGTCTATCCGGAGGGACTCCCTGCTGGCTCCGTCCTGAGGGGTGGAGGGCAGGGGGAGGGGTACTCATCCTGGACCACTGACCTCATTCAGGAAGCCCCGCCACAATGTCATGTGATCAGGAAGGTAGGTGGCAAAAATGCCAGCTGTAGCAACGGGACCGGTCACCATCAGCTCTCCACCCGAAAAGTGGAGAATGGCCACTGTGGAGACACAGACTATCATGCGAACCTGCCCCCAACTAAGCCCCACCGGGGTCCCAGAAATGAGGTTATAGGTTAGAGGGTGGGAGACCTCCAAGCCTTTTTTCTCCCAGCTATTTTTTACAAATCAGGACACTGAGGTCCAATCTGCCCATATTTCATAACAGGCAGTTGAGGCCAGAGGCGGACACCCGGGCAGGACGCTCACTGTAGAAGAGTCTGTAGATGGTGGCAGCCGCCAGGAAGGAGCCCAGGAACTGCCCCAGCACATAGACTGGAAACTTCCTCCAGGGCACACGGCCCAGTGCACAGTTAGTGAAGCTCACAGCTGCGTTCATGTGGGCTCCTGCGGGCAGCAGGCAAGTGTGTCAGGGAGTGAGAGCAGAACAAACAACAGTGACAAACAGTATGAGAACAACGATGGCTAGTGTGTATGACAGCATGCTCCGTGACAGAGTTCTCTCCTTGAGCCCTCACAACCACCCCGTGAGGCAGGGGCCACCATCTTCGTTTCACTCTTAAGGAAACTGAGGAACACAGAAGGCGATGGCTTGCCTAAGATCACCCAGCCAGTGAAAATGGTAGGTCGGGGGGGCCAGGAAGAATCTGGGGCAGACACGTCATAGGCACGGGCTTCAGAGGAGACTTCCTCCCGCCCGGTGGCCAGGCTGAGGCACTGGCTGTGCTGGCAAAGGAGCTGGCTGAGGCAGGCAGGAAAGAGCCTGTTGGGGACACCTGGTCTTGCCCGGTCCGGCAGGGCCTGGGCTCACTCACCAGAGATGCGGCCTGCCACGTGCACTCCCATGGTGACTCCGAAGCCAAAACCCAAGTTGACACCAAGGTAGCTCCCAAATGTTTTATTTAGAAGCATATGGGCCACGGAACCAAGGCCGAATACCTACAAGGGAGGGCCTCTAAGGGGGCTGCCTGCCCAGAAGCCCCAACCTCAGAGGAGGGCTCAGAGCTCAGTTCTAGCTCCTCACCCCCATGCCCTGGGCCTCCCTGGCGTTGCCTCGAAGACCCTCTGCCATGCCCTCTTCCTCCAGAGCCTTCCCTCCTCACTGCCTCCTCTCCTTGCCCCTGCTGAGGCCTCTCAGACCTGAGCCACTGAGAGCCGGGTGGAGCGGCAGAGTTAGAAGCTCTTACTACAAACATCCAAGCACCTCAGCCCCAGGCCCACCTGAAGTTTTGGGGTAAGGCAGGGCTGCAAGGAGGGGATGGCTGGCATGCATTGCACCCCCTCAGAGTCCCTCACACTTCAGGCTGACCTGAAGGAAGTTTCTTCAAGGGACCCCCAAATCCATCCATGCCTGACTCTGCCAGGAACCCCTCCCTACACATGCACACACTCCACCGCAATTCCCACAATGCTGGAACAGTGGGGCCCTAACTGTCTTGCCCTCAGCTTCATTTCCACTGACCTCAGGCGGCATTCCCAAGCTGCTGCTTCTTGCCCATCCCTCACGGCTCCTCAGATAATGCTGCCTTTACAGGGGAAGGGGCCTACCTTCAGGCCCATTACCCTCAGTCTAGAGCCACTGTTCCCTTCAGCCCTGGCTCCTGTGCTATCCTCTCCCTCTGCAGAGGCCTCCGTCTCCCCCATACCTTCCATCCTCCCATTGATCGGCTCCCACACACTGGAGTCTCATCCTTCCCAGCAAACTGTCCCACCCCTGCCCAGTGTCCTTCTCCAGCTGTGGGTTCCTGGTTGCCCCCTCCCTGTTTCAGTCAGGCTGCAGGAGAGAACACACTGGCCAGCTGCTTCACCCCTTCCCTCGCACCCCCTCCTCAATCTGGCTTCCACTTCCACATGTCACAGACACCAAAGCTCTCTCCAAGGGCTCCAGCAGCCTCCTGATTTTCCAAAGGTCTTTTCAGGCATGGTTTTACCACGTAGACAGTCTCATCTATGCCTGATGCACTGAAATTCCCATCATCTCCGTGGGGGAGCCAGATGCCTATTTGCAAATCCCCACTGCAACTCTCCTGGTGTTCCGCGGGCGTCTCAGGCTCTGATGAAGGTTCGCCATCTCACAGCACACCTGCTCCTCACTCTATGTTCCCCATCCCCGTTGGCCAAGCCAGAAACTCAGATGTTGCAAATGATAGTTAAGCACTATTATTCTCCCCCACTTGACAGATGGGTAATCTGAAGCTTAGAGAACTTGAATGGCTTGTCCAAGGTCACACAGCCTGTACATGGTGAGCCAGGATTAAATCCAGGCAGTTACCTGTGACAGATGGCCTCAAACCAAACAACTGCGCTGCTCCATGCATGCCTTGCTTTCTTGTGCCTCTGTTTTATTTGTTTGTTTGTTTGATGCTTGAGATAGGGTTTTGCTCTATCACCCAGGCTGGAGTGCAGTGACATGATCAGGGCTCATTGCAGCCTCCATCTCCTGGGCTCAAGTGATCCTCCCACCTCAGCCTCTCAAGTAGTTGGGACTATGGGCATGTGCCTCGGCACGCAGCCAATTTTTTTTTTTTTTTTTTTGAGACAGTCTTGCTCTGTCGCCGAAGCCGGAGTGCAATGGCGCAATCTCGGCTCACTGCAACCTCCAACTCCCGGGTTCAAGTGATTCTCCTGCCTTAGCCTCCCGAGTAGTTGAGATTATAGGTGCATGCCACCATGCCCAACTATTTTTTTGTATTTTTAGTAGAGACAGGGTTTCACGATGTTGGCCAGACTGGTCTCAAACACCTGACCTCAGATGATCAGCCTGCCTTGGCCTCCCAAAGTGCTGGGATTACAGGCATGAGCCATTGAGCCCTATCCCAGCTAAGTTTTTCAATTTATTTTGTGTAGAGATGAGGTTTCACTATGTTGCCCGGGCTGGTCTCGAGCTCCTGGCCTTAAGCAATCCTCTCACCTCAGCCTCCCAGAGTGCTGGGATTACAGGTGTGAGCCACCATGCCTGGCCAGAATATCCTAATAATTTTACATTGATTGCATCTTGAAATAGGATTTTTGCTATGTAGGTTAATTATTAAAATTAATTTCACCTGTTGCTTTTTACCTTTTTAATGTGGATACTAGAAAAATTTAAATTATACAGATGGCTTGTATTGTATTTCCCCTGGAGAACTCTGTTCTAGAGTTGATAAAGGAGAAAACCTGAAGAATTGTAGACATAAGGGCCGAAGTCAAAGCCGACAGAGGAGAAGGCCCCAGGAGAGGGTACAGGGTAAGAAGGCAGACCAGGCCGGGTGCAGTGGCTCATGCCTGTAATCCCAGCACTTTGGGAGGCCGAGGTGGATGGATCACTTTAGGTCAGGAGTTCAAGACCAGCATGACAAAACCCCGTCTCTACTAATAATACAAAAATTAGCCAGGCGTGGTGGTGCTTGCCTGTAATCCCAGCTACTCAGGAGGCTGAGACAGGAGAATTGCTTGAACCCAGGAGGTGGAGCTTGCAGTGATCCAAGATCACACCACTGCACTCCAGCCTGGGTGACAGAGCAAGACTCCATCTCAAAAAAAGAAAAAAAAAAGAAAAAAAAAGAGTTGAAAGGCACCAGTGTAGACTCCTCTTCGAGAACTCGCCTGAGGAGCGGGGAAGAGAGAACATGATCCCGTGAAGGGGCTGACAGGGTGAAGGGAAGGATGTTTCATTTTGTGTTGTTTTCAGTGGAGAAACTTCAGTATGTTTATAGGCTGAGAGAGGGATGGGCTGAAGATAAAGGACAGAGAAAAAGGACAGAGTAAAGTACCTGAATAGGCTGGACAGCTGGATTGGTGCAGAAGTGGAGGTGTCCTCCAGGAAGGAGAGGACCCCGCCCCAGCCAAGGGGTGATATGTGGATACACGGGTGGTTAATGGGTCTGGTGGTAAGAGGGACAAGAGGGTGAGCTGAACATAGGAAGTGTTGATTATTTTACCTATCAAGCAGCAGATCAAGCCATTTGCTGATTTAAAAAAAAAAAAAAAAGTCAGAGTACAGAGCAGCTTTGGGGAAGTCTGAGAAAATGTGAAATAGCCCAGATATGGTGGGGGAGAGGCAGCTGAGCAGAGCCCACTGGGTCCCTCAGAAGCCCCAGGACAGAAGCAGGGGAGCCCAGAGCTGGGCTGGCTTCAGATCCAGGATAAGATACAGCAGGAGAGGACAGGAACAGATGGGGGTGCAGGGGGGAGTGAGGTCAGGACAGGTTGACAGGCTGGCAGGGTCAAGAGGTAGAGGGACTGGAGGAGGCATGGAGGGTCTGAAAACAGAGGGGCCCCCATGGCCTTTCCTGCATTCCAATACCATGTGCTAAAAATACTGGATGAGCATAGGCCGGGCATGGTGGCTCACGCCTGTAATCCCAGCACTTTGGGAGACTGAGGCAGGCCGATCATGAGGTCAGGAGTTCGAGACCTGCTTAGCCAACATGGTGAAACCCCGTCTCTACTAAAGATACAAAAAATTAGCCAGGTGTGGTGGCACATGCCTGTAATCCCAGCTACTCGGGAGGCTGAGGCAGGAGAATCACTTGAACCCGGGAGGCAGAGCAGTGAGCTGAGATCACACCACTGCACTCCAGCCTGGGCAACAGGGTGAGACTCTCTCAAAAAAATAAAATAAATAAAATAAAATACTGGGTGAGTGAATGAACCCCACATGATTCCTTGTGTCAGGGTTGCCAACTGGCAACTCATGCACCTAATTCATCCAGCGCACAGATTCTGTTTAGATAACTTGGTTTTGAAGAACAGAAGTTTCCATCTCTCTTGAAAAATGAGCAGCTCAGGCAACACTGGCCTGCATTCCACCCTCCATGGCAACAGTCAGCTGGAGTGGCAGCAGCTATACAGCCTTGCACAGATTGGCACTCTGCAGCCAGCCAAAGTCCCCACCGCCCTGAGTGGCCGCTCTCTTGGCCCCCGTAGTATGTGATCTACAACCCTTGCCCCGTGTCTCACGTGTATGGCTGGTTTTCCAGGGCCCGGATGGCTCCAGCCCCTCCTCTCCCTGATCAGTGAATGTGGCCTAGCCCATCCAACTCTCCCCCACAGCCAGGAGGCCAGCTCCAAGGGCAACACACCTGGAAGCTGCAACACAGATCAGTCCACTTCCCTTGTCCTGGCTGCAATAAATGGGGCCAAGGTCACACTAGCTTTTTTGGCAAAACATTCACCCTGGTGACTCACTGAGATTCCTATATATATATTTACAAAAAAAAAAAGAAAAAAAAAGCCCTCACTTCTTGGCACAGCCTGGCAACTAAAAATAACAACACCACAATATCCGATATAGGCTTACGCCTCACAAAGTTCTTTTACAAGTGCTACTGTCTTCAATCCTCACAACAAATCTGCACAGCAAGAATTTTTCTCCCACTCTATAAGTGGGGAAACTGAGGCCGAGAGAGGCATCTTGAACTACCTGAAAGTGAGGACCTTACCCTGGCTGGGGGAGCATTAACAAGCCAGTCTTTAAAAGCTGGCAATATTTAAGCTAAGGTACAGAGCATAGAGGTTAAGGGTCAAGACTGTGATATTGGGCTGGGCACGGTGACTCATGCCTGTAATCCCAGCACTTTGGGAGGCCGAGGTGGGAGGATCACTTGAAGTCAGGAGTTCAAGACCAGCCTTGACAACATGGTGAAACCTTGTCTTTCCTAAAAATACAAAAATTGGCTGGGCATGGTGGCATGCACCTGTAATTCCAGCTACTCCAGAGGCTGAGACGCAAGAATCGCTTGAACCCGGGAGGTAGAGGTTGCAGTGAGCCGAGATTGCACCACTGCGACAAAGCAGGACTGTATCTGAAAAAAAAAAAACAAAAAAGACTGTGATATTAGACTGCACTGGATTTAATCTTGACTTAAAGTGTGACCTTGGGCAAAAGGCTTAGTCTCAAGGAGCCTCAGTTTTCCCATCTGTGAAACTGGGATAATAATAGTACCTGCTTCACAGGGCTATTGTGAGGATTTGGGAAGATGCTGCACGTAAGGGGCTTAGCATCACAGAGCCCGGGATGCATTAGGTGATCAATGAAAATCTCAACAAAAGGAGGAGGAACACAGATGTGGGCAGGTATCAAGCATGTGGGCGGTGCCTATTTCCCTAACAGCTCTCAGAGGATGCACCCTCCTGCCTCCGAGGTTCCAAGGGTTAACAGCCCTCATGGGGCTGGAATGTCTTGTGGTAAGTGAATTACTTTGCCCTGGATTAAGGAGGGACAGGATCCAACTGCTGTCCTCACAGCTCAGGAGCCAAAGCAGGTGGGGAGGTAAGAGAGGAGTAGGGGAGGGCCAGAGACAGAGAGGAGACAGCAGCTAGAGCACCCGTCGTAATAACAAGGGACCAATACATGGGTACCACACTGGGTGCTGAGACTTGGCCTTCTTCACACAAGTCCTCCTGTTAACAAATAAGGAAGCTAAAGTTGTGGGCCGGGCGAGGTGACTCACGCCAGCAATCCCAGCACTTTGGGAGGCCGAGGCAGGAAGGTCACCTGAATTCGGGAGTTTGAGACCAGTCTGGCCAACATGGTGAAACCCCATCTCTACTAAAAATAGAAAAATTAGCTGAGCACAGTGGCACGTGCCTGTAGTCCCAGCTACTCAAGAGGCTGAGGCAAGAGAGTCACTTGAGTATGGGAGGTGGGGGCTACAGTGAGCTGAGATCGTACCACTGCACTCCATCCTAGGAGACAGAGTGAGACCCTGTCTCAAAAACAAGAAAGCTAAATTTGTGAACAGTTAAGATACTTGTGGATAGTCGCACAGCTAGAAGATAACAGAGCTAGGATTCAAACACAGCTCCAAAGCCCACGAAGGCCTAATTCTACACGATATAAGTGAGAAGTCAGGCTTTAAGCCAGGGAGAGACCTGCCCAAGGCAACTGGTCACTCAGTGGCAGGGTCAGGCTAAGAACCCTGGTGTTCCAATTTCCTCTCTCCCTTGAGCTCCATGGGCCCCACCACACACACAAACAGCCTCTCTCACCCCACCTTCCTCTAGCATGCACCTGGCTGCCTTTGCCTCCCTTCCCAGAGGCTGCCCCTTCT
This sequence comes from Homo sapiens, assembly GCF_000001405.40. NCBI lineage: Eukaryota > Metazoa > Chordata > Mammalia > Primates > Hominidae > Homo > Homo sapiens. The sequence goes on from NC_000009.12 coordinate 43,118,051, forward strand.
TTTTCTAGACCCTGGACCCTGCATAAGATGCAATAAACATGGCTACAGTCATGTTAAGGGCAGAGGCTCACTGGGGTAAGTGGCAGGGCTGAAGCAGGTGGAGAGGGAGCAACCTCACATCCTGCCTGCAGTCTGGATTCTGTCCCAATCACACACTAAAGAAGAGCCCTTGTCAAGGTTACCAGCAACCTCCACGTTGGCAAACCCTAAGGCCCCTTGCCAGTGCTCACCTCGTGTGGCCCATCTGCCGCTGCCCATGCCGCTGACGGCTTCTTCCTGGTGGAACCACTGCCCCCTCTGTCACGCAGTCGGCTCTGGTTCTCCTCCCACCTCTCTGACCATTCCTTCTCAGGCTCCTTTGTGTGCCCCTCTTCATTCCTCAGGGCTCTGTCCTCAAACCATCCTTTTCTCTTTCTGTACACTCCTTCTAGACAGTGTTGACAACCACCACCTGTGTTGTGATGAACTTCAACTTTTTCCTTCCAGACCAAGCCTCTCCTGAGCTCCAGCCCCTTGCCTGTGTTTAACTATCTCCTGGATTTCCCCACAGGCATCTTGCCTCTCACCCTGTGCTGGGTCCCGTGCTCCAGAACAGCTCATCGGCGCTTTGCCCACATGTTCTGTTGGCAGAGTCTCCCCGATTCTGTCTTCCACAGCCCTCTCAAACATGTGCTTTCTTCTCCAACCCCAGATCAGTCATCACCCTCTCTGTCCCAGATCAAAAACAGCCTCTTAACTGGTTCCTTCTTGCCAGCCTTGCCTGTCCTGCTTATGCTCCACACTGCACCCAAAATTACCTTTAAAATCCAAATCTGATCATGTCACTCCCCTGCTTGCCAGCCTTCAACATCGCCCATTGCCCTCTGGATTCATTATCAGAGCCTGATCTTCAAGTTTCTCTTCAATCTCTCTCTCTTTTTTTTTTCTTTTTTTTCTTTTTTTTTGAGACAGAGTTTTGCTCCTGTCACCAAGGCTGGAGTGCAATGGTGTGATCTCAGCTCACTGCAACCTCCACCTCCTGGGCTCAAGTGATTCTCCTGCCTCAGCCTCCTGAATAACTGATATTACAGGTGTCTGCAACCATGCCCAGCTAATTTTTGTATTTTTAGTAGAGATGGGGTTTCACCATGTTGGCCAGGTTGGTTTCGAACTCCTGACCTCAGGTGATCCACTTGCCTAAGCCTCCCAAAGTGCTGGAATTACAGGCATGAGCCACTGCACCTGGGCCTCTTTAATCTCTTTACTCTGGGTTTCCCTTCTCCCCATTTCCAGCCTTGCCCCGGATACCCCAGTGCATGATTTCATTTGACCCCCACATATTATGAGCCCTTTCTGTCCAAAAAGACTTGATGAGAAAGCCCCCCCTCCTTACTTTCCTCGCTGCTTCCCCAGGCTCCCAGCTCAGAGGCAAGGAATGGACAATGTGACCCATGGGGTCAGAATGGGGAGGGGGTCATGGAAGGCCATGGCAGAGCCCCACTCACTTCGTGCTGCCCACCCACTCACCATCATGACATATGTGCTCATGAACTCAGCCAGGAACTCTCGCTCCATCTTCCTCTCATCTTCCTCGCACCATATTTCCTGGATCTTTGCTATCACGGACCAGGAGACCATTTTGGAGCCACGGGTGGACCTGATACAGTGGCCCGAGCCCATGGACAGTAAGGAGACTCAAGTCTGCCTGCTGCCCATCGGCTCTTCAACTCACAGCTGAGTTAATAGGTAACCCAGCAGACTTGCCACACACACCTCCTCTTGCCTGGAGCAGCTGGGACAGCTGGAATTGGAGACACTTGAGAGCCATGGGGACATGGAGAGGAACTGGGGTAGATGGCCAAGCCATGCCCCTTGTAGTTGGGACTGGACCAGTAAAAATGGCACACCAATGAGGCCACTTTGCAGACGGGCAGGTGGGGAGCTGAAAGTGCAATCCACGGTGCCAACAAGCCTCTGGGAAAAAGCAGGGTGGGAGAGAGCAGGCTGGAAAGTAGAGCTCAGTAGTCTATGTCTGTCCATCTGTCTGTCCGCCTATCTGCTAGAGCCAGAACTTTGGGGTCACAGGCCAGGGCCTGGCAACAGTGAGGCACTCTACAAACAGCATGAGGTGTGACAAAGTCTGCTGCTTAGCTCTGTAAACAGCACTGAGTGCTGAAACATGCGCCAGGTTCTGTCAAAAATGAAGGGGTCAGCAAAATGCACCAGGCTGTGCAACCAGGTCAGTGCAAACAGAGGTTTGTGAGAGAGTGAGTGAATGAATGAATGACCAAGAGAGAGGGAGGGAGAAAAGGAAGGACTGGATCTACTTCCTGGTGTATCTTCAGTGCCCAGCACCATGCCAGGCACATAGTAGATGTGCAATAAGTATTTGTTGAATGAGTGAAAACTGGGGAATCTGTCTTACTCCCAACTAGATCCTCAGAGCTTCCCAAAGGGCCTGGCACTTGATTTATATTTAGTTAAGTGCACGGTTAGATGGAAAGGTAGATGAAACAGGTGAGTAACATGTCCCAAATCTGCGTATAGGGAGAGGTATAGGACTGGAGTTTGGGGAAGGTGGCGGGGTGGGACTGGAGGATAAAGAGGAAGAAGAGGGGCTGGGCCCGGTAGCTCACGCCTATAATCCCAGCACTTTGGGAGGCCAAGGTGGGCAGATCACCTGAGGTCGGGAGTTCGAGACCAGCCTGACCAACATAGAGAAACCCCATCTCTACTAAAAAATACAAAATTAGCCAGGCATGGTGGCGCATGCTTGTAATCCCAGCTACTTCGGAGGCTGAGGCAGGAGAATCACTTGAACATGGGAGATGGAGGTTGTGGTGAGCCGAGATCTTGCCACTGCACTCCAGCCTGGGCAACAAGAGCGAGACTCCATCTCAAAAAAAAAAAAAAAAAAAAGAGGAAGAAGAGGGATACAGATACCTCTAAGTATGGCCTTAGTCACTCTGCTATCTCACTGTCTGCATGCCCGGAAGCTGACACCAACCCCTCAACTCCTCTGGCCAGCCCATCCTTGCACATCACGTACTGCCTTAGCTGCAGGCCTTTGCACATGCCAGTCCTACACCGAGAATGGTCCCCTGCCTCCCCAGAGGCTCCTTTACCCGCCAGCCTTCTTTTCTTGACCTAAATTTCCCTTTCTCTGGGAGAGCCTCCTACCCTCTCCTCTAGGCCATTCACTTCTTCCACATGCCACACGGTGCCCACTCTTTCAGCTGGGGCAATGCTCATCACACTGCATAGTAATTGCTCAGTTAGGCCAGGCACAGTGTCTCACGCCTGTAATCCCAGCACTTGCCGAGGCGAGCTGATCGCTTGAGCCCAGGAGTTCAAGACCAGCCTGGGCAGTATGACAAAACCTCATCTCTACAAAAAAAAAAAATACAAAAATTAGTCAGGTGTTGTGGTGTACGCCTGTGGTCCCAGCTAATGGAGAGGCTGATGTGAGAGGATTGCCTGAGCCCAGAAGGCAGAGGTTGCAGTGAGCTGAGATCACACCACTGCACTCCAGCGTGGGTGACAGAGCGACACCCTGTCTCAAAAAAAAAAAAAAAAAAAAAAAAAGCTTAATTAATTAACGGTTTTTCTTCCTAAGGGCTGGGATCATACCAGTTTGCTTCACTGCAGTGCCTGAACATAGTAGGCACAGTAGATTCAATAAATCTTTGGTTCCTTGGCTGGTTGTTGCCTGCTCTGTGCTGATGAGAAAGGAGCCAGGCTTCCAGGATTCTCTTGGTGTTCTTGGCTCCCTGCTCTGTCTACCTCTCCCCTGCCTCTATGGTACCTTCCCAGGACTGTCTTTGGGCTGCTGCTTGCATTGGTAGGGTCTCTTCTTCAGGGCTGAGGAGGCTGGTCATGTGATAATGAGACCCCTATACGATGCTACATGGGAGCTGGAGTTGGATGGGGCCAGTGGAATATCCGCACAACTCTGCATCCCCCTCCATCTACTCATCCCTGGTTTTGTTTCTCTGGGGTAAGGAATAGAGCAAGGACTGGGCTGGGTGAGCTATGAACAGAGGGTCTCAGCTGAAAAGTGGAAGATGTTTTATTCCATGCCTGGACGTCTCTCATTCCCTCTGCTTACTTTTTGCTGCTGTGAGGTCAGGGGAATTTAGGAGCCCTGAGGAATACTGCTGCTCTCCCTAGCAGGGTGAGGTGACCCTCCACTGGCTCCCATCCAACCCCACCTCCCATGCTGGAGGTAACCACAGAAGAGGAGAGAGAAGTGGACAGAGCAGAAATACAAGAACACCAAGAGAATCCTGGAAGCCTGGCTCCTTCCTCATCACCACACAGCAGGCAAGACACAGTAAGCAACAGATAACCACCAACCAGCCAATGAACTCAAGATTTCTTGAATCTACTGTGCCTAGAATGTTCAGTCACTTCAGTAAAGGACACTGGTACAATCCAGCCCGTGGGAAGAAAAGCAATCAATTGAGCAATTACTATGCAGTGTGATGAGCATTGCCCCAGCTGAAAGAGTGGGCACCGTGGGGCATGTGGAGGAAGTGAATGGCCTAGAGGAGGGGGTAGGAGGCTCCCAGAGAAAGGGAAATTTAGGTCAAGAAAAGAAGGCTGGAGGGTAAAGGAGCCTCCAGGGAGGCAGGGATCACTCTGGGTGTAGGACTGGCATGTGCAAAGGCCTGCAACTAAGACAGTATCCAATGTGCAGGAATGGGCTGGCCACGGAGGAGTGGAGGTGGCATGAGATGGGCAGAGAGGGGCCAGGGCCAGGTGGCAGAAGGCCTCATGGCCCACATTAGGGAGTCTGAACTCTACCAGAGGGCCATGGGCCAAGTGGAGGATTTCAGCAGGAGAGCTGCCTCCCCTGTGGAGGCCAGGATGGAGGAAGTGGAGTGGAGGCAGGGTGAGCATCAGCTTCTCCACAGATGGGTGGAGAAGTGGTGGCAGCCTGAGCCACAGAGATGGCAGTGCCAATGGCCACAAGAGCACAGTCAAGCTGACAGGCTTGGTGTTTGGTTAGAGAGGGAAGGGAGCGGGGCAGCTCAGCGATGCCCTCAGGTCCTGGCTAGGGCAGCGGAATGACTAGCGTGGGGCACAGCAGAGAAGCTGTGGAAGAATGGACAAGGAGGCCCTTTCTGGACATGTTGAGTGTGAGGAGCCCGCTAGACACTTGGGTGGGATGGCCAGTGAGGAGGCAGCTGGTCATGTGGTCTCACTTACAGACACATTTGGAGGACAGCAAATCACAGATGGTCATCTGAGCCATGGGCATAGATGAGAGAGCTCAAGGAGAGGGTACAGACTAAGAAGAGGGGCCCAAGAAAGCCAGCCTACAAAGCAAGAAACTGACAGCCAACCAGATCCCCTAAGTTATCTGTTAACCAAGGAACTAAATAGCTAACAACTCACTAATGCCTGTTTCTTTTCTTTTTCTTTTCTTTTTTTTTTTTTTTTTTTTTTTGAGACAGGGTCTCACTCTGTCACCCAGGCTGAAGTGCAGTGGCACAGTCACAGCTCACTGAAGCCTAGACTTCCCAGGGTTCAAGTGATCCTCCCACCTCAGCCTCCCAAGTAGTTGGGACTACAGGAGCATGCCACCTTGACCGGCTATTTTTTCCTATTTTTTGTAGAGATGGGGTTTTGCCATGTTACCCAAGCTGGTCCCAAACTCCTGGACTCAAGCAATCCTCCAGCCTCAGCCTCCCAAGGTGCAGGGATTTCAGGCATGAGCCACTATGCCCGGTGGCTTACTAACCCTTTGACTAACCTATCAAAAACCAACTAACTGATTCTCCTGTTAACCAGCTATTAACTCATTGAATTATCTAATCAACCAGTCAACCATAAACTATCCAACTAACCACGAGCCAACAATTCAACCTGCTAACCAACATTTCTTCATTCAACAAACATTTGTTGGCCAGGCATGGTGACTCATGCCTGTAATCCCAACACTTCAGGAGGCCGAGGCAGGTGGATCACTTGAGGTCAGGAGTTCAAGACCAGCCTGGCCAACATGGCAGAACCCCATTTCCACTAAAAATAAAAAAAAAAATTAGCTGGTCGTGGTGGCAGGCGCCTGTAATACCAGCTGGGGTGGGGGCTGAGATGTGAGAATTGCTTGAGCCCAAGAAGCAGAAGTTGCAGTGAGCCGAGATCATGCCACTGCACTCCAGCATGGGCAACAGAACAAGACTCCATCTCAAAAAAAGAAAAAATTTTTGTTGAGCACCTACTTATGAGTCAAGCACCAGGGATACAAAGTCAAAACCCACTCTCCACTCTTGGGTCATTCTGTTTAATAGAAGAGATGGGTAATGGCAACACCACCAGAGAGAAGCAGCCTGGGACTGGGGGAACTCAGGGGAGGCATGGGAGGTGAGGCCTGAAGGGAGTTTTGAAGAATGGGCGGGTGGTGGCCTGACATGGCCATGGAGGAGTAGGGTGGTGGTAGAAAGAATGGTGGAAGCTGTGCACATTCTAGATATTTTAGGAGATTGGTGACTGGATGTGAGGCATGGGGGAGAGGGAAGTATCAAGGACATGACCTTGACTTCTGGCTTGAGCAACTGAAGATAAGGGGACCCCTGACTGAGCCAAGAGCACAGGAGGAGTGGACTTGTGGGGGGCGGAGGAAGCTGTTTCCATCTAGGAGCTGAGTTGCCTGTGAGACACAAGTGGGTCTCTAGAAACAGGATCTAAAGCCCTGGAAAGAGATGTAGGCTAGAGGCAATGATGTCAACAGAGGGGCACTATTCATTCTCTCCGTCCAAGTGTACAACAGGCAAATATCCCTGCTTGTGTGGAGCTGACAGCAATGAAATGTAATAAGTAAGTACCTTTGTATAAGCGAAGGTACCAGCTCCTATGGAAAAAAACAGAGCAAGGGGAGGGGAATTGGGAGTGCAGGGGCTGGAGATGGGGTGTGATTTCAAATAGGGCAGTCAGAGTAATCCTTGTTGAGAAGGTGGCCTTGGAGCAAAGCCATGAAGGAGATGAGAGTGGGCTGTATGTTAACTGCAGAAAGCCTCTCAGATGGAGGGAATAGTCACCAGAGGACTCTCAGCATGTTTGAAGAAAGCAAAGAAAGTCAGTGTGAGGCCAGGTGCAGTGGCTCACACCTGTAATCCCAACCTTTTGGGAGGCCGAGGCGGGTGGATCACCTGAGGTCAGGAGTTCAAGAACAGCCTGGTGAACATGGCGAAACCCCATTTCTACTAAAAATACAAAAAAAAAAAAAAAAACTAATTAGCTGGGCATGGTAGCGTGTGCCTGTAATCCTGTAATCCCAGCTACTCAGGAGGCTGAGGCAAGAGAATCGCTTGAACCCGGGAGAAGGAGGTTGCAGTGACCCAAGATCGTGCCATTGCACTCCAGCCTGGGCAACAGAACTGGATTCCATCTCAAAAAAAAAAAAAAAAAGAAAAAAAAAACAGAAAAGAAACTCAGTGTGGCTGGAGGAGGGAGAGCAGGGGGCTGGAGTGGGGAGGCCAGAAAGCTAACAAGGACTACATAGGCAGGGCCTTGGCCATTGCAAGGACTGGCTCTTTTTCACCCCAAAGACAGCTGAGCCTGAGAGGGTGAGAGGTGCTGAGTGCAGTTGAGTTGAAGGCCACCTGCATGCCTTGACCCTCATCCAAGTATTTCTGAGCCTCCCCTCACCCCAGGACCCAGCCCAGGCAACAGGTGGAAGATGCTTTTCTTCTGGGACCTCAGAGACGAGTGGGTGGGTGGGGAGGAGGAGGTCGAGGGGGGACAGCTGCCCCAAGGGAGAGGCTGAGGATGGAGCAGGGAGGGCACTGAAGTGGGCTGGGTGGAGGACAGGGGGCTGGAGGGTGAGAAGAGGGTGGGGTACTTACCGCCTGTGCCCAGATGCTTGAACCATGTTTTGTCCTTCAGATTTGTAGATGCTGAGGAGCCAAAGAGAGGTCACTAGGGCTGGAGGACACAGAACTTGGCCCCACACTTCCATCAGACCTTGGTCCCCAGGGGAGAAGCCCTGGGGCAGCTCCTGCTAGTGCCACTCCCTTAACCCAGCCAAGCAACAGGGAGGGAGGAGCGGTGCTCAGCCAATGAGGCGACACCCTGGAGCCCCACCCCACCCATGCTGGCCCCAGGACCCCAGCCCCAGGCCAGACCCTCCAGTGCTCCTGCTGACCTTCCCTGTCTGCAGCCCAGCTTTGGACTGTGGAGATGCCCTCAGCCTCTACTCAGTGGCTCCAGCCTCATATTTGCGTGCTATACCTTTAACCTCAAGCCCTCTTGCTGCTAACTTAAGCTGTGACTGTCCAGGACCTGCACACACACACACATGCACGCATGCACACACACACACACACACACACACACACATAAGGTGAACACACAGGATGAGGCCCTGAAAACTCATTTCACCCGTGTACCTCACCCAAAAATTCCCCTTTGTACTCTTATCTTTATCTCTAACTGACAGCATGAAGGTAGCCCGAAGTCCCCTCACCCTGTCTGTCCTCCTGATTCTCTAGCCCAGTTCCCTCTAGCTCCAGCACAGACTCTTATCTCCAGCCCTGACTGCTGAAACCCTCCAGCCCCAGCTCCAGCCCCTCAGGAGGGGACTGCGTGGGAGGAATGACTCCAGCAAGCCGGCAGCTGACCCGTCTCCTGCCTGCACGCCTCCCGCTGTGGTCCACTGCTGGTGGTCTTCAGCTCTCTCCTCGTCCCACCCCCATGGTCTGCTGACAGCCCAGCCCAGTGCATCCCTGCCATCTCTGCTCTGCCACTGGTCCTCCCAACAACCAACTTACAGGTAAGGAAACTGAGGCCCAGAGAGAAGGTGTATGTGCCTGTGTCACACAGCAACACAGGACTGCACCATAACAAGAAAGCTGGGACTTCCACTCCCAGCCGGGGCTCCTTCCCCAAACAATCCCTCAGTCACCTCCTCGCTGTATGGTACCCAGCGAATGGCCCTTCCAGATCTGGGCACTGAGGAGGCTGTCCCATCCCCACCCTGCCTGGAGCCCCACTCACTCTGCTGAAATGTCTTCTGATTCTCAGCCTCTGCCTTGGGGGCTTCTCAGTTAAAGCGCATCTTGATCTTGTTCCTCTGTGACTGTCCCTGTCTCAGCTTCCACCCCCAGCTGGGGCTCAGCTATCCCTGTGTCCCCAGTCCAGAGCCTGCCTCTCAGCCCTCCCAGGGCGGCCTCGAGTGCTGCTCCTGCTCCTCCAGGGGAGAGGTCAGTAAGGCAGGGATTTGGCTGGTGCCACTTGAACCAAGTCCAGATGCACTGCCCAAAATAACATCCCTCATCTGGCCAGCAGTGCCGTGGAGACCGAGTTCTGAAGCAGGCCTTTGTGAGGTCAGAGGTGGAGTTCTGGGTGGGCACTCTGGGCCTCACAGTCCCAGAGGAAAGGCCTGTCCTCCAAGCCAATGTGCAGCCTGACTCTGGGGCCAGCGCCTGAGGAAGCCCTCCCTGAGCCCCAGCCCTGGGGAAGGCTGAAGAGGCCTCTGAACCCCCAGCGCTGGGGAGAGCTGTGCAGAATAGGACTGGAGGTGGAAGTGTTGGAGATTAACAGCCAGATGGAGGGGACGGCGGGAGGCCCTGGGTCAGTCCTCAGGGAACCCCATTCTGAAGGGGGAGAGGGAAACTCAGGCCCAGTCCTCAGGGGCCCCCAGTCTGAGAGGAAGGAGGACACACGAGCCATATTTGCAGAGAGACACCAGCCTGCGAGAGGAGGTAGAAGCCCAGGCCTGGCCCTCCGAGGGCCCCTAGTCTGAGGAGCAGTCCACCTGCCCTCGGGAAAACACCTCCCTTAGGAAAGGCCAGCAAGGCCCCCGTAAAGGAGCCACAGCTGGATCGGGGCATGGGGCTCGGGGCCCAGCGGCGTGGGAGCTCCGGGACCGAGGTGCAGTCAGGAGAGGCCCTGGGGGCCAGCGGCAGTCCAAGAGGACTTTTGGAGCCAAGGCCTGACTGGGTCTCAAACAATGGGGCAGGCAGTTTGGGGTTTCAGCAGGTGGCCCAGTGCTGAGACACAAGGGAGTTGTTTCTGGTCTGCAGACACTGAGGACACTTGCTATGTGGCGTGGTGGATGGTGGGTAAGTCCTGGGAATTTCTGGCACCAGGTTCCATGGGTGGGAAGGGGCATAGGATTCAGTTGTCCAAAGCTCAGGTGTGGGAATGGAACTGTCCTGTAGAGGGTGCCAAAGACCAGGTCTGGAAACTGCATAGCCCCAGTCCCCACCCCCACACACACCATCCCACCCCTTCCAGCTTTTTCTGCAGATCTTTCTGCAGGGGTGAGGCAGGGAGAGGAAGGGGTCGGCCGCAGTTCCGGGGCTTCCTAGTCAGAAGCCCTCTGTAAGGCACTAACTTCCCTCTTCCCTCTGCAGATTTTTTTTTTTTTTTTTTGAGACGGAGTCCCACTCCACCCAGGCTGGAGTGCAGTGGCACAATCTTGTCTCACCACAGTCTCTGCCACCCAGTTCAAGTGATTCTCCTGCCTCAGCCTCCCAAGTAGCTGGGATTACAGGCATGCACCACCAAGCCCAGCTAGTTTTTTTGGATTTTTAGTAAAGACAGGGTGTCACCATATTGGTCAGGCTGGTTTCGAACTCCTGACCTCAGGTAATCCACCCGCCTCGGCCTCCCAAAGTACTGGGATTATAGGTGTGAGCCACTGTGCCCGGCCTCCCTCTGCAGATTCTACGTGGGCTCTAAGCAGCCTCTAAATTGCCTGAACACCTAAGGCTTATTTGCTAGTTGACATCTGATCTATTCTGACACTGAAAATTTCAGTGCTTTAGGGTGCTAAAAGGAAAAAAGAGGGTTTGCAAGGAATCCTGCAGTTGCTGAGGGGGACCCTGATAAGGGAATTTTAAGCAATTATAGTAAGTGTCACTAAACTTTTTAAAAAATCTTTAACCAGATTAAACTTACACAATTTTGTTATAATTTGTGTTTCTGCAGCTTCCAATTGTGGACAAGATAAGGACCATTGCCCAGGCTGTCTATGGAGCCAAAGATATCGAACTCTGTCCTGAGGCACAAGTCAAAATAGATCGTTACACTCAGCAGGTAAAAGTTGTAATTTTAGGGGAAAAGAAAAAATTCACCTTAGGCTCTCAGAATACTCAGCTTGACTTGAGGATTTGTACATGTCTCACCAGCTAACCTCTGCTTAATCTATTTTCTGATTAACAAAGATGAAAGCAATATCCTCGGGTAGAGTGTACACTATATTTAGAACTTTATGGTGAGGCATGTATCCTCTGATCCATGCACCATTTACTTCTGTGACTATAAATGTGTCTGATATGGGTGGTATCCCTGTTTGTAGGTGATGTGTGATCTTTCATCCCTCCCACTCAGCCCAGAATGTTGAAACTATCCTTTGGAGTAGAGCTGCGGAGTCAGATTTACATGAATTGCAATGCTTCCTCTTCCTTACAGGCCTCTTACTACCTTAAAAATGCTAGCAAGGTGCCAGGGTAGGCAGATAGGAGTGCAACCTATAAAGATGGGAACGTTTGCTGTTCTTATGCAAGCGGTTCATTGGCTTTTTACTGAGCTGGTCCACTGAGGTTGAAGGCTCCATCATCTTCTACCTCTAGCCACTGAGAAAGGCAAGTAGGCAAACAGCTGGGAAGGTGGCTATGATCTGACAGCATGTGTCATCACCTAGTCCAGTGACAGTCATGATGAATCAACTCCATTACAGGAGGCTCAGCCACCTTTTACCAAAAGGACCATGTGCCTCCAGTGTCCCTCCTACTTTGGTGTAATCAGATAGATAGAAGTCAGAACATTTTAAGAGCCTGCTGGCTAAAGAGCTTCATGATTGGTAGTGTTGACCTTATCTTTAAAAACAATCTCCAACTCCTTATTCTTTTTTGTAAACCCATTTGAAATTTTGTTAAATGCTACCATTGCCAGCCAGGGTATTTGTTCTCCTAGGTTTGGTAAAATAGGAACTCAGAAAGTTCTAAATTCTTAAAATTTTCCCTGATGTTCTTGGCTTACCCTTTACAAAAAGGATTCCCAAGCACTGCTCTGTGCCTAGGCATTGTGGTGAAGTTTTCATTCATGTGCAATGAACCAAGTAAAATAAGGTCATTCTCATGAGGTTGCTTTGTTTTTTTTTCCCCTGAGTTTTTAATAATGATATTTAAGACTATCATTTATTGTAATATTAAGTCTTTTCTCCTTTCAGTGTTAAAATGTTATTTCTTTTATGAAGTAATGTGGTGACAGTATATAGCATACTGGTTGGTTTCTGTTTCTTTTTAATATGCCTACTGACAAAATTTTTACATTAGCAAACCTATAGAAATTACTTTAATATTTAACCATGTCTGAAATTCAAAATTCTGGCACCATTCTGAAAGGCAGTTGTGATTCTCACTCAGCAAAATTCTTATCAGTATAGAAGAGTGGAGATTTCAAAAAGAAAATGGCCCCAAGCCCAAGTCCTCCCTAAGTTGATAAGACTCTAAGATCTTCCAAATAGTTTTAGGCTAAGTCTTATGAAAATTTGACTAAAGATTTCATTCCCTTTATCTCTATCAAGGAAATACTCCTTAAAACTCGTGTCAACCAGGCATGGTGCTCACACCTGTAATCCCAGCACTTTGTTGGGGCAAGGCAGAGGATCAGTTGAAGCCAGGAGTTGAGACCACTCTGAGCAACATAGCAAAACCTCCATCTCTATTTTTATTTTTTTAAAAGTTAGTGCCAAGTATGTGGTTGCAATGAATTAGCAAAGCCTCTAAAGGAACACTGTGTGCCATTTAATCAGAAACAGGCTTAGAGGACACTGTGCTTTTTGTGAGACACCACATGTGACTTCCTGATCTTTCACCTTTGGAACTCTGGGTCAGACATAGACTTTGGTCCTTAAAAACAAGAAGCTTAAATAGTGACCTCATCTTAGTTCTTGTAATGTAGTTGCAGATCAAATAACCATGATTCATAAACCAACACAAAGGAACCCTTTGCTTCTTGACTGACTCCAGAATGAGTGAACAACATAACTAAGAGCCTAGTCGCAGAGCCTTTCTCCAGATTACCTTGCTGGGTCCCAGATATTAATAGTCTTGGAAAGCGGTTTCTACAGCTGCTGCTTTGCCTGAAAATAGCAATGCTTTTCCCAAACATGCACATAACACTGCCTTCTCTTAACGAGACCTCCAAAATAAACAATAGTCACCCTTGACCTACTAAACAGTCATCACATGGAGATGAGTTTTTATCCTCACCTTCTTGCTTCTTCAGTGAACAAGTAGTAACAAGCAGCTCCTGCGTGTGCCTCGATCTGAGCTGGCATACCATTGCTGCCGAGACTGTATAAAGTGCAAATTGAAGAACACAGGAGACTCACATCTATATCAGTGAACACATTTTCTTTCCTTTCTTACAGGGTTTTGGAAATTTGCCCATCTGCATGGCAAAGACCGATCTTTCTCTGTCTCACCAACCTGACAAAAAAGGTGTGCCAAGGGACTTCATCTTACCTATCAGTGATGTCCGGGCCAGCATAGGTGCTGGGTTCATTTACCCTTTGGTCGGAACGGTGAGTGAGTCACATTTTCCAAAATCCCTCCCCATTCTGCATTGTCGCAGTGCCTCAAATCGTTATGCTCCACCCGCTCTTTAAAAATCATGGATTAGGGAGAATTGGGAGTAATTAATAGTACAGTATTCGCTATTTTTCTAAACACTCTGTCTCACCTACCTTTGCCATTGTGGTTTGGGTTTTTCTTTTTTTAGATCATGTGTTCAGGATCCTTAGAGTCATAATACTAATTTCCTTCCTAAGGCAAGTAAGAACATAACTTGGGAGAATTCAGTCTATTTAAATGGTAGAATGGCTTAGGACAGTGGTTGTCAACCTTTATCACACATAGCACCCAAAATGATGTAATCAGTAGGGTTGAATGCTCACACCAGACAGGATCTGCCCAGTCACCACAAGGGCTGGGGAAAGCAGTCCTCACCCTCTCACTTCCCCAGCACATCAGGTGGGAAGTTCTGGCTTAGGAAATTACTGAATCATATGAATTCTCATTTTTGATGTTGTTGTGATGGGATTATGTTGCTATTGGTTGATTATTCTGTTATTTTGTGTTATCTATGGAGGTAAAGGAGATGAGCAGAGATATAAAAGCTTATCAAAGTGCTTAAAATCCATGAAGATTGGCTTCATTTGGTATAGCTACACAGTGATAGCCTTCCATTGGTACCATCAGTGGCCTAAATTTGATTTCTTGTCTTTGGGAGTGCTCCTGAATTTGGTTTAGAATAAAAAAGAATTCTTAAAACCTGGCAGATCCCATGGCAAGAAAAGAAAAAAAATTCTAACCCATCATTATCATCATCATTAGTGCAAAGTGATCTGAGCTTAAACAGCATACATTATAATAATTTTTTATAATAAACCATGTGGCTCTATTGTGCAAACAAGCAATAGACAGACAAAAAGTGCAGATTCTTGCCTTGATATTTACATACTTCATCTAATATTGGACACAATGTTTTTTCAATCAGCATCATTTGAATTCTTCCTGCATGTGAGGCACAGAGATTTTAAGATGAGCAGGTGTGAGATGCATGGATTTGAATAGCATAGAGGTATCTGGAGAGCATTGTGTTGGTATTCTGAATGCCCTCAGATCCCAGGGGGATAACAGCTCATTATGCCTGGGGTAGAACTTACCTGGGCTGTGGAAGAAGAGGGGATTCTTCAAAAAGGGCTCAACCTCTGAACTGGCAAAACAGTGAGTTTTGACTCAAAGGCACCAGAGTACTAATACATGACATCCTCTCCTGGGGTGATCCAATGTGGCTGGAGTTGGATGAGGTGGGGAGGCTGGGGATGGGAATGGGAATGGGATTGGGATAGCAGGACGGGGTCACATGGCCAAGGATCTTGAAGACCATCTCACGGAACTTGAGTCTGATCTCTACACACTGAGGAGCCACGGTAGGGTGGGTTTTTTGTTTGTTTCTTGGTTTTTTATTTTTTTGATTTTTTGTTTTTAAATAAGGAGGAGAAGAATGTGGTCTGATGTGTATTTTAGAAAAATAGCTCTGGCAGCAATGTGGAGAATGTTTAGTGAAAAGAGAACCAGGCCCAGATAGGTGGGTTAATTCAGCTGGGGCCAGAGGAAATCAAGGTCTGCACTTTGGCCACAGAAGTAGATACGGAGAGTGGGGGTGAATTGCAGACATACTCTAAAAGTATCCTCCTACAGTAGGGGCCGGGTGAAGGGACTGTTCTAGCTTGGTGACTGGCTGGTGATGCCATCACCGTGTCATGGAAAGGACACGGGAGGAGGCAGATTGGCCAAGCCAGAAATGAGCCTGGCTTGAAGAGAGAGAGCTCAGAGGGTTAATAGGATCTAAGGAACAGTCTGTGTCTCCACTGGAAATACAGATACAGCTCTCCAAAGAAAGGGGAAGGAAGGTCGCCCTGGTGGGTTTAAGGATATGGGTGAAGGCACTCATTAAACAAGAGACACAGGGATAGCTGGAAATCAGTGAGAAGAGAGTAAAGGAAGACACCCCTGAAACACCCACTTTAATGCAGCCGACTCCTGGCAGGGGTGCCTTCCAGAAGGCAGGAAGGAAGGAGCAGGGGCATGGCAGAGAACGTCCAGAAAAATCCCACAGACACCGCTCACAGCAATGTTGACACAGAGAGAAGGGTCCAGATGAAATGGGTTCTGAATGACATTTTCAGGTCTACAGTTCAGATCAGCAGTTGCCAGGAGTTGGGGGAGGGAAGTGTTTGACTGCAGAGGGGCAGGAGGGAACTTTTTGGGATAATGGAAATATCCTATGTTTTGACATGGTAGTGATTCCATGGCTATATACATTCTTCCAGACTCATAGACCTATACACGTGTGTTGCCCAGGCTGGACTCAAACTCCTGATCTCAAGCAATCCTCCCACCTCAGCTTCCCAAGTTGCTGTGACTATAGGTTCGTGCCACTGTGCTGGGCCTGTGTATCATTTAGTTATACCTCAGTTAAAAATGGGTACTGAAGAGCTTGCTGTATATTCCTTAGAATGGCCTCAGTCAGCCGGGTGCAGTGGCTCACGCCTGTAATCCCAGCACTTTGGGAGGCCAAGTTGGGCGGATCACAAGGTCAGGAGTTGGAGACCTGCCTGGCCAAAAGGGTGAAACCCCATCTCTACTAAAAATACAAAAATTTGCTGGGCATGGTGGCGGGCACCTGTAATTCCAGCTACTCGGGAGGCTGAGGCAGGAGAATTGCTTGAACCTGGGAGGCAGAGGTTGCAGTAAGCCAAGACTGCGCCATTGTGCTTCAGCCCGGGTGACAGAGCAAGACTCCATCTCTAAATACATACATACATACATACATACATAGAATGGCCTCAGTGATGGCCACTTTACTCCTGAGCTTTAGTTGGCAAAGGCCTTGGCTTAGGGATAAGAGGGTGGCTGGACAGTGCAGGCCCAGAGAGACTGGACCATCAGGGGAAGTGAGGGGTGACGGAGGTGCCCAAACAGAGCATGAAATGGTAGAGTAGATGAGAAGGTTAGCCTCGATCACGATCTGTTCTGTCCTACCCTCTGCGGACTCTAAACCCCGCAGCAGTTCACCCAACAAATTCATTCACTCGGCCAATGCTGCATAAGGCACTCAGCTCGGGGCTACAGGAAGCCCCAACCTAAAGAAGCTTTCTCTGCTTCAGGTAGTTTACAGCTGGTAGACGCAGATAGAAGTGAATTAGCAAAGAAAATAGTTTGATATAAAAATTGTGCATTTAACTGCAACCTTAATTCACTTCTGAGCATTTAATAGCCATTAAACAAAAACCAGGGCCCACACAGTGGTTCACACTTACAATCCAAGCACTTTTGGAAGCCAAGGTAGAAGGATTGCTTCAGGCCAGGAGTTCAAGACCAGCCTGGGCAACATAGCCAGACTGTGTCTCTACTTAAACCAAAATTAGCCAGGAGTCATGGCACACACCTGGAGTCCCAGCTACTCAGGAGGCTGAAATGGGAGGATTACTTGAGCCCAGGAGTTTGAGGCTACACTGACCTATGATCATATCATTGCACTCCAGCCTGGGAGATAGAGTGAGACCTCTGTCTCTAAAAAAATGGAATAAAATAATAAAAAACACAATATAATTTAAAATCTTTGGAGTCACTAAACAAATATACAATGTGAATCTCCTCCCACTCCAGCTAACACTACCATATCCAACATCAGGTAAAGACCAAAGCCGTTCTGGGAAATCAGAATCTGTTGCCATGGCTCATGCCTGGACACCAGGCTGTCCGCTCCTGATGTCACTCTTTGACTTATGACTTGTTAGAAAATGAATGCGTGGAATGGCCCTGGAGGAGCCGCTGCAGCTCTCTGGGTTTCCTGAAGTGAGCCCTCTGTGTCATTATCTGGTCTTCTCAGCCCTCAGCCGAGTTCCTCCTGTGGCCACATGTGGGGTCGCAGTGAGCATCAGTGCACAGTGATGAAATCTGGAACAATCGGGTGTGGGGTGTGAGGGAAGGGAGTGGTGCCTGACTACAGAAGTTCCTGGAGGTCAGGAAACTCTCACTGGAGGCGGTGGCCCTAGAGGGCTGCTTTCTATGACAGAGCAGGAAGCTGCATGTGTAGTGGGACACATGCATCAGAGGGGCCAGGATCTCCTAATAAGGACTGGTATTTACTTTTACTTGAACCCATTCTGGGCCTTACCACAGTCTGCTGAAATGCCTTGAACATTCATCACCCATGTGGGAGACAGGATAGTAATTTCCTGCTGAGATGACTGAGGGGACAGGGAATGGGGACACCAGGGGGACTGGCTCCTGCAGGTGGGAAAATTCTAGCAAAACGAATCACTCTTCTGCTTAGTCACCCAATGTGCGCTTATTAGAGTGCTGCTGAAAAACATATTCGTCTATCCACTCCAGAAAGATAGTCCAAACTGAGACCTCAAGATCAGAAAGGCTCCCAATCTCCTGCAGGGTTCATTCATTTACTCAGTGAATTATTAAATGCCTACAGCACGCAGGGCCATCAGCCCAACGGCTATGAGAAAGAGATTCAGTCCTTTCCTCACAGGCCTTATGATAGACTCCAGTAAATAAAACAATACAGGCACAGAATGTGGCAGGCTTTATAAGAAAGCCTCTCTTGTTGTGTCCTCAAGGGAAGCAGAGAATCTCCTCTCTGGCTCTAGTTGGAGAATCCCAACCCAAGCAAGTCCATCTTTGAACAATAAACATCTCCAGTATTGCTGGCTTTGGAAGACCCCATGGTGAGATGCTGGAGCTTTTTTCCACTCCTGATTTCACTTTCTAAATATTTACTTTTACTTTCCATGTTCACTTGTAGGCCAGATTTTTTTTCCTACCATTGAATTATTTCATCATGTTCTATTTAATTATTGTTTTAATTGGCATTGGTGACCACAAATAATAATAAATACTATTAACTGGTGTAACAGCTTCACTAGTCTATTTAACTTCCCCATGCTGTTGTAACTGAAGCACCCAGCACAAGCATTCCCAGCTCGTGGACGTCTAAGACCTTTGAGGTCATTCTTACATGCATTGCTAGTGTTTTCCATATTCCTTGATGGTAACCAATTTTTCCTTCCTAAAATAACTTTCTTCATTCCTAGTAAGCTTCATATGTATTTTGTGTATTCTTCCCTCTTTTTTATGACATTATACATATTATTGAAAGCTAGAAAATAATACAAGATGCTTGACTGACATAATACCACTTAGTACATCTTTTTGTAAGAAATAGATTTTCTAATACAAATCTTTGATATAGGAAGAAATGAGCAAGTTGTTTTTTAAGGTTTTCCAACCCTATATTCTACTACAAATTACCCTGTTATAGTATGCTTCCAAAATTCTTTCAAGGATTACAGTTTATAGTGTTCAATAAACCTAATAGTTTATAAAACTTCTCAAAAAGTAATCTCATGCCAAAAATAATTTAGTAGTAGGTGGTCTTTGTCTTGTGGTCACATTGTTTTGATATTGTCTTTAAGTTTCTGTAATTTACAAGGGCCGTTTAATCAGTTGGCATAAATTTCATGACAAAAATGCTAATATGTAAGCAAAGTATATGAAATGATATTTTTGAGAAGTAAATTACATTCCATATAGAAAAAGACTAGAAAGACTACACCAAAACCTTAAATTAGACAGTGATATTATAAGTAGCTTTTTTTCTTCTCTTTTTTGTATAGATCAAATTACTACGTTGGGTGTATATCACTTTTATAACATGAAAATACAGTAAATAGGGCGATGATAAACTGCAAGTGCTTGGGGAGAAGGCTTAACTCAGGCCACTTGCAAGAGAGTGAGAACACACACGCAGCCTGTGGGAGCGGGCTCCGTGCCGTCACCTGGCCGGTCCTGGCTGTGTTGCTGTGTTTTCGCACCTCAAAAGTTGGGACAGCAAGGAAAGGCCATAAGAGCTAGAATGTTTCTATAAGAAGTGTATTCAGTATGATTTGTCTAGCTCTGACTAATGTGTGCAAACCCCAGATTCCACTAAGCAAATGCAAGATTGTTTTTCCCTGTTAATTTGTTCCTGGGCCCTTCTTGCTTACTGTGTTGGGCATTGGAGAGGGGGTGATTGACTTCGTTCTTCTCACAGTGTTTTCTCTCGCTCTTTTTTTTTTTTTTTTTTTTTGAGACAGAGTATTGCTCTGTCACCCAGGCTGGAGTGCAGTAGCATGATCTCGGCTCACTGCAACCTCCGCCTTCCAGGTTCAAGTGATACTCCTGCCTCAGCCTCCCAAGTAGCGTGGACTACAAGTGCAAGCCACCATATCTGGCTCAATTTTTATATTTTTCATAGAGACTGGGGTCTCACCATATTGGCTGGGCTGTTCTCAAACTCCTGACTTCAAGTAAGCCACCGTGCCCAGCCATCTCTCACAGTGTTTTTTAAAACAACAATGCATTTTCACAACAGTTGGCCTGGAGAAGTGTCCAACCAAGTTGGAATTCATAGCAGATATCCATTTGAAGTTAATTTTTGGTGTATTTGACTGTTTTCCATTGACTTCACATTGAGGCAGTGAGAGAGACTTGAAGAACTTAGAATATGAACCCTTTTCTCACTGGCAAACATGGGACATAGAGGCATGTCTTGACAGCAATTTATGGCAACACTCTGGGCTGGAATCTAGGGGTTAGGCAGCCTGGCCGGTTTTGTAAATTAGCCAGGCCACCCTCAGAGTCAGTTTGAGGGTTTAGTGGGAAGCCTGAATAAAAAGAGAAGTTAAACTTTTAAGAAAAGGGTCAAGCTTTAAAACTGGAATTGGCTTTTCAAATTTAATGAGTAAAAAGAAACCCCAAAACTGGAATTGTAATTGTGGAGAAGTACAAATTATAGTATTTGGAATATCATCTACAAGGAATGAAACTATTCAGAAGCATTTAGATGGTAGTCATTGATTGTAGGGCATCTCTGGGGGCAGGGTGGCTCCTGGCACTGTAGAGAAAGACCATCGGTGCTTCCGTCTCCCAGTTGGAGGAAAGGGATACACTGTGGAGGTCCCAGCAGCTTAGGGCCTGCCCCCATGTGGTTATGTCTGCATGGTTTCCTTCCCTCTGTCTTCCTGTAACTCTTTCACCCTGGCCCCTGTGCCCTTTCTGGGCAGAGGGTGACAGGAGGCACTGCATGGGTGCATTCTTTTTTTTTTTATTTTTTGAGACAGAGTCTTACTCTGTTGCCTGGGCTGGAGTGCAGTGGTGTGATCTCGGCTCACTGCAACCTCCATCTCCCGGGTTCAAGCGATTCTCCTGCCTCAGCTTCCCGAGTAGCTGGGATTACAGGCAGCCACCACTACGCCCAGCTAATTTTTTCCAATTTTAGTAGAGACGGGGTTTCACCACATTGTTCAGGCTGGTCTCAAACTCCTGACCTCGTGATTCACCCGCCTCAACCTCCCAACGTGCTGGGATTATAGGTGTGAGCCACCGCCCCCGGCCAAGTACATGCTTTTTTTCCTCTTGTTGGGATTGGCCTGGGCTATACCTATCTCATGGTGGAAGCCTGCCTAGGGACCAGGCCCTAGAAGACCAGCAGTTTATTTAACTGGGTTGGCTTTTGTCCCCACTCCCTGTGACCCAGCCCTGCCATATCTTTACCCAGGTGCACCACTGACATCATTGCTCGGCTGGACTCTGGAAAGCAGGAAATTGCTGGAGCATGTTTGGGGCATCAGTGATGTCACCCGCTACGAATGCCGGGTGGGGTTACTGGACTGAGGGCCATGAAAAAAGAAAGCTGCGGCCCTGCCCCGTGGACTCACTGCCATTCTGTTCTTTCTCACGTTTCAGTTCAGCTCACTTTGTTTTCCGTCCCCCTCCCTCTACTGTAAAAGTATGTACTCAGTGTTTCATTTCCTGCTGGATCTGATTCAGGTCAGTGATGAAGTTCTTTGCGAGCTCAGTGGGGAGGCGTTTCCTCCCTTTCATACCGGCCCTGCTTAGGGATGCATGGTTGGTTATATACTTGCTTCACTCAGTTAGGCATGGAGGAGAATTCCTTCAGACCTCATAGGTTTAAATCAAATGCATGACCCTTCACATTTTCCAGAGATTTAGACAGTTACAGTGAGACAATTAAACATTCACCCCCCAAGCTGCACTTGGAGATGTGTAAGCAGTAATGTAGTCATGCGCTCCCCATGATATGAGAGTGTGCAGAATGCCACTCCCCACAGCAGGTCCACCAGGACCTCCTCAGGGAGCATCTTGCCTACAAAATCACCCATCCCTTTTTCCCCACTCTCTTCACTTACCCTACGTTTCCACTCCCACACCCACAAATAAACAAAGAAACTTTGAGCTTATTTTACAAAAGTCTTTGAAATGGCCCTCCTCTCTCCGATGCTCCTGGGCCCTGGTTTGGCCCCATCTGTGCAGTTTCTCTGATGAGTGTGAAATAAGCCAGGTTTGGCTCATGCTCTCCCTGTGAGCTTGCTCTCCCCGTGAGCCTGCCCTCTCCATCTGGCCTCACTTTGTTTGTGTCCCTGTGTCCTTTGTCTCTGATCCTGGGATCCTGGTGGTTTCCTCCTCCCCGCCCAGCTTGGATCCTTTTCCCCAGGGTTCTTCCCTATCTCTACATCAGAATTTCCTGCTTTCTCCCAAATATGCATTTCCCTGGCCCAGGCATCCATTGCTTCCTCTCATCGTGAGGTCCCTGCAGCAGGCTGCCGATGGTGTTGTGGCCATGCCTTCCTCCACAACCCAGGGAAAGCTACATGTGTGTCTGTCCCATAGGGAAGGAGTCATCCCTGTCTCTTCAGTGTGGCATGTTCAGGAGGAAGGAAAGTAACCAGCGTCGTTCTCAATTTCCGGAAACTGTTTATCATACTGACAAGAAGAAGAAAGCTTTGTGACTCATGAGAATGATGTTTTCCTCTCTGGTACATAAGGTTATGTAGGTCCAATCCATTGTGTAGAGGATCTTTTCTCCCTTAATGGGATGTACACTTATTTTTAGCACAAGTATAAAACTACTTTAAATGAAATCAGCCTCAGCCAGGGAAATATGCTGAGTAATAATGTTGCCAGGTACTATACCACTGAGTTGAGTTTGCAGTTCACTGCTATTAATCCCTGCGTGGTAGTTCTGAATTTTTACTCTTTGCATACATAGAAAAATGGTGTTTCTCTTCAGAGTCAAGGAGGGAAAAAAGAAAAGATAAAAGACGCTTATAACACTTTTGTGTCCACCCCTAAAATCAGCATATTGATCTACTATTTTTCTAGGTATTGATGGAATATTGACTCATATACTTTCATACAACTGGTAATATATATATATATATATATATATATATATAGACTCATTTTTCTTCCACTTTCATCTACAGCCTACTTGTTTTTTTCCCGCCATTTTTCATTTGGATTCATAGCAAAAATTGACAACAAAGATACATCTCAATTTAGAGCTTCCAAAAGGCACCCATAAAAGTATCTGGTGCTCATGGAACTTCTCTTTCTTCTGTGTCTCTTAGTTACACTTTTCTCTTATTACACTTTTCTATCCAGCCGTGGCTAAGAGGCATATAATCAGAAGCAGCTAAGCAATGTATGCAAGGGAAATAAAATGAACGCAAACCAAGATAACCGGTTTTGTAAATTAGATAGCAAGGCCACCCTCAGTGTCAGTTTGAGGGTTTCGTGGGAAGCCTAAGAAATATAACTGATATAACTGATATATTATCAGTTATAAAAAAAGTTATAAGAAAAGGGTCAAGCTTTAAAACTGGAATTGGCTTTTCAAATTTAATGAGCAAAAAGAAATCCCAAAACTGGAATTGTAATTGTGGAGAAATAGAACTGATAATATCTGGAACTTACAGCAGTTTACAGGCTTAACTATGTATGTGTTCCTTAAATTATCCACCCGCAGATATCAGATTACAAGAAGTCCTCACTTAATGTCATTGATAGGTTCTTGGAAACTACCACTTTAAGCAAAAGGACATAATGCATACAAAACCAATTTTCCCAGAGTCTAATTGATAGGAAAAAGAGTTGAGTTATGAAGCCACACAGTACCTCGTTTGGCTTAAAGTCACTGTTTCCAAGAACATATCCACAATGTTAAGTAAGGACTTACTGTAAATGAAAATATTTGCAGTAAATCGCTTTTGAGAGAATTGGTTATCACACTCTTCTCTGGGTATCACTGAAAATTCAGAATGTTTAGTTACATCAGGCTATACTCACTGGTATGAAATCAGGGAGCAAGTATAAAGTAGGTGTAGGGAAATAATTTATGTTGGATTAAATGATCCAATGAAGGAATTTTATTAAGCCCCTAGAAATCCCAGAATGAAAATGTATAACTGCATGACTAACCCCTGTAAGAATTTGCTGGGGTTTCTGCATTAAGTACGCTTCCCAGGCCATTTGTAATGAAGGTACCGTGATCTGTTAAGGAAGAGACCTACACCTGGGAACATAAACAGCCAATTCCATCCTGGACATCAGTCTCCTGTTTGACTCATTCCAACCCCAAGAATATGTTGTAGAGTGTAGGACCCATGAAAGTTACCTACTGTGCTTCCCTGTACCTTCCATCATCCAGTTCCCAAACATACCTGTGTTTCTTCTCTGAATGCATAGTTACTTGGGATCCCATGTTGTATTAGTCTGTTCTCACACTGCTGTAAAAAACTACTTGAGAGTGGATAGTTTATAAAGAAACAAGGTTTAATTGACTCAGTTTTGCAGGCTATACAGGAGGCATGGCTGGGGAGGCCTCAGGAAACTTACAATCATGGGGAAGGCAAAGGGGAAACAAGTACATATTCACATGGCGGCAGGAAAGAGAGAGAGTGAAGGGGCAGTTCCACACACTTTTAAACAACCAGATCTCATGAGAACTCACTAGCACGAGAAAAACAAGGGGGAAATTCATCCCCATGATACAGTCACCTCCCACCAGGCCCCTCCTCCAACACTGAAGCTCATAATTCATGAGATTTGGCTGGGGACACAGCGCCAAACCATATCATATGCCTTTCCCAGGACTGGTGTTGGAGGAACAGTGCCTTTGTCACACCTACCAGAATATACTCACCCACTTCCAGACACTCCATTTCTCTTTCAAGCACACCTCCTCACTTGTGCCGCCAGCTAAGGTTTACTGCAGTTACTTCCTTTGTGTGTCCTCTTACCTTACCAAGTCGCCTCACCCACCATCTACTGTTAATTAAATTACCACCTCCCCCACTTCCCCACCTCCAGAGTAGAGACTGTGTCTTCAGTTCTCTTGGCCTTCCCACAATGGGAAGTCTGGTGTGGAACATACCCTAGGAGCCAACTAAATGTGGTAGTGGCCTGCCAACCCTGCAGAGGGCTAGCAAATCTTCAGGGAGTCTGCTGCCGGTGGAAACTCACCAGTACTAGAATCCCAGGCTCCAAAGAAGTTTAGAAAAGTACGTCTTTTAAGGAGCTAATAAGAGGTTCAAGTTTCCACAAATCCTATCTGCTCTTGGCCTAGTTCTTTTGGGATCAGTGTGCTAGTCTCTCTTCTCAAACTAGTTACTGACCAGCAAGACTAAAAAACCAGGCCCAAACACATTCTATTCATGTGCTTAGATATAGACCTATGGATCAAATATCCCACTATAAAGCAAAAAAGCAAACTGTTTTTCCCTTGTACTCTCACACTCAACAATAGCACACTTCTGTGGCTGGCTGTGTGGGGGCTTTTCCTTACACACCAAACATTTCTCACAGAGACCAACTGGGTGTCCTCTTATTCAATTCAATCCTGACACTGTCTACCTGCAGATAGTGTCCAATCCCACAGATTGACGGCTTGATCCCATGAGACCAGCCCCACTTCAGGTACTAATTCCAAGTCCAGGCGACGCATACTTCTGACTGCCTGGCTAAAAACTACATCCACGGCCGGTCATGGTGGTCCACGCCTGTAATCCCAGCACTTTGGGAGACCAAGGCGGGTGGATCACTTGAGATCAGGGGTTTGAGACCAGCCTGGCCAACATGGTGAAACCCTGTCTCTATTAAAAATACAAAAATTAAGCTGGGCACGGTGGCTCACACCAGTAATCCCAGCACTTTGGGAGGCCGGGGCAGGCTGATCACGAGGTCAGATCAAGACCATCCTGGCTAACACGGTGAAACCCCATCTCTACTAAAAATACAAAAAAAAAAAAAATTAGCCAGGCATGGTGGCCGACGCCTGTAGTCCCAGCTACTTGGAAGACTGAGGCAGGAGAATGGCCTGAACCTGTGAGGAGGAGCTTGCAGTGAGCAGAGATCATGTCACTGCACTCCAGCCTGGGTGAGAGAGCGAGGCTCCATCTCAAAAAAATAAATAAATGAAATAAAATACAAAAATTAGCTGGGTGTGGTGGCGGGCTCCTATAAGCCCAGCTACCAGGGAGGCTGAGGCAGGAGAATTGCTTGAACCTGGGAGGCAGAGGTTGCAGTGAGTTGAGATCCTGCAACTGTACTCCAGCCTGGGAGACAGAATGAGACTCCATCTCAAAAAAAAAAAAAAAAAAAAAAAGGGTTCGCATGAGCCCCCTCCCTGGGTTCAATTAAGTTCCTAGGATGGCTCACAGAACTCAGAGAAACATTTACAGAGCTGTTATGATATATATTGATTTTCGTTATGAACATTGATGCAAAAATCCTCAATAAAATACTGGCAAAACGAATCCAGCAGCACATCAAAAAGCTTATCCACCATGATCAAGTGGGCTTCATCCCTGGGATGCAAGGCTGGTTCAATATACGCAAATCAATAAATGTAATCCAGCATATAAACAGAACCAAAGACAAAAACCACATGATTATCTCAATGGATGCAGAAAAGGCCTTTGACAAAATTCAACAACCCTTCATGCTAAAAACTCTCAATAAATTAGGTATTGATGGGACTTATTTCAAAATAATAAGAGCTATCTATGACAAACCCACAGCCAATATCATACTGAATGGGCAAAAACTGGAAGCATTCCCTTTGAAAACTGGCACAAGACAGGGATGCCCTCTCTCACCACTCTTATTCAACATAGTGATGGAAGTTCTGGCCAGGGCAATCAGGCAGGAGAAGGAAATAAAGGGTATTCAATTAGGAAAAGAGGAAGTCAAACTGTCCCTGTTTGCAGATGACATGATTGTATATCTAGAAAACCCCATTGTCTCAGCCCAAAATCTCCTTAAGCTGATAAGCAACTTCAGCAAAGTCTCAGGATACAAAATCAATGTACAAAAATCAAAAGCATTCTTATACACCACCAACAAACAAACAGAGAGCCAAATCATGAGTGAACTCCCATTCACAATTGCTTCAAAAAGAATAAAATACCTAGGAATTCAACTTACAAGGGATGTGAAGGACCTCTTCAAGGAGAACTTCAAACCACTGCTCAAGGAAATAAAAGAGGATACAAACAAATGGAAGAACATTCCATGCTCATGGGTAGGAAGAATCAATCTCGTGAAAAAGGCCATACTGCCCAAGGTAATTTACACATTCAATGCCATCCCCATCAAGCTACCAATGCCTTTCTTCACAGAATTGGAAAAAACTACTTTAAAGTTCATATGGAACCAAAAAAGAGCCCGCATCACCAAGTCAATCCTAAGCCAAAAGAACAATGCTGGAGGCATCACACTACCTGACTTCAAACTATACTACAAGGCTACAGTAACCAAAACAGCATGGTACTGGTACCAAAACAGAGTTATAGATCAATGGAACAGAACAGAGCCCTCAGAAATAACGCCACATATCTACAACTATCTGATCTTTGACAAACCTGAGAAAAACAAGCAATGGGAAAAGGATCCCCTATTTAATAAATGGTGCTGGGAAAACTGGCTAGCCATATGAAGAAAGCTGAAACTGGATCCCTTCCTTACACCTTATACAAAAATCAATTCAAGATGGATTAAAGACTTAAACGTTCAACCTAAAACCATAAAAACCCTAGAAGAAAACCTAGGCATTACCATTCAGGACATAGGCATGGGCAAGGACTTCATGTCTAAAACACCAAAAGCAATGGCAACAAAAGACAAAATTGACAAATGGGATCTAATTAAACTAAAGAGCTTCTGCCCAGCAAAAGAAACTACCATCAGAGTGAACAGGCAACCTACAAAATGGGAGAAAATTTTCACAACCTACTCTTCTGACAAAGGACAAATATCTAGAATCTACAATGAACTCAAACAAATTTACAAGAAAAAAACAAACAACCCCATCAAAAAGTGGGCGAAGGACATGAACAGACACTTCTCAAAAGAAGACATTTATGCAGCCAAAAAACACATGAAGAAATGCTCACCATCACTGGCCATCAGAGAAATGCAAATCAAAACCACAATGAGATACCATCTCACACCAGTTAGAATGGCAATCATTAAAAAGTCAGGAAACAACAGGTAATGGAGAGGATGTGGAGAAATAGGAACACTTTTACACTGTTGGTGGGACTGTAAACTAGTTCAACTACTGTGGAAGTCAGTGTGGCAATTCCTCAGGGATCTAGAACTAGAAATACCATTTGACCCAGCCATCCCATTACTGGCTATATGCCCAAAGGACTATAAATCATGCTGCTATAAAGACACATGCACACGTATGTTTATTGTGGCATTATTCACAATAGCAAAGACTTGGAACCAACCCAAATGTCCAACAATGATAGACTGGATTCAGAAAATGTGGCACATATACACCATGGAATACTATGCATCCGTAAAAAATGATGAGTTCATGTCCTTTGTAGGGACATGGATGAAATTGGAAATCATCATTCTCAGCAAACTATCGCAAGAACAAAAAACCAAACACCGCATATTCTCACTCATAGGTGGGAATTGAACAATGAGAACACATGGACACAGGAAGGGGAACATCACATTCTGTGGACTGTTGTGGGGTGGGGGGAGGGGGGAGGGATAGCATTGGGAGATATTCCTAATGCTAGATGACGAGTTAGTGGGTGCAGTGCACCAGCATGGCACATGTATACATATGTAACTAACCTGCACATTGTGCACATGTACCCTAAAACTTAAAGTATAATAATAATAATAATAAAATACATCACCAAAAAAATAAATAAATAAAGAGGGCATTATAAAAATGCCTCATGGAAAAAATATTATTTTAACAATTAGTAAAGTAAAATAAAAATTTGTGACTCATAAAGACACACTTCATTTTCATACTCTATTTTTTTTTTTTTTTACAAATGGGACTTGAATATTTTAAGATACAATTTAAAAAGTCAAGTAATTTTAATCAGAAATTTCAAAAAAATAAAACCCTGAATCCAATTCAAATTTCACTTACTTGGAAATTGTCACTGATATAAATTTATTTATATAAATGTGATATAACCAATAAAGATATGTAATAGAGTCATTGTTAATTTGGGTAAAAAAATTTTAAAAACAATGCAAACTTGTATTACCTCCATATGTATGTATGTACACATGTACACATATATGAATATTTATATATATATTTGCATACACACACCATATATATACCTGTGTATAAATGAATAACAATGGAATGTCAGTTGGCCTCTACTACAACATTTGAAGGCCCATTGCACAATGGCCAGAACAGAGACGACATCAGAATGCAACTTAAAATTTCCAAGATGACTTGAATTATATCTGAATTTCTAACAGGGCATAGAGAAATTAAAATCTTGTTTGATTATGCTTCTTTGCTTATTACTGGGAGAGCCTCACATGAAAAGCAGATCAGGATATTCTCTTACCAAATGTGTTAATTAACAGTCAGTTCATAATGTAAGGGTGACTCAAATAGCAGATTCAATATCAAACAGGAAGGGCTTTTGTAGCCCGTTCTATTTTCGGTCAACCACAATCCACCCACTCCTGCTGAAATAAAAACTTAAAAGGCAGGTGGAGGAAAATATGTTCTAGACCAAGGGGTAGGTTCCGGGTCTGCAAAAGACATAGTGTGCCACCCACAAACACACAAGTTCAAGGAGCGTGGCTCAATCCTTCAGAAAATTGGTTCTAACTTTCAAATCATTAGGGATCTTCTTTATGAAAGATATAGCAAACAAAAACACAAAATATACCCCTCTAAGATTATTAGGAAGTTAAAAAAAAGTGACTTGTAACTTTTAATAAATAACTAGGGAGGTAAGCTTGTTCATTTCTGAGATTCACAACTTTTATAAAGATGCTGTATTAATACTTGAATTGTGCTATGTTCAATAGAAGCAATGAGACATAAGCCATACTGAGAGAAGAAAAAAATTTTACAACAAGAAAATCTAATGCTGTTTAATTTCTTTAAATATTTATTAATTTCTGAATGCTATGTGATTGCTTTTATATTAATTTTTCAGTAGAGAAATTGAATACAATTGAATACAATTTCTCAGTTGAGAAATTAAATACAATGGATTTTAGTGTGATGACATACTTGATGGGATAATTTTAAAATCATGATTTTAATTAGATATAATACTTTTAGGTAGAATAATAAAAATAAAGGAAAACCGATTTTCTTTAAATTCCATCAATTATTTCTTTCTCACAATAATTAATATGTAATTTACCAATGATGTAGTAGATTAATACCAGATTCTCTTACTTTTGGTTTCATCAAAAAATGACGAGAATTTTTCTCTGATTGATGTTCAGTTACTTTCAGATGGCTTGTAATCTTGTACTTTCAACATTAAAGATTTTTTTCACATATTGATACCAATCATTTTATGATATATCTGATTTTATAATTATGTATTCATTGTATTCAAATGAGAGTTATGGTTGTATACAGTAAGAATTATAATAGAGGAAGTTATCTGGTGCTCCAGGAATTTAAATAAGAGAAGATATAAAGATCTCAGACTTTGTATCAATATTTTAATTGGATCCTGAAAAATGAATGAAGATAGACAGAAAACAAGTAAAAAATGGTCTAAGCAGATGGAATAAAAGAGTAAAAGGAAAGTAATAGAAAAGTGTGTGTGTCTTTGAAGGAACATAACCTGTTCTGGGTGTGGCTACAGCACAGGTTTGTGAAGGAAAATGTTAAATGATTGAGGAGAATGTCTCTCAATATCAGTGATTTTGTATTTTACCCTTCAATGATGGGACATAAGTAAACAATTTTTAAAAGCATAGTGGGTGTGTGTGTATATATAGTATATATAGTATATAGCATGTCTATACTTATACTATATACATACATATAATGTGTATGTATATATGTATATATAGTATACATATATACTTTTCATTCTAGATAGAAGTTTTTGAGATGCAGTTAGAAGAAAAAGTCAGAAAGAATAGTCAAGATTATTCCAGCAGTACAGGCATGATGTGATGAATGACTAAATTAAAACATTAGCAGCAACACAGAAGAGAAATGGCAGAATAGAAAGGTAATTCAAGGTAGAAACAGCTGAACTTAATAATTCATTTAGAAGGAAGAGTCAAGGTATAAATACTCTAAATTTTCTTGGCGACTGGCTTGATATTATCATCATTAGCTGAGATGGGCAATGCTTTAAAAGAAATAGATTTATTTGCCAAAATATAAAATGTGTTTATGGCTATGTCAAATTTGAGATGCAGGTGGTGAAGACAGAGGGGGAGAATCAGTTGACATTTTAAAATATACGTTTGAAACCTACAGGAAAATATTGGAGTAAAAAAAAATAAAGAAAATCAAACGTCAAAGGAAATGCTGGAAGTGTAGGAATGGATAAAAGGAGCACAGGAAAAGTGTGCAGAGCATTGTTACCCAAAGTGCTGTGGGAATTTTATACACATATGAATACAACTCGCAAAACACACAAATATTTTTGCTTCCCTGGATCATTTACTGGAGTCTTTTACATACACATTCTGAAGTATAAGGTATGCAGAATTTTCTAAGCGTATCATAGAATTCCATTCCAAGAATACATTTCAGGAAAACTATTGTCAATCAGGGAAACATTGGTGCAGAATAGTAAGAAAAGAAATACCCATTAAGACTAGTACTTACACAGTGGACTTGAAAAAACTAGGCAGCAAGGAGTTATTAAAAAGAAAGCATGGGCTGGGCATTGTGGCTCATGCCTATAATCCCAGCACTTTGGGAGGCCGAGGCGGGCGGATCACCTGAGGTTGGGAGTTTGAGACCAGGCTGACCAACATGAAGAAACCCCATCTCTAGTAAAAATACAAAATTAGCTGGGCATGGTGGCACATGCTTGTAATCGCAGCTACTCGGGAGGCTGAGGCAGGAGAGTCTCTTGAACCTGGGAGGCGGAGGTTGCGGTGAGCCGAGATCACACTGTTGCACTCCAGCCTGGGTGAAAAGAGGGAAACTTCATCTCAAAAAAGAGAAAAAAGAAAAAAAAAATGAAAGCATGGGGCCAACATTGAATGGTCTTAAGGAAGTCAAGGTAGAAGGAAATTTAAAGAAGGAAATGAGAAGCAATGCAGAATGTTTAGAAAGTCAATTAGGAAGCTCCCATAAATATTCTCACTATGTATTATAGGGAATTCATTTATAACTTCAAAAATACCACTCAAAAAAGATGGTAATTGTTGAAATGAGATTTCAATGGGTGAAAGAGGCTAGGCACAGTGGCTCATGCCTGTAATCCCAGCACTTTGGGAGGCCGAGGTGGATGGATCACGACGTCAGCAGTTCAAGACCAGCCTGGCCAAGATGTGAAACCCCATCTCTACTAAAAATACAAAAATTAAACGGGCATGGTGTTGGGCACCTGTAATCCTAGCTACTTGGGAGGCTGAGACAGGAGAATCGCTTGAACCCAGGAGGTGGAGGTCGCAGTGAGCCGAGATGATGCCACTGCACTCCAGCCTGGGTGACAGAGCAAGAGAAAGAAAAGAGAAAAGAAAAGAGAAGAGAAGAAAGAAAAGAAGGACGGAAGGGATTTTAAAAAGAGATGAGAAGTCAGTATACTGTTTTGGAGGAAGTGTAATTTATGATTTTGGCTATAACTTGCTATGAATGGAAACAGCAACACACCACTGGATTTCAACTTTTGAGTGCTTAAGAAGGTGGAGATGGTGATTAAAATAATAATAATAATAATAATGCTAAGTGTGTAATAGTTGCTAAGTGTGTGGTGTCTGAACCCAGGATATCAGGATGTCTGGAACTGGGATTGAATCCCAGCTCTTCCACTTTCTGGTTATGTGAGTGACTGTAGGCAAATTACTTAATCTTTTAATGCTCCAGTTTCCCATATGTAAAATGAGAATTATAATAGTAAACTACTTCATGGCTTGTGAGGATGAAGTGCATGTAGAGTACTTAGTGAGTTCTCTTTGTGTATTATGTATTAGTTTCAAAATGCAGATTCTAGAGCCCTTAGATTCTCATTCAATAGGTATGAGGCAAGCACGGGCCAGGATTCTGCATTCTTTAAGGAGGTGTAATTTCCTATATCTGCTGTGACAAAGTGGTTCACATCAGGTCGCTTAAAATGAGATAAAGTTATTCTTTTACGGTTCAGGAAGCTAGAAATCTTAAATGAAGAAGTTAGCAGTGCTGCATTTTTCTCTCAAGGACCTGGGAAAAAATCCTTTCTTGCTTCTTCTAGCACCGGGTGATCACTGAGCTTCATTGTCATTGCTTGGCTGGAGGATACCTCACTTTATTCTCTACCTCCATCCTCACATGGCCATCTCCTCCCTGCGTCTCTGTTTCCTCTTCCCTTCTTAGGAGGATATCAACCATATTGAATTATGGCCCACTCTAATGCATTATGAGCTCATCTAGCATATCATAATTATACAGCATCTGCAAATAATTTGATTTTAAATTAAGTCATACTCACAGACATCAGGGGCTAGAACTCTAATATATATATTTTCTTTTTGAAGACACAATCTAACCCACAAAAGGAGGGGAGCCGCTTAAGATCATAAATAACTCAAGTAACAAGACTGTGTGTTTAAAATAGCATTTAAATTTCTCCAAATGGCAGACAGCTTAATTCAGATCAATACCAATCAGGAGATAAACAAGTGTTTGTCTCCTAATTGGCATTTACCTGAGATTAAAACATTATGGTAAAATACATTATCTTCGGTGATCTTTGGTTTAGGTGAGCATTCACAAGGCACACAGTTATTATCACTTGAGCCATCTCTCTCTAATAACTATTTTCTAATCTGCTGGCCAACAATATCAGGTTCTTTCAAATCTCTGATTATCGGACCAAACCATAAGGCCCTCCACGTGATTTGGTAGAAATATTTTTTACAAAGCTAAATGAAATTTTATTTACTTGATGGATTTCTCTTCTCCTTTGTACAAAGGGGTGACCCTTTGACAGCACAGGGAAAGAACACGATAGAAATAGACTTTCAGAAGGAAGGGCCTTCCATAACAAGGAATGCCATCTGTAATCCAGACTTTTTTCTCCTCAGGAATCCAGTCATAGGCAAATCTCTATGAATCACAGATAAATAGAAAGAAGGGTGGGAGTGTGTCAGGAGTAGGATGCTGAAAATGTGAGTAGCCTGTTCATTAATTGGTCCCTTGGAAACTGAGAAGGCAACGTGGCATACATGCAATTTCCATGGAATGATGGAAGACTGGTTGTAGTTACTATGATCCTATAATGCTCAGATCACAATGGGGTCACCCTTATTCATGACTGAGCATTCCTTCTTATTAGTATCCCAATGTGAAATTGTTTCTCAAAAAAGGAGGGGTCAGGTAATTTTTGTACAAAAGTCTTTTACTCCAAAATAAAGTGGCTTGTACTGTATTTCTCCTCTGGAGCCTTGCCGCTGGCTCCATAGGAAAATTCTGCCTCTCATAGATACCTGAGGCATTGGATTCCCTAAACAAAATTGTAGATCCACTTGTACTGCAGGCCTCTGTAGTCCAAAACGTTTCTCTTTCTCTGAGTCCCACTCACAGCTGACATCCTTCTTGACATTTGCATTTTATTTAGAATACACATCCAAATATGTTTTATGTTGCCTCTAACATTCAAAAGAGCCTCTAACAGTCTTCCTTTCCCTATCCCTTCCTTCCATTTGAAGGGTGTTTGCTCCACATCACTTTCTACTGCATTCTTAGACTCCCTGAAGGTAGGAAACCCACACTTTTGTCATTTGCTCGATGTGTCTTTCCTGAAGTCTATGGTAGCTGCTATTTTTCTCTAGAGCATATCAACCGGATGCTGTCCATGTATTCCATAAGTTATGTCCATTTGGCTAGTGACATGGCCAGGGTTCCTGAGTACAAAATTGTGACACAGACAAAAATAGTTATACTTCTACAGCTAAATAGTGAAGACACTCTGCCTGGAAAAAGTAAGAAATTTCAGGTATTTACCATTTATTTAAGATACAGAAAAATAATTTGCCTAAATGTATAGCAGGAAAAGGAGATAAGTGTATTCACTAAAGCAAGGAGACTACATCTGGATTTTAAATGTGTGCCCTCAGATAGGATTCCAGTACACAGTGGCTGGATTCTGAGTGTTTGTCCCTCACACAGGATTACAGAACACTGCTATGAGGTTCTGAATGGAAAAGGAAATATCTTCACATAAAGACAAGAAAGAAGCATTCTGAGAAACTTCTTTGTGATGTGTGCATTCACCTCACAGAGTTGAACTTTTCTTTTGATTTAGCACTTTTGAAATACTCTTTTTGTAGTGTTTGCAAGTGGATATTTGGAGCGCTTTACATTCTATGGTGGAAAAGTAAATATCTTCACATCAAAACCAGACAGAAGCATTCTGAGAAACTCCTCTGTGATCTGTGCATTCATCTCACAGAGTTGAATGTTTCTCTTGATTGAGCAGTTTTGAAACACTGTTTTTGTAGAATCTGCAAGTGGATATTTTGAGTGCTTTGGGGCCTATGGTGGAAAAGGAAATATCTTCACATAAAAACTAGACAGAAGCATTCTGAGAAACTTCTTTGTGATGTGTGCATTCAACTCACAGAGTTGAAATATTCTTTTGATTGAGCAGTTTTGAAACACTCTTTTTGTAGTATCTGCAAAGTTGGAGGGCTTTGGGACCTCTAGAGGAAAGGGAAATATCTTCCCTTAAAAACTAGACAGAAGCATTCTGAGAAACCTCTTTGTGATGTGTGCATTCATCTCACAGAGCTGAACATTTCTTTTGATTGAGCAGCTTTGAAACACTCTTTTTGTAGAATCTGCAAGTGGACATTGGGAGCGATTTGAGGCCTATAGAGGAGAAGGAAACATCTTCACATAAAAACTACACAAATGCCTTCTGAGAAACTTCTTTGTGATGTGTGCATTCATCTCACAGAATTGAACCTTTCTTTTGATCGAACAGTTCTGAAACACTTCTTTTGAAGGATCTGCATGTGGATATTTGGATCAGTTTGGGGCCTGTGGTGGAAAAGGAAATATCTTCAAATAAAAACTACACAGAAGCATTCTGAGAAAGTTCTTTGTGATGTGTGCATTCAACTCACATAGTTGAAGATTTCTTTTGATTGAGCAGTTTTGAAACAATCTTTTTGTAGTATTTGCAAGTGGATATTTGGAGCAGTTTGAGGCCTATTGTACAAAAGGAAATATCTTCACATAAATACTAGACAGAAGCATTCTGAGAAACTTCTCTGTGATGTGTGCATTCATCTCACAGAGTTGAAACTTTGTTTTGATTGAGCAGTTTTGAAACACTCTTTTTGTAGAAACTGCAAGTGGATACTTGGAGTGCTTTGAGCTCAATGGTGGAAATGGAAGTATCTTCAATTAAAAACTAGACAGAAGCATTCTGAGAGACTTCTTTGTGATGTGTGCATTCAACTCACAGAGTTTAAACTTTCTTTTGATTGAGGAGTTTGGAAAATCTCTTTTTGTAGAATCTGCAAGTGGATATTTCGAGCGCTTTGTGGCCTATAGTGGAAACGGAAATATCTTCACATAAAAACTAGACAGAAGCCTTCTGAGAAACTCCTTTGTGATGTGTGCATTCATGTCTCAGAGATGAACCTTTCTTTTGATTGAGCAGTTTTGAAACACTTTTTGTAGAATCTGCAAGTGGATATTTGGAGCGCTTTGTGGCCAATGGTGGTAAAAGGAAACATCTTCACATAAAAACTGGATGGAAGCATTCTGAGAAACTTCTTTGTGATTTATGCATTCAGCTCACAGAGTTGAACCTTTCTTTTGATTGAGCCGTTTGAAACACTCTTTCTGTATGATCTGCAAGTGGATAATTGGAGCGCTTTAAAGTCTACGGTGGAGAAGGAAATATCTTCACATAAAAACTACACAGAAGCATTCTGAGAAACTTCTTTGTGATTTGTGCATTCAACACACAGAGTTGAACCTTTCTGTTGATTGAGCAGTTTGAAACACTCTTTTTGTAAAATCTGCAAGTGGATATTTGGAAAGCCTTAAGGTCTATGGTGGAGAAGGAAATATCTTCACATAAAAACTGGACAGAAGCATTCTGAGAAACTATTTTGTGATGTGTGCATTCATCTCACAGAATTGAAACTTTCTTTTGATTGAGCAGATTTGAAGCACACTTTTTGTGGAATGAGCAAGTGGATATTTTGAGGGCTTCAAGACCTATGGTGGAAACTGAAATATCTTCACCTAAAAACAACACAGAAGCAGTCTGTGTAACTTCATTCTGATGTGTGCATTCATCTCACAAAGTTGAATATTTCTTTGGATTCAGCAGTTTTGAAAAACACTTTTTGTAGTATCTGCAAGTGGATATTTGGAGCGCTTTGGGGCCTATGGTGGAAAGGGAAATATCTTCACCTAAAAACTACACAGAAGAATTCTGAGAAACTTCTTTGTGATGTGTGCATTCATCTCACAGAGTTGAACCTTTCTTTTCATTGAGCAGTTTTGAAACACTCTTTTTGTAGAATCTGCAAGTGGACATTTAGTGCGTTTTGTGGCCCAAGGTGGAAAAGGAAATATCTTCACATAAAAACTAGACGGAATCATTCCAACAAACTTCTTTGTGATGTGTGCATTCATCTCACAGAGTTCAAACATACTTTTGATTGAGCAGTTTGGAAACACTCTTTTTGTAGAATCTGCAAGTGGATATTTTTAACGCTTGGCAGCCTATGGTGGAAAAGGAAATATCTTCACATAAAAACTAGACAGAGGCATTTTGAGAAGCTCCTTTGTGATGTGTGCATTCATCTCACAGTGTTGAACATTTCTTTTGATTTAGCTGCTTTCAAATATTCTTTTTGCAGAATCTGCAAGTGGATATTTGAAGCGCTTTGAGGCCTATGGTGGAAAAGGGTCTGCAAGTGGACATTTGGAGAGCTTTGAGGCCTAAGGCGGAAAACAAATATTTTCATATTATAATTAGACAGAAGTATTCTGAGAAAGTTCTTTGTGATATGTGCATTCATCTCACAGAGTTGAAACTTTCTTTTGATTGAGCAGTTTTGACACACTCTTTTTGTAGAATCTCCAAGTGGACATTTGGAGCGCTTTGCGGACTATGGTGGAAATGGAAATTTCTTCACATAAAAACTGTTCAGAAACATTCTGAGAAACTTATTTGTGATGTGTCCATTCGTCTGACAGAGTTGAATCTTTCTTTTGATTGAGCAACTTGGAAACTCTCTTTTTGTAGAATCTGCTAGTGGACAATTGGAGTGCTTTGAGGCCTATGGGGGAAAACAAACTATCTTCACTTAAGTACTAGACAGAATAATTCTGAGAAACTTCTTTGTGATGGGTGCATTCATTTCACAGAGTTGAACCATTCTTTTTTTTTGAGCAGCTTTGAAAAACTCTTCTTGTAGACTCTGCAAGTGGACATTTGGAGCTCTTTGCAGCCTATGGTGGAAAAGGAAATGACCTCACATAAAAACTAGAAAGAAGCATTCTGACAAACTCCTTTGTGATGTGTGAATTCATTTCACAGAATTGTACCATTCTTTTGATTGAGCAGTTTTGACACAATCGTTTTGTAGAATCTCTAATTGGACATTTGGAGCGCTTTGCAGCCTGTGGTGGAAAACGAAATATCTTCTCATAAAAACTAGAAAGAAGAATTCTGAGAAACTTCTTCGTGATGTATGCATTCATCTCACAGAGTTGAACATAACTTTCAATTGAGCAGTTTTGAAACCCTCTTTTTATAGGAGCAGCAAGTGGACATTTGGAGGTCTTTGAGGCCTATGGTGGAAAAAAGTATCTT
This sequence comes from Homo sapiens, assembly GCF_000001405.40. Taxonomy (NCBI): domain Eukaryota; kingdom Metazoa; phylum Chordata; class Mammalia; order Primates; family Hominidae; genus Homo; species Homo sapiens. The sequence continues at coordinate 43,156,737 of NC_000009.12, forward strand.
CTCATTATAACTAGACAAAAGCATTCTGAGAAACTTCTTTGTGATGTGTGCATTCATCACACAGAGTTGAACCTCTCCTTAGATTGAGCAGCTTTGAAACACTCTTTTTGTAGAATCTGCAAGTGGACATTTGGAGCGTTTTGAGGCCTACGGTGGAAAAGGAATTATCTTCACATAAAAACCATACAGAAACATTCTCACAAGCTTCTTTGTGTTGTGTGCATTCAACTCACAGAGTTGAACCTTTCTTTTGACTGAGCAGTTTTGAAACACTCTTTTTGTAGAATCCGCAAGTGGACATTTCATGTACTTTGAGGCATATGGTGGAGAAGGAAATATCTTCACTTAACAACTAGGCGGAAGCATTCTGAGAAACTTCTTTGTGTTGTGTGCATTTATCTTACAGAGTTCAACCATACTTTTGATTGAGCAGCTTTGAAAAACTCTTTTTTAGACTCTGCAAGTGAACATTTTGAGCTCTTTGTGTACTACGGTGGAAAAGGAAATACCTTCACATAAAAACTAGACAGAAGCATTCTGTGAAACTTCTTTGTGATGTGTGCATTCATCTCACAGAGTTGAACATTTCTTTTCATTGAGCAGTTTTGAAACACTGTTTTTGTAGAATCTGCAATGGACATTTGGAGGGCTTTGAAGCCTATGGTGGAAAAGGAAGTAACTTCCCATAAAAACTAGACAGAATCTTTCTTAGAAAATTCTTTCTGATGTGTGCATTCATCTCACATAGTTGAACATTTCTTTTGATTAAGCAGCTTTGAAACACTCTTTTTGTAGAATCTGTAAGTGGACATTTGGAGTACTTTGAGGGTGATGGTCAATAATGAAATATCTTCACTTAATAACTAGACAGAAGCATTCTGTGAAACTACTTTGTGATGTGTGCATTCATCTCATAGAGTTGAACATTTCTTTCGATTGAGCAGCTTTGAAACACTCTTTTTGTAGAATCTGCAAGTGGATATTTGGAGCGCTTTGAGACCTATGGTGGAAAAGGAAATATCTTCACATAAAAACTATACAGAAACATTCTGACAAATTTCTTTGTGATTGGTGTATTCATGTCACAGAATTGAACCTTCCTTTTAATTGAGCAGTTTTGAAACACTCTTTTTGTAGGATCGGCAAGTGGATATTTGGAGAGCTTTGAGGCCTATGGTGGAAAAGGAAATATCTTTACATAAAAACTAGACAGAAGCATTCTGAGAAACTTGTTTGTGATCTGTGCATTCGTCTCACAGAGTTGAACCTTTCTTTTGATTCAGAAGTTTGGAAACAGTCTTTTGTAGATTCTGCAAGTGAACATTTGGAGTTCTTTGAGGTCTATGGTCGAAAAGGAAATATCTTCACACAAAAAGAAGACAGAAGCATTCTGTCAAACTACTTTGTGATATGTGCATTCATATCACGGAGTTGAACCTTACTTTTGATTGAGCATTTTTGAAACACCCTTTTTGTACTATCTGCAAGTGGACATTTGGAGTGCTCTGAGACCTATGGTGGAAAAGGAAATATCTTCACATAAAAACTAGACAGAAACATTCTGACAACTTTCTTTGTGATGTGTGCATTCATCTCACAGAGCTGAACCTTTCTTTTGATTGAGCAGTTTGGAAACTCTCTTTTTGTTGATCTGTAAGTGGACATTTGGAGTGCTTTGAGGCCTGTGGTGAAAAGGAAATATCTTCAGATAAAAACTAGACAGAAGCTTTCTGAGCAACTTCTTTGTGATATGTGCATTCATCTCACAGAGTTGAACATTTCTTTGTATTGAGCAGGTTTGAATCACTCTTTTTGTAGAATCTGCAAGTGGACATTTGGAGAGCTTTGCGGCCTATGGTGGAAAAGGAAATATCTTTCCATAAAAACTAGATATAATCATCCTGAGAAAATTCTTTGTGATGTATGTATTCATCACATAGAGTTGAACCTTTGTTTTCATTGAGCAGTTTTGAAACACTCTTTTTGTAGAATCTGCAAGTGGACATTTGGAGCGCTTTGAGGCCTATGGTGGAAAAGGAAACATCTTCACATAAGCACTAGACAGAAGCATTCTGAGAAACATCTTTGTGATGTGTGCATTCATCTCACAGAGTTGAACATTTCTTTTGATTGAGCAGTTTGGAAACACTCTTTCTGTAGAATCTGTAAGGGGACATGCGGATCTCTTTGAGGCCTGAGGTGGAAAAGGATATATCTTCACAAAAAAAATAGGTGGAAGCATTCTGACAAACCTATTTGCGATATGTGCATTCATCTCACAGAGTTGAACCTTACTTTTGATTAAGCAGTTCTGAAAAACCCTTTTGGTACTATCTGCAAATGGACATTTTGTGTGGTTTGAGGCCTACAGTGGAAAAGGAAATGTGTTCACATAAAAATTAGATAGAAGCATTCTGACAAATTACTTTGTGATGTATGCATTCATCTCACAGAGTTGATCATTTCTTTTGAGTGAATAGTTTGGAAGCTCTCCTTTTGTAGCATCTGCAAGTGGACACTTTGAGCGCTTTGAGGCCTATGGTGGAAAAGGAAATATCTTCACATAAATATTAGACAGAAGCATTCTGACAAATTCTTTGTGATGTGTGCATTCATCTCAGAGAGTTGAACCTTTCCTTCGATTGTGTAGTTTTCAAACACTCTTTCTGTAACATCTGCAAGTGGACATTTGGAGTGAGTTGAGGCCTAAGGTGAAAAATGAAATATCTTCACATAATAACTAGACAGAAGCATTCTGAGAAAGTTGTTTGTGATGTATGCATTAATCTCACAGAGTTGAACATTTCTTTTGATTGAGCAGCTTTGAAACACTCTTTTTGTAGAATCTGCAAGTGGACATTTGGAACACTTTGAGGCCTATGGTGGAAAAGGAAATATCTTCATAGAGAAGCTAGACAGAAATATTCTGAGAAATTTCTTTGTGATGTGGGCATTCATCTCACAGAGTTGAACTTTCTTTTGATTGAGCAGTTTTGAAACACTCTTTTTGTAGAATCTGCAAGTGGATATTTGGAGCGCTTTGCGGCATATGGTGGAAAAGGAAGTATCTTCACTTAAAATACTAGACAGAAGAATTCTGACAAACTTCTTTGTGATGTGTGCATTCATCTCAGGGAATTGAACCTTACTTTTGATTGAGAAGTTTTGAAGCCCACTTTTTGTAGAATCTGCAAGTTGATATTTGGAGTACTTTTAGGCCTATGGTGGAAAAGGAAATATCCTCACATAAGAACTAGACAGAAGCATCCTGAGAAACTTCTTTGTGATGTTTTCATTCAACCCACAGAGTTGAATCTTACTTTTGGTTGAGCAGTTTGGAAACACTCTTTTTGTAGAATCTGCAAGTGGACATTTTGTTCGCTTTGAGGCCTATGGTGGAAAAGGAAATATCTTCACTTAAGATCTAGACAGAAGCATTCTGAGAAACTTCTTCATGATGTGTGCAGTCATCTCACAGAGTTGAACATTTCTTTTGATTGAGCACCTTTGAAACATTATTTTTGTAGGATCTGCATGTGGACCTTTGGAGCGCCTTGAGGCCTATGGTAGAAAAGGAAATATTTTCACATAAAAACTATACAGAAGCATGCTGACAAACTTCTTTGTGTTGTTTGCATTCATCTCACAGAATTGAACGTTTCTTTCCATTGAGCAGTTTTGAAACACTGTTTTTGTACAATCTGCAAGTGGACTTTTGGAGCGCTTTGAGGCCTATGGTGGAAAAGGAAATATCTTCACTTAAGAACTAGACAGAACATTCTGAGAAACTTCTTTGTGATGTGTGCATTCATCTCACAGAGTTGAACCTTTCTTTTCAATGAGCAGTTTTGAAACACTCTTTTTGTAGAATCTACAAGCGGACACTTGGTGTGCTTTGAGGTCTATGGTGGAAAAGGAAATATCTTCTCATAAAACATGGACAGAAACATTCTGAGAAACTTCTTCATGACGTGTATATTCATCTCAAAGATTTGAACCTTTCTTTTGATTGAACAGTTTGGAAACACTCTTTTTGCAGTATCTGCAAGTGGACATTTGGAGGGCTCTGAGGCCTCTGGTGGAAAAGGAAATATCTTCACTTAAGAACTGCAAAGAATCATTATGAGAAAATACTTTGTGATGTGTGCATTCATCTGACAGAGTTGAACCTTACTGTTGATTGAGCAGGTTTGAAACATCCTTTTTGTACTATCTACAAGTGGACATTTGGAGTACATTGATGCCTATGGTATAAAAGTATATATCTTTACATAAAAACTAGACAGAAGGATTCTTAGAAATGTCTTTGTTATATGTGCATTCATCTCACAGAGTTGAAACTTTCTTTTGATTGACTAGTTTGGAAAATCTTTTTGAAGGATCTGCAAGTGGACATTTGGATCACTTTGAGGCCTATGGTGGAAAAGGAAATATCTTCACATAAGAAGTAGACAGAAACATTCTGAGAAACTTCTTTGTGATGTGTGCATTCTTTTCACAGAGTTGAACCTTTCTTTTGATTGAGCAGCTTTGAAATGCTTTTTTTGTAGAATCTGCAAGTGGACATTTGGAGCGCTTTGAGGAGTGTAATGGAAAACGAAATATCTTCATGTAACAACTATGCAGAAGTATTGTGAGAGACTTCTTTGTGATGAGTGCATTCATCTCACAGAGTTGAAACTTTCTTTTGATTTTCTAGTTTGGAAACACTCTTTTTGTAGAATCTGCAAGTGGACATTTGGAGCGCATTGAGGCCAATGGCAGAGAAGGAAATATCTTCACATAAAAACTAGACAGAAGCATTCTGATAAACTTCTTTGTGATATGTGCATTCAACTCACAGGTTGAACCTTACTTTTAATTGAGCCGTTTTGAAACTCCCTTTTTGTACTATCTGCAAGTGGACATTTGGAGTGCTTTGAGGCCTATGGTGGAAATGGAGATATCTTCAAATAAAAACTAGAGAGAAGCATTCTGACAAACTACTTTGTGATGTGTGCATTCATCTCACAGAGATGAACCTTTCTTTTGATTGAGCAGCTTTGAAACACTTTTTTTGTAGAATCTGCAAGTGGACATTTGGAGCGCTTTGAGGAGTGTGATGGAAAACCAAATATCTTCACGTAATAACTACACAGAACTATTCTGAGAAACTTCTTTGTGATGAGTGCATTCATCTCACAGAGTTGAAACTTTCTTTTGATTTTCTAGTTTGGAAACACTCTTTTTGTAGAATCTGCCAGTGGACATTTGGAGCGCTTTGTGGCCTATGGTAAAAAAGGAAATACCTTCACATAAAAACTAGACAGAAGCATTCTAACAAACTTCTTTGTGATATATGCATTCGTCTCACAGAGTTGAACTTTATTTTGATTGCGCTGTTTTGAAACACCCTTTTTGAACTTTCTGCAAGTGGACATTTGGAGTGCTTTGAGGCCTGTGGTCGAAAAGGAAATATCTTCACATAAAAACTAGACCGAAGCATTCTGACAAATTTCTTTGTGATGTGTGCATTCATTTCACAGAGTTGAAACTTTCTTTTGATTGGTTAGTTTGCAAAATCACTTCTTGTAGATTCTGCAAGTGGACATTTGGAGTGCTTTGAGGCCTATGATGGAAAAGGTAATATCTTCACTTAATAACTAGACAGAAGCATTCTGAGAAACTTCTTCGTGATGTGTGCATTCACCTCACAGATTTGAAACTTTCTTTTGATTGAGCAGATTTGAAACAATCTTTTTGTCGAATCTGCAAGTGTACATTTGGAGCACTTTGTGGCCTCTGGTGGAAAAGGAACTATCTTCACATAAAAACTAGACAGAAGCATTCTGACAAACTTCTTTGTGATGTGTGCATTCTTCTCAGAGAATTGAACTTTACTTTTGATTGACCAGTTTTGAAACACGGTTTTTTTTTCTGGTTTTTTTTTTTTTTTGGCTTTCTCCTTTTTTTATTATTGTTATTATTATACTTTAAGTTTTAGGGTACATGTGAACAATGTGCAGGTTCGTCACATATGTATCCATGTGCTGTTTTGGTGTGCTGCACCCATTAACTTGCCATTTAGCGTTAGGTATATGTCCTAATTCTGTCCCTTCCCCCTCCCCCCACCCCACAACAGTCCCCGGAGTGTGATGTTTCCCTTCCTTTGTCCATGTGTTCTCATTGGTCAATTCCCACCTATGAGTGAGAACATGTGTTGTTTGGTTTTTTGTCCTTTCGTATTCCCATTGAAAACTGGCAAAAGACAGGGATGCCCACTGTCACCACTCCTATTCAACATAGTGTTGGAAGTTCTGGCCAGGGCAATCAGATAGGAGAAGTGAATAAAGGGCATTCAATTAGGAAAAGAGGAAGTCAAATTGTCCCTGTTTGCAGATGACATGATTGTATAACTAGAAAACCCCATTGTCTCAGCCGAAAATCTGCTTAAGCTGATAAGCAACCTCAGCAAAGTCTCAGGATACAAAATCAATGTACAAAAATCACAAGCATTCTTGTACACCAATAGCAGACACACAGAGAGCCAAATCATGAGTGAACTCCCATTCACAATTGCTTCAAAGAGAATAAAATAAATAGGAATCTAACTTACAAAGGACATGAAGGACCTCTTCAAGGAGAACTAGAAACCACTGCTTAATGAAATAAAAGAGGATACAAACAAGTGGAAGAACATTCCATGTTGGAAGAATCAATATCATGAAAATGGCCATACTGCCCAAGGTAATTTATAGATTCAATGCCATCCCCATCAAGCTACCAATGACTTTCCTCAGAAAATTGGAAAAAAACGACTTTAAAGTTCATATGGAACCAAAAAAGAGCCCGCATCGCCAAGTCAATCCCAAGCCAAAACAACAAAGCTGGGGGGATCACGCTACCTGACTTCAAACTATACTACAAGGCTACAGTAACCAAAACAGCATTGTTCTGGTACCAAAACAGAGACATAGATCAATGGAACAGAACAGAGACCTCAGGAATCATGCCGCATATCTACAACTATCAGATCTTTGACAAACCTGACAAAAACAAGCAATGGGAAAAGGATTCCCTATTTAATAAATGGTGCAGGGAAAACTGGCTAGCCATATGTAGAAAACTGAAACTGGAAACATTCTTGTTGTAGAATCTGCAAGTGGACATTTGGAGGGCTTTGAGACATATTGTGGAAAAGGAAATATCTTTACATAATAGCTACAGAGAAACATTCTGACAAACATCTTTGTGATGTGTGCATTCATCTCACAGAGTTGAACCTTTCTTTTGATTGAGCAGTTTGGAAACACTCTTTTTGTAGAATCTGCAACTGGACATTTGGAGCACTTTGTGGTCAATGGTGGAAAAGGAAATATCTTCACATAAAAACTAGACAGAAGCAATCTGAGAAACTTCTTTTTGATGTGTGCATACATCTCACAGAGTTAAACATTTCTTGTGATGGAGCACTTTTGAAACTCTCTTTTTGTAGAATCAGCAAATGGACATTTTGAGCTCTTTGAGGCCTATGGTGGAAAAGGAAACATCTTCACATAAAAACTAGACGGAAGAATTCTCAGAAATTTCTTTGTGATGTGTGAGTTCATCTCACAGAGTAGAACCTTTCTTTTGATTGAGCAGTTTGGAAACACTCTTTTTGTAGAATCTGCAAGTGGACATTTGGAGAACTTTGTGGCCTATAGCGGAAAAGGAAATATCTTCACATAAAAACTAGACAGAAGAATTCTGAGAAACTTCTTTGTGATGTGTGCATTCATCTCATAGCGTTGAGCATTTCTTCTGATTGAGCAGCTTTGAAACACTCTTTTTGTAGAATCTGCATGTGGACATTTGGAGCGCTTTGAGGCCTATAGTGGAAAAGGAAATATCTTCATATAAAAACTATACAGAAACATTCTGACAAACTTCTTAGTGATGTGTGCATTCATCTCATAGAGTTGAACCTTTCTGTTCATTGAGCAGTTTTGAAAAACTCTTTTTGTGGAATGTGCAATTGTACATTTGAAGCAATTTGAGGCCTATGGTTGAAAAGGAAATATGTTCACATAAAAACTAGACAGAAGCATTCTGACCAATTACTTTGTGATGTGTGCATTCATCTAACAGAGTTGAACCTTTCTTTTGATTGAGTAGTTTGGAAATTCTCTTTTTGTAGGATCTGCAAGAGCACATTAGGAGTGCTTTGGGGCCTAAGGTGGAAAAGGTAGTATCTTCACTTAAGAAGTAGACAGAAGCATTCTGAGTAACTTCTTTGTGATGTGTGCATTCATCTCACAGAGTTGAACCTATCTTTTGATTGAGTAGCTTAGAAACTCTCTTTTTGTAGAATCTGCAAGTGGACATTTGGAGCGCATTGAGGCCTATGGTGGAAAAGGAAATATCTTCATTTAAGAAGTAGACAGAAGCATTCTGTGAAACTGCTTTGTGATGTGTGCATTCCTCTCACAGAGCTGAAACTTTATTTTAATTGAGCAGTTTTGAAAAACTCTTTTTCTAGAAATTGCAAGTGGACATTTGGAGTGCTTTGCAGCCGATGGTGGAAAAGGAAATATCTTCACATACAAACTAGACAAAAGCATTCTGACAAGCTTATTTGTGATGGGTGCATTCATCTCAAAGAGTTGAACCTTACTTTCGATTGAGCAGTTTTGAAACACTCTTTTTGTAGAATCTGCAAGTGGACATTTGGAGAGCTTTGAGGCCTGTGGTGGAAAAGGAAATATCTTCACACAAAACTAGACAGAAGCATTCTGAGAAACTTATGTGTAATATATGCATTCATCTCACAGAGTTTCAACTTTCTTTTGATTGAGCAACTTTGAAACACTCTTTTTGTAGTATCTGCAAGTGGACATTTTTGGCGCTTTGAGGCAATGGTGGAAAAGGAAATAGCTTCACATAAAAACTATACAGAAACATTCTGAAAAACTTCACTGACGTGTGGATTCATCTCCCAGAGTTGAACCTTTCTTTTGATTGAACAGTTTTGAAAGACTCTTTTTGTAGAATCTGAATTTGGACATTTGGTGCACTTTGCGGCCTATGGTAGGAAAGGAAATATCTTCACATAAAAACTAGACAGAAGCATTCTGACAAACTTCTTTGTGATTTGTGCATTCATCTCACAGAGTTGAACCTTTCTTTTGATTGAGCGGCTTTGAAACACTCTTTTTGTAGAATCTGCATGTGGACTTTTAGAGCTCTTTGAGGCTTATGGTGGAAAATGAAATATCTTCACATAAAAACTATACAGAAACATTCTGATAAACTTCTTTGTTATGTGTGCATTCTTCTCACAGATTTGAACCTTTATTTCCATTGAGCAGTTTTGAAAAACTCTTTTTGTGGAATCTGCAATTGTACATTTGAAGCGCTTTGAAGCCTATGGCTTAAAAGGAAATATGTTCACATAAAAACTAGACAGAATCATTCATAGAAAATCCTTTGTGTTGTGTGCATTCATCTCACCGGGTTGAACATTTCTTTTGATTGAGCAGGTTTAAACACTCTTTTTGTAGAATCTGCAAGTGGACATTAGGAGCCCTTTGAGTCCTGTGGTGGAATAGGAATTATCTTCATTTAAGAACTAGACAGAAGCATTCTGAGAAACTTCTTTGTGATGTGTGCGTTCATCTCACAGAGTTGAAACTTTCTTTTCATTGAGCAGTTTTGAAACAATCTTTTTGTAGAATCTGCAAGTAGACATTTGGAGCGCTTTGTGGCCTATGGTGGAAAAGGAAACATCTATACATGAAAACTAGACAGAAGCATTCTGACAAACTTCTTTGTGATGTGTGCTTTCATATCACAGAGTTGAATATTTCTTTTGCTTGAGCAGTTTGGAAACACTCTTTTTATAGAAACCGCATGTGGACATTTGGAGTGCTTTGAGGCCTACGGTGGAAAAGGAAACATCTTCATATGAAAACTAGACAAAAGCATTCTGACAGACTTTTTTTGATGTGAGAATTCACCTCACAGAGTTGAACCCTACCTTCGATTGAGCAGTTTTGAAACACTCTTTTTGTAGTGTCCAGAATTGGACATTTGGAGTACTTAGAGTCCTATGGAGGAAAAGGAAATATCTTCATATAAAAACTAGAGAGAAGTGTTTTGAGAAACTCTTTGTGATGTGTGCATGCATTCATCTCACAGATTTGAAACTTTCTTTTGATTCAGCAGCTTTGAAACACTCTTTTTGTAGCATCTAGAATTGGACATTTGGAGCGCTTAGAGTCCTATGGTGGAAAAGGAAATATATTCACGTAAAAACTAGAGAGAATCATTCAGAGAAAATTCTTTGTGATGTGTGCATTCATCTCACAGAGTTAAACCGTTATTTTGATGGAGCAGTTTGGAAAAACTTTTTTTGTACGATCTGGATGTTTACATTTGGAGCGTTTTGAGGCCTATGGTGTAAAAGGAAATATCTTCAAATAAAAACTAGACAGAAACATTCTGAGAAACTTCTTTGTGATGGGTGCATTCATCTCACAGAGTTGAACATTTCTTTTGATTCAGCAGCTTTGAAACACTCTTTTTGTAGAATATGCAAGAGGACATTTGGAGTGCTTTGAGGCCAATGGTGGAAAAGGAAATATCTTCACATAAAAACTAGACAGAAGCATTCTGAGAAACTTCTTTGTGACATGTGCATTCATCTCAGAGTGTTGAACCTTTCTTTTGATTGAGCAGCTTTGAAACACTCTTTTTTTAGAATCTGCATGTGCAGATTTGGAGTGCTTTGAGGCCAATGGTGGAAAAGGAAATATCTTCACATAAAAAGGATTCAGAAATATTCTGAGAAACTTCTTCCTGATGTGTGCATTCATGTCACAGAGTTGAACCTTTATTTCATTGAGCAGTTTTTATTTATTTATTTATTATTATTATACTTTAAGTTTTAGGGTACATGAGCACAATGTGCAGGTTAGTTACATATGTATACATGTGCCACGCTGGTGGACTGCACCCACTAACTCGTCATCTAGCATTACGTATATCTCCCAATGCTATCCCTCCCCCCTCCCCCCACCCCACAACAGTCCACAGAGTGTGATATTCCCCTTCCTGTGTCCATGTGTTCTCATTGTTCAATTCCCACCTATGAGTGAGAATATGCAGTGTTTGGTTTTTTGTTCTTGCGATAGTTTGCTGAGAATGATGATTTCCAATTTCATCCATGTCCCTACAAAGGACATGAACTCATCATTTTTTACGGATGCATAGTATTCCATGGTGTATATGTGCCACATTTTCTGAATCCAGTCTATCATTGTTGGACATTTGGGTTGGTTCCAAGTCTTTGCTATTGTGAATAATGCTGCAATAAACATACGTGTGCATGTGTCTTTATACCAGTATGATTTATAGTCCTTTGGGTATATACCCAGTAATGGGATGGCTGGGTGAAATGGTATTTCTAGTTCTAGATCCCTGAGGAATTGCCACACTGACTTCCACAGTGGTTGAACTAGTTTACAGTCCCACCAACAGTGTAAAAGTGTTCCTATTTCTCCACATCCTCTCCATTACCTGTTGTTTCCTGACTTTTTAATGATTGCCATTCTAACTGGTGTGAGATGGTATCTCATTGTGGTTTTGATTTGCATTTCTCTGATGGCCAGTGATGGGGAGCATTTCTTCATGTGTTTTTTGGCTGCATAAATGTCTTCCTTTGAGAAATGTCTGTTCATGTCCTTAAAAATCAATGTACAAACATCACAAGCATTCTTATACACCAACAACAGACAAACAGAGAGCCAAATCATGAGTGAACTCCCATTCACAATTGCTTCAAAGAGAATAAAATACCTAGGAATCCAACTTACAAGGGATGTGAAGGACCTCTTCAAGGAGAACTACAAACCACTGCTCAAGGAAATAAAAGAGGATACAAACAAATGGAAGAACATTCCATGCTCTTGGGTAGGAAGAATCAATATCGTGAAAATGGCCATACTGCCCAAGGTAATTTAGACATTCAATGCCATCCCCATCAAGCTACCAATGACTTTCTTCACAGAATTGGAAAAAACTACTTTAAAGTTCATATGGAACCAAAAAAGAGCCTGCATCGCCAAGTCAATCCTAAGCCAAAAGAAAAAAGCTGGAGGCATCACACTACCTGACTTCAAACTATACTAGAAGGCTACAGTAACCAAAACAGCATGGTACTGGTACCAAAACAGAGATATAGATCAATAGAACAGAACAGAGCCCTCAGAAACAACGCCACATATCTACAACTATCTGATCTTTGACAAACCTGAGAAAAACAATCAATGGGGAAAGGATTCCCTATTTAATAAATGGCTCTGGGAAAACTGGCTAGTCATATGTACAAAGCTGAAACTGGATCCCTTCCTTAAACCTTACACAAAAATCAATTCAAGATGGATTAAAGACTTAAACGTTAGACCTAAAAGCATAAAAACCCTAGAAGAAAACCTAGTCATTACCATTCAGAACATAAGCATGGGCAAGGACTTCATGTCTAAAACACCAAAAGCAATGGTAACAAAAGCCAACATTGACAAATAGGATCTAATTAAACTAAAGAGCTTCTGCACAGCAAAAGAAACTATCATCAGAGTGAACAGGCAACCTACAAAATGGGAGAAAAGTTTCACAAGCTACTCATCTGACAAAGAGCTAATATCCAGAATCTACAATGAACTCAAACAAATTTACAAGAAAAGAACAAACAACCCCATCAAAAAGTGGGTGAAGGACATGAACAGACATTGAGCAGTTTTGAAAAACTCTTTTTGTAATATCTGCAAGTGGACATTTGGAGCGCTTTTTGGCCTATGGTGGAAAAGGAAATATCTTCATTTAAGAACTAGATGGAAGCATTCTGTGAAACTGCTTTGTGATGTGCGCATTCCTCTCACAGAGCTGAAACTTTATTTTAATTGAGCAGTTTTGAGAACTCTCATTTTGTAGAATCTGCAAGTGGGCATTTGGAGCACTTTGCGGCCTATGGTGGAAAAGGAAATATCTTCACATTAAAACTAGGCAGAAGCATTCTGACAAGCTTATTTGTCATTTATCTCATGGAGTTGACATTTATCTCATGGAGTTGAACTTAACTTTCGATAGAGCAGTTTTGAAACACTCTTTTTGTAGAATCTGCAAGTGGATATTTGGAGAGCTTTGAGGCCTGTGGTGGAAAAGGAAATATCTTCACACAAAACTAGACAGAAGCAATGTGACAAAGTTTTTGTGATGTGTGCATTCATCTCGCAGAGTGGAACCTTAATTTCAATTGAGCAGTTTTGAAACACTCCTTTTGTAGAATCTGTAAGTGGACATTTGGAGCGCTTTGATGCCTATGGTGGAAAACGAAATATTTTCACATAATAACTAGACAGAAGCATTCTGAGAAACTTCTATGTGATGTGTGCATTCATCTCATAGAGTTGAAACTTTCTTTTGATTGAGCCACTTTGAAACACTCTTTCTGTAGTATCTGCAAGTGGACATTTTTGGCGCTTTGAGGCAATGGTGGAAAAAGAAATATCTTCACACAAGAACTATACAGAAACATTCTGAAAAACTTCACTGAGATGTGTGGATTCATCTCACAGAGTAGAACCTTTCTTTTGATTGAGCAGTTTTGAAAGACTCTTTTTGTAGAATCTGCATGTGGACATTTGGAGCTCTTCGAGGCCTATGGTGGAAAAGTAAATACCTTAATATAAAAACTATACAGAAATATTCTGACGAACTTCTTTGTTATGTGTACATTCTTCACACAGATTAGAACCTTTCTTTTCATTGAGCAGTTTTGAAAAACTCTTTTTGTGGAATCTGCAAGTGTACATTTGAAGCGCTTTGAGGCCTATGGTTTAAAAGGAAATATGTCCACATAAAAACTAGACAGAATCATTCATAGAAAATCCTTTGTGTTGTGGGCATTCATCTCACCGGGTTGAACATTTCTTTTGATTGAGCAGGTTTAAAAACTCTTTTTGTAGAATCTGCAAGTGGACATTGGGAGCCCTTTGAGTCCTATGGTGGAATAGGAAACATCATCATTTAAGAACTAGACAGAAGCATTCTGAGAAACATCTTTGTGATGTGTGCATTCATCTCACAGAGTTAAACATTTCTTTTGATTGAGCTGTCTTGAAACTCTATTTTGTAGAATCTGCAAGTGGACATTTGGAGCGCTTTGAGGCTTATGGTAGAAAAGGAAATATCTTCACATAAAATCTAGACAAAAGCAATCTGAGAAACTTCTTTGTGATGTGTGCATTCATCTCACAGAGTTAAAATTTTTTTTGATTGAGCAGTTTTGAAACTCTCTTTTTGTAGAATCTGCAAGTGGACATTTGGAGCCCTTTTAGGCCTATGGTGGAAAAAGAAATATCTTCACATAAAATCTAGACAGAAGAATTCTGAGAAACTTCTTGGTGATGTGTGCGTTCATCTCACAGAGTTGAAAATTTCTTTTGATTGAGCAGTTTGGAAACTCTCTTTTTGTAGAATCTGCAAGTGGACATTTGGAGCACTATGCGGCCTATGGTAGAAAAGGAAATATCTTCACATAAAACCTACACAGAAGCAATCTGAGAAACTTCTTTGTGATGCGTGCTTTCATCTCACAGAGTTAAACCTTTCTTTTGATTGAGGAGTTTTGAAACTCTCTTTTTGTAGAATCTGCAAGTGGACAATTGGAGCACTTTGAGGCATTTGGTGGAAAAGAAAATATCTCCACATAATAGACAGAAGATTTCTGAGAAACTTCTTTGTGATGTATGCATTCATGTCACAGATTTGAACATTTCTGTTGATTGAGTAGTTTGGAAACACTCTTTTTTAGAATCTGCAAGTGGACATTTGGAGCGCTTTGCGGCCTATGGTAGAAAAGGAATTATCTTCACATAATATCTAGACAGAAGCAATCTGAGAAACTTCTTTGTGATATGTGCATTCATCTCACAGAGTTAAGCCATTCTTTTGATTGAGCAGTTTTGAACCTCTCTTTTCGTAGACTCTGCAAGTGGACATTTCGAGCACTTTGAGGCTTATGGTGAAAAAGGAAATATCTTCCCATAAAAAGTAGACAGAAGAATTCCGAAAAACTTTGTGATGGGCACGTTCATCTCACAGAGTTGAAACTTTCTTTTGATTGAGCAGTTTGGAAACCCTCTTTTTATAGACTCTGCAAGTGGACATTTGGAGCACTTTGCGGCCTATGGTAGACTAGGAAATATGTTCACATAAAATCTAGACAGAAGTAATCTGAGAAACAACTTTGTGATGTGTACATTCGTCTCACAGAGATAAACATTTCTTTTGATTGAGCAGTTTTGAAACTGTCTTTTTGTAGAATCTGCAAGTGGACATTTGGAGCGCTTTGAGGCCTATGGTGGAAAAGGAAATATCTTCACATAAAAACTACATAGAAGCATTCTGAGAAAGATTTTGTGATGTGCGCATTCATCACCCAGAGTTGAATCTTTCTTTTGAAGGACCAGTTTTGAAATACTCTGTTTGTAGAATCTTCAAGTGGACATTTCGAGTGCCTTGAGGCCTATGGTTTAAAAGGAAATATCTTCACATAAAAACAAGACAGAAGAATTCTGAGAAAGTTCTTTGTGATATGTGCGTGCATCTCGCAGAATTGAGCCTTTCTTTTGATTGAGCAGTGTTTAAACCCTCTTTTTGTAGAATCTGCAAATGGTCATTTGGAGCACTTTGAAGCCTACGGTGGAAAAGGAATTTATCTTCACATAAAAACTAGAGAGAAGAATTCTGACAAACTTCTTTGTGATGTGTGCTTTCATCTCACAGAGTTGAAACTTTCTTTTGATTGAGCTGTTTGGAAACACTCTTTTTGTAGAGTCTGCAAGTGGACATTTGGAGCACTTTGTGGCCTATGATAGAAAAAGAAATATCTTCACATAAAATTCAGACAGAGCCAGTCTGAGAAACTACTTTGTGATGTGTGCATTCATTTCACAGAGTGAAAACTTTAGTTTGGTTGAGCAGTTTTGAAACTCTCTTTTTGTAGAATCTGCAAGTGGACATTTGGAGCACTTTTAGGCCTATGGTGGAAAAGGAAATATCTTCACATAAATACTAGACAGAAGAATTCTGAGAAACTTCTTTGTGATGTGTGCATTAATCTCACTGAGTTGAACCTTCATTTTGATTGAACATTTTGGAAGCACTCCTTTTGCAGAATCTGCAAGTGCAGATTTGGAGCGCTTTGCGGCCAGTGGTAGAAAAGGAAATACCTGCACATAAAATCTAGACACAAGCAATATGAGAAAATTCTTTGTGATGTGTGCATTCATCTCAGAGACTTAAACATTTCTTTTGAAGGAGCATTTTTTAAACTCTGTTTTTGTAGAATCTGGAAGTGTACATTTGGAGCGGTTTGAGGACAATGTGGAAAAGAAAATATCTTCACATCAAAACCAGATTGAAGAATACTGAGAAACTTCTTTGTGATGTGTGCGTTCATCTCACAGAGTGGAACCTTTCTTTTGATTGAGCTGTTTGGAAACACTCTTTTTGTAGAATCTGCAAGTGGACATTTGGGGCACTTTGTGGCCTATGGTAGAAAAGGAAATATCTTCACATAGAATTCAGACAGAAGCAATCTGAGAAACTACTTTGTGATGTGCACATTCATTTCACAGAGTTAAACTTTTCTTTTGATTGAGCTGTCTTGAAACTCTATTTTGTAGAACCTGCAAGTGGACATTTGGAGCGCTTTGAGGCCTATGGCAGTAAAAGAAACATCTTCACATAAAATCTAGACAAAAGCAATCTGAGAAACTTCTTTGTGATGTGTGCTTTCATCTCACAGAGTTAAAAGTTTTTTTTGATTGAGCAGTTTTGAAACTCTCTTTTTGTAGAATCTGCAAGTGAAAATTTGGAGCACTTTTAGGCCTATGTTTGAAAAGGAAATATCTTCCCATAAAAACTAGACAGAAGAATTCTGAGAAACTTCTTTGTGATGTGTGCGTTCATCTCACAGAGTTGAAACTTCCTTTTGATTGAGCAGTTTGGAAACACTCTTTTTGTAAAATCTACAAGTGGACACTTGGAGTGCTTTGGGGCCTAAGGTAGAAAAGGAAATATCTTCAAATAAAACCAAGACAGAAGCAATCTGAGAAACTTCTTTGTGATGTGTGCATTCATCTCACAGAGTTGAACCTTCCTTTTCATTGAGCAGTTTGGAATCACTCTTTTTGTAGAACGTGCAAGTGGACATTTGGAGCGCTTTGCGGACTATGGTAGAAAAGGAAATATCTTCACATTAAATCTAGACAGAAGCAATCTGAGAAATTTCTTTGTGACATGTGCATTCGTCTCACAGAGTTAAACCTTCTTTTTGATAGAGCAGTATTGAAACTCTCTTTTTGTAGTATCTGCAAGTGGACATTTGGAGTACTTTCAGGCCTACGGTGGAAAAGGAAATATCTTCACATAAAAACTAGACAGAAGAATTCAGACAAACTTCTTTGTGATGTGTGCGTTCATCTCACAGAATTGAGCCTTTCTTTTGATTGAGCAGTGTTGAAACCCTCTTTTTGTAGAATCTGCAAATTGTCATTTGGAGCGCTTTGAGGCCTACGGTGGAAAAGGAATTTATCTTCACATAAAAACTAGAGAGAAGAATTCTGACAAACTTCTTTGTGATGTGTGTGTTCATCTCACAGAGTTGAAACTTTTGATTCAGCAGCTTGGAAAGAGTCTTTTTGTAGAATCTGCAAGTGGACATTCGGAGTGCTTTTTGGCCTATGGAAGAAAACGAAATATCTTCATATAAAATCTAGACAGTAGCAATCTGAGAAACTTCTTTGTAATGTGTGCATTCAACTCACAGAGTTAAAACTTCATTTGATTGAGCAGTTTTGAAACTCTCTTTTTGTAGAATCTGCAAGTGGACATTTGGAGCACTTTGAGGTCTATGGTGGAAAAGGAAATATCTTCACATAAAAACTAGACAGAAGATTTCTGACAAACTTCTTTGTGATGTGTGTGTTCATCTCACTGAGTTGAAACTTTATTTTGATTGAGTAGTTTGGAAACACTCGTTTTGTAGAATCTGCTAATGGAGATTTAGAGCACTTTGCGGCCTATGGTAGAAAAGGAAATACCTTCACATAAAATGTAGACAGAAGCAATATGAGATAATTCTTTGTGATATGTGCATTCTTCTCACAGTGTTAAACATTGCTTTTGATTGAGCATTTTTGAAACTCTGTTTTGTAGAATCTGGAAGTGTACATTTGGAGTGGTTTGAGGCCAATGTGGAAATAGAAATATCTTCACATAAAAACTAGAAAGAAGAATACTGAGAAACTTCTTTGTGATGTGTGCATTTATCTCACAGTGTTAAAACTTTTTTTTGATTGAGCAGTTTTGAAACTCTCTTTTTGTAAAATCTGCAAGTGGACATTTGGAGCGCTTTTAGGCCTATGGTGGAAAAGGAAACATCTTCCCATAAAAACTAGACAGAAGAATTCTGATAAACTTCTTGGTGATCTGTGCATTCATCTCACAGAGTTGAAACTTTCTTTTGATTGAGCAGTTTGGAAACAATCTTTCTGTAGAATCTGCAAGTGGACATTTAGAGTGCTTTACAGCCTATGGTAGAAAAGGAAATATCTTCACATAAAACCTAGACAGAAGCAACCTGAGAAACTTTTTTGTGATGTGTGCATTCATCTCACAGAGTTAAACCTTTCTTTTGATTCAGCAGTTTTGAAACTCTCTTTTTGTTGAATCTGCAAGTGGACATTTATAGCACTTTGAGAACTATGATGGAAAAGGAATATCTTCACAAAAAAAACTAGACAGAAGAATTCTGAGAAACTTCATTCTGATATGTGCGTTCATCTCACAGAGTTGAACCTTTCTTTTGATTGAGCAGTTTGGAAACACTTTTTTTGTAGAATCTGCAAGTGGACATTTGGAGCGCTCTGCGGCCTATGTTAGAAAAGGAAATACCTTCACATAAAATCTAGACAGAAGCAATCAGAGAAACTTTCTTGTGATGTGTGCATTCATCTCACAGAGGTAAATATTTCCTTTGAGCAGTTGTGAAACTCTCTTTATGTATAATCTGCAAGTGGACATTTGGAGTGCTTTGAGGCCTATGGTGGAAAACGAAACATCTTGATATAAAAACTAGACAGAAGAATTCTGAGAAACTCCTGCGTTATACGTGCGTTTATCTCACAGAGTTGAAACTTTCTTTTGATTGAGCAGTTTGGAAACACTCTTTTTGTAGAATCTGCAAGTGGACATTTGGAACGCATTGAGCCTTATGGTTGAAAAGGAAATATCTTCACATAAAATCTAGACAGAAGCATTATGAGAAACTTTTTGTGATGTGTGCATTCATTTCAAAGAGTTAAGCCTTTCTTTTGATTGAGCAGTTTTGAAACTCTCTTTTTGTAGGATCTGCAAGTGGACATTTGGAGCGCTTTGAGGCCTATGGTGGTAAAGGAAATATCTTCACATAAAAACTAGACAGAAGAATTCTGAGAAACTTCTTTGTGATGTGTGGGTTCATATCACACGTTGAAACTTTCTTTTGATTGGGCAGTTTAAACACTGTTTTTGTAGAATCTGCAACTGGACATTTGTAGCGCTTTTAGTCCTATGTTGGAAAAGGAAACATCTTCACATAAAAAATAGACAGAAGAATTCTGAGAAACTTCTTTGTGATGTGTATATTCATGCCATAGAGTTGAAACTTTCTTTTGGTTGAGCAGTTTGGAAACACTCTTTTGTAGAACCTGCAAGTGGAGATTTGCAGCGCTTTTTGGCCTATGGTAGATAAGATAATATGTTCATATAAAATCTAGACAGAAGCAATCTGAGAAACATTTTGTGATGTGTGCATTCATCTCACAGAGTTAAACCTTTATTTTAATTGAGCAGTTTTGAAACTCTCTTTTTATAGAATCTGTAAGTGGACATTTGGAGCGCTTTGCAACCTATGCTGGAAAAGGAAATATCTTCACATTAAAACTAGATAGAAGAATTCTGAGAAACTTCTTTGTGATGTGTGCGTTCATCTCACAGAGTTAAACCTTATTTATGATTGAACAGTTTGGAAACACAATTTTTGTAGAAACTGCAAGTTTACATTTGGAGAGCTTTGCGGGCTATGCTAGAAAAGGAAATATCTTCACATAAAAACTAGACAGAAGAATTCTGACAGACTTCTTTGTGATGTTTGCGTTCATCTCACAGAGTGGAATCTTTCTTTTGATAGAGCAGTTTTGAAACTCTCTTTTTGTAGAATGTGCAAGTGGACATTTGGACCACTTTGTGGCCTATGTTGGAAAAGGAAATATCTTCACATAAAATCTAGACTGAAGAATTCTGAGAAACTTCTTTTTGAAGTGTGTTTTCATCTCATTTGAACTTTCCTTATGATTGAGCAGTCTGGAAACACTCTTTTTGCAGAATCTGCAAGTGAACATTTGGTGTGTTTTGCAGCCTATGGTTGAAAAGGAACTATCTCCATATAAAATCTAGACAGAAGTAATCTGAGAAACTTCTTTCTGATGTGTGCATTGATCTCATAGAGTTTAACCTTTCTTTTGATTCAGCAGTTTTGAAACTCTCTTTTTGTAATATCTGCAAGTGGACATGTGGTGCGCTTTGAGGCCTATGGTGGAATAGGAAATATCTTCACACAAAAAATAGATAGAAGCATTCTGTGAAACTTCTTTGTGATGTGTGCATTCATCTCCCAAGTTTGAACCTTTCTTTTGATGGACTAGTTTTGAAATACTCTTTTCGTGGAATCTGCAAGTGGACATTTCGAGCGCATTAAGGTCTATGGTGGAAAATGAAATATCTTCACATAAAAACTAGACAGAAAAATTTTGAGAAACTTCTTTGTTTTTTGTGCTTTCATCTCACAGAGTTGAATCTTTCTTTTATTTGAGCAGTTTTGAAACACTCTTTTTGAAGGGTCTGCAAGTGGACATTTGGAGTGCTTTGCTGCCTATGGTAGGAAAGGAAATATCTTCACATAAAATATAGACGGAAGCAATCTGTGAAGCTTCTTTGTGAAGTGTGCATTCGTCTCACAGAGTTAAACCTTTCTTTTGATTGAGCAGTTTTGAAACTTTCTTTTTGAGGAATTTGCAAGGGGACATATGGAGCGTTTTGTGGCCTATGGTGGAAAAGGAAATACCTTCGCAAAAAACTAGACAGAAGAATTCTGAGAAACTATTTTGTGATGTGTGCGTTCATCTCACAGATTTGAACCTTTCTTTTGATTGAGCAGTTTTGATACTCTGTTTTTGTAGTGTCTGCAAGTGAACATTTGGTACGCTCTTTGGCCTATGGTAGAAAATGAGGTATCTTCACATAATATCTAGACAGAAGCAATCTGAGAAACTTCTTTGTGATGCGTGCATTCATCTCACAGAGTTAAACCTTTCGTTTGAGCCGTTTTGAAACTCTGTTTTTGTAGAATCTTCAAGTGGACATTTGGAGCACTTTGAGGCCTATGGTGAAAAAGGAAATATCTTCACATAAAAACTAGACAGAAGAATTCTGACAAACTTCTTTGAAATGAGTGCACTCGTCTCACAGAGTTGAACCTTTCTTTTGATTGAGCATTTGAAAACACTTTTTTTTGTAGAATCGGCAAGTGGACATTTGTTCCGCTTTGTGACCTATGGTAGAAAATGATATATCTTCACATAAAATCTCGACAGACGCAATCTGAGAAACTTCTTTCTGATGCGTGCATTCATCTCACAAAGTTAAACTTTTCTTTTGCTTGAGAAGTTTTGAAACTATCTTTTTGTAGAATCTGCAAGTGGACATTTGGAAAGCTTTGAGGCGTATGGTGGAAAAGGAAATATCTTCACATTAAAAGTAGACAGAAGAATTCCGACAAACTTCTTTGAGATGTGTGCATTCATCTCTCAAAGTTGAACCTTTCTTTTGATTGAGCAGTTTCGAAGCACTCTTTTTGTAGAATCTGTAAGTAGACATTTGCAGTGCTTTGAGGCCTATGGTGGAAAAGGAAATATCTTCACATAAAATCTAACAGAAGCAATCTGAGAAACTTCTTTGTGATGTGTGCTTTCATCTAACAGAGTTAAACATTTCTTTTGATGGAGGAGTTTTGAAACTCTCTTTTAGTAGAATCTGCAAGTGGACATTTGGAGCACTTTTAGGCCTATGGTGGAAAAGAAACTATCTTCACATAAAAACTAGACAGAAGAATTCTGATAAACTTCTTTGTGATGCATGAGTTCATCTGACAGAGTTGAACCGTTCTTTCAATTGAGGAGTTTGGAAACACTCTTTTTTTAGAATCTGGAAGTGGACATTTGGAGTGCTTTGAGGCCTATGGTGGAAAAGGAAATATCTTCACATAAAATCTAACAGAAGCAATCTGAGAAACTTCATTGTGATGTGCACATTCATCTCACAGAGTTGAACCATTCCTTTCATTGAGCACTTTTGAAACTCTCTTTTTGTAAAATGTGCAAGTGGAATTTTGGAGCACTTTGAGGCCTATGGTGGAAAGGAAATATCTTCACATAAAAACTAGACAGAAGAATTCTGAGAAAGGTTTTGTGATGTGTGCGTTCAGCTCACAGAGTTGAACTTTTCTTATGATTGAGCAGTTTTGAAACACTCTTTTTGTAGAATCTGCAAGTGGATATTTGGTGTCCTTTGCAGCCTATTGTATAAAAGGAAATATCTTCACATAAAATCCAGACAGAGTCTCAGAAACTTGTCTGTGATTTGTGCATTCATCTCACAGAGTTAAACATTTATTTTGATTGAGCAGTTTTGAGACTCTCTTTTTGTAGAATCTGCAAGTGGACCTTTGGAGCGCTTTGAAGCCTATGGTGGAAAAGGAAATATCTTCACACAAAAACGAGACAGAAGAATTCTGAGAAACTTTTTTGTGATGCGTGCGTTCATCTCAGAGAATTGAACTTTTCTTTTGGTTGACCAGGTTGGAAACACCCTTTTTGTAGAATCTGCAAATGGACATTTGGTGCACTTTGTGTCTTATGGTAGAAAATGAAATATCTTCACATAAAATCTAGACAGAATAAATCTGAGAAACTTCTTTTTGATGTGTGGATTCAACTCACAGAGTGAGAGCTTTCTTCTGATGGGGCGGTTTGGAAACTCTATTTTTGTAGAATCTCCAAGTGGATATTTGGAGCACTTTGAGACCTATGGTGGAAAAGCAAATATCTTCACATAAAAACTAGACAGAATAATTCTGAGAAAATTATTTGTGATGTGTGCGTTCATCTCACAGAGTGGAAACTTTCTTTTGTTTGAGCAGTTTGGAAACACTCTTTTTGTGGAATATACATGTGGACATTTGGAGCGCTTTGCGGCCTATGGCATAAAAGGAATTATCCTCTCGTAAAATCTAGACAGAAGCAATCTGAGAAACTTCTTTCTGATGTTTGCATTCATCTCAGAGAGTTAAACCTTTCTTTTGATTGAGCAGTTTTGAAACTCTCTTTTTGTAGAATCTGCAAGTGGACATTTGGAGTGCTTTGAGGCATATGGTGGAAAAGGAAATATCTTCACATTAAGGCTAGACAGAAGAATTCTGACAAACTTCTTCGAGAATGCGTGTGTTCATCTCACAGAGTTAAACCTTTCTTTTGATTGAGCAGTTTGGAAACACTCTTTTTGTATCATCCACAAGGGGACATTTGGAACACTTTGCAGATTATGGTAGGAAAGGAAATAACTTCATATGAAATCTGGACAGAAGCAATCTGAGAAACTATTTTGTGATGTGTGCATTCATCTCACAGAGTTAAACCTTTCTTTTGATTGAGCAGTTTTGAAACTCTCGTTTTGTATAATCTGCAAGTGGACATTTGGAATGCTTTGAAGCCTATGGAGGAAAAGGGAATATCTTCATATAAAAACCAGACAGAAGAATTCTGAGAAACTTCTTTGTGATATGTGCGTTCATCTCACAGAGTTGAACTTTGTTTTGATTAAGCAGTTTGGAAACACTCTTTTAGTAGAATCTGCAAGTGGATATTTGGAGTGGTTTGTGGCCGATGGTAGAAAAGAAAATATCTTCACATAAAATGTAGACAGAAGCAATCTGAGAAACTACTTTGTGATGTGTACATTCATCTCATAGAGGTAAAGCTTTCTTTAGATTGAGTCGTTTTGAAACTCTCTTTTTGAAGAATCTGCAAGTGGGCATCTAGAGCACTTGAGGCCTATGGTGGAAAAGAAAATATCTGCATATAAAAACTAGACAGAAGAATTCTGAGAAACTCCTTTGTGATGTGTGAGTTCATCTCGCAGAGTTGAACCTTTATTTTGATAGAGCAGTTTGGAAACACACTTTTTGTAGATTCTGCAAGTTGACATTTGGAGCACGTTGTGGCCTATGGTAGAAAAGTAAATATCTTCACATAAAATCTAATAGAAGCAATCTGAGAAACGTCTTTTTGATGTGTGCATTCAACTCACAGAGTGAGAGCTTTCTTTTGATGGGGCAGTTTGGAAACTCTATTTTTGTAGAGTCTGCAAGTGGACATTTTGAGTGCTTTGCGGCCTGTGGTGGAAAAGGAAATATCTTCACATAAAAACGAGACAGAAAAATTCTGAGAAACTTTTTTGTGATGCGAACTTTTCTTTTGGTTGACCAGGTTGGAAACGCCCTTTTTGTAGAATCTGCAAGTGGACATTTGGAGCACTTTGCGGCCTTTGGTAGAAAATGAAATATCTTCACATAAAATCTAGACAGAAGCAATCTGAGAAACTTCTTTGTGATGTGTACATTTATCTCCAAGAGTTGAACATTTCTATTCATGGATCAGTTTTGACATACGCTTTTTGTAGAATCTGCAAGTGGAGATTTCGAGTGCCTTGAGACCTACGGTGGAAAATGAAATATCTTCATATAAAAACTAGACAGAAAAATTCTGAGAAACGTCTTTGTGATATGTGGGTTCATCTCACAGAGTTGAAACTTTCTTTTGATTGAGCAGTTTGGAAACATGATTTTTGTAGAATCTGCAACTGGACATTTGGAGTGCTTTGTGGCCTATGGTAGAAAAGGAAATATCTTCACATAAAATCTAGACAAAAGCAATCTGAGAAACTTCTTTGTGATGTGTGCATTCATCTCACAGTGTTAAAACTTTCTTTTGATTGAGCATTTTTGAGACTCTCTTTTGTAGAATCTGCAAGTGGACATTTGGAGCCCTTTGAGGCCTGTGGTGGAAAAGGAAATATCTTCACACAAAAACTAGACAGAAGAATTCTGAGAAACTTCTTTGTGATGTGTCCGGTTATTTCACAGTGTTGAACCTTTCTTTTGATTGAGCTGTTTAGAAACACTCTTTTTGGAGAATCTGCAAGTGGACATTGGAGCGCTTTGAGGCCTATGGTGGAAAAGGAAATATCTTCACATAAAAACTAGACAGAAGATTTCTGAGAAACTCCTTGTGATGCGTGCGTTCATCTCACAGAGTTGAACCTTTCTTTTGATTGAGCAGTTTGGAAACCCTCATTGTAGAATCTGCAAGCGGACACTTGGAGCACTTTGCGGCCTATGATAGAAAAGAAAATATCTTCACATAAAATCTAGACAGAAGCAATCGGAGAAACTACTTTGTGGTGTGTGCATTCATCTCACAGTTAACCCTTTCTTTTGATTGAGCAATTTTGAAACTTTCTTATTGTAGTATCTGCAAGTGGACACTTGGATCGCTTTGAGGCCTATGGTGGAAAACTTAATATCTTCACATAAAAACTAGAGAGAATTCTGAGAAACTTCTTTCTGATGCGTGCATTCATCTCATGGAGTTGAAGATTTCTTTTGATTGAGCAGTTTGGAAACTCTTTTGTAGATTCTGCAAGTGGATATTTGGAGCGCTTTGCGGCCTATGTTAGAAAAGGAAATATCTTCATATAAAATATAGACAGAAGCAACCTGAGAAACTTCTTTGTGATGCGTGCATTCATCTCACACAGTTAAACCTTTCTTTGAATGGACCAGTTTTGAAATACTCTTTTTGTATAATCTGCAAGTGGACGTTTCGAGCGCCTTGAGGCCTATGGTGTAAAAGGAAATATCTTCACATAAAATCTAGACAGAACAATAACGTGAAATTTCTTTGTGTTGTGTGGTTTTATCTCACAGAGTTGAATCTTTCTTTTGATTGAGCAGTTTGCAAAACAAGCTTTTTGTACAATCTGCAAGTGGACATATGGTGTGCTTCATGGCCTATGGTAGAAAAGGAAATAACTTCAAATAAAATCTAGACAGAAGAAATCTGAGAAACTTCTTTGTGATGTGTGCATTCATCTCACAGAGTTAAACCTTTCTACTGATTGAGGAATTTTGAAACTCTCTTTTTGTAGAATCTGCAAGTGGACATTTGGAGGAATTTGAGGCCTATGTTGGAAAAGGAAATATCTTCACAAAGAAAACGAGATAGAAGGATTCTCAGAAACTTCTTTGTGATGCTTGCATTCATGTCCCAGAGTTGAAACTTTCTTTGATGGACAAGTTTTGAAATACTCTTTTTGTAGAATCTGCAAGTGGACATTTCGAATGCCTTGAGGCCTATGGTGGAAAATGAAATATCTTCACATAAAAACCAGACAGAAGAATTCTGGGAAACTTCTTCATGATGTGTGTGTTCATCTCACAGAGTTGAAACTTTCTTCTAATTGAGCAGTTTGGAAACACTCTTTTTGTAGAATCTTCAAGTGGACATTTGGAGTGCTTTGCAGCCTATGGTAGAAAAGGAAATATATTCACATAAAATCTAGACAGAAGAAATCTGAGAAACATCTTTGTGATGTGTGCATTCATCTCACAGAGTAAAACCTTCCTTTTAATGGAGCAATTTTAAATCTCTCTTTTTGTACAAACTGCAAGTGGACATTTGGAGCCCTTTAAGGCCTGTGGTGGAAAAGGAAATATCTTCACATAAAAACTAGATGGAAGAATTCTGAGAAACTCTTTTGTGATGTGTGCATTCATCTCACAGAGTTGAATCCTACTTTTGATTGAGCAGTTTGGGAACACTCTTTTTGTAGACTCTGCAAGTGGACATTTGGAGCACTTTGTGGGCTATGGTAGAAAAGGAAATATCTTCACATAAAATCTAGACAGAAGCAACCTGACAAACTTCTTTGTGATGTGTGCATTCATCTCACAGAGTTGAATCTTTCTTTTCATAGAGCAGTTTTGAAACTCTCTTTTATAAAATCTGCAAGTGGACATTTGAAGTGCTTTGAGGCATATGGTGGTTAACGAAATATCTTTACATAATAACTGGACAAAAGCATTCTGAGAAACTTCTTTGTGATGTGTGTGTTCATCTTTCAGAGTTAAACATTTCTTTTGATTGAGCAGTTTTGAAACTCTCTTTTTGAAGAATCTTCAAGTGGACATTTGGAGGGCTTCACTGCCTGTGGTAGAAAAGGAAGTTTCTTCACATAAAATCTAGACAGCAGCTATCTGAGAAACTTCTTTGTGATGCCTGCATTCATTTCACAGAATTGAACATTTCTTTTGACTGAGCAGTTTGGAAACACCCTTTTTTTAGAAGCTGCAATTGGACATTTGAAGAGTTTTGCAGCCTATGGTAGAAATGGAAATACCTTCACATAAAATCTAGGCAGAATCAGTCTGAGAAACATCTTTGTTATGTCTGAATTCATCTCAGAGAGTTAAACCTTTCTTTTGAATGAGCTGTTTTGAAACTCTCTTTTTGTAGAATCTGCAAGTGGACATTTGAAGTGCTTTGAGGCCTATAGTGGAAAAGGAAATATCTTCACATAAAAACTAGACAGAAGAATTCTGAGAAACTTCTTGGTGATGTGTGCGTTCATCTCACAGAGTTGAAACTTTCTTTTGATTGAGCAGTTCGGAAACACTCTTTTTCCAGAATCTGCAAGGGGACATTTGGAGTGCTTTGTGTCCTATGGTAGAAAAGGAAACATCTTTACATAATATCTAGACAGAAGCCGTCTGAGATACTTCTTTGTGATGTGTGCATTCATCTCACAGAGATAAACGTTTCTTTTGATAGAGCAGTTTAGAAACTCTCTTTTTGTGGAATCTGCAAGTGGACATTTGGAGCGCTTTGAGGCCTAGTGTGGAAAAGGTAATACCTTCAAATAAAAACTAGACAGAGAAATTCTGAAAAATTACGTTGTGATGTGTGCGTTCATCTCACAGAGTTAGACATTTCTTTTGATTCAGCAGTTTAGAAACACTGTTTTTGTAGAATCTGCAAGTGGACATTTGGGGCACTTTGTTGTCTATGGTAGAAAAGGAAATATCTTCACATTAAATCTAGATGAAGCAATCTGAGAAACTTCTTTGTGATGTATGCATTCATCTCACAGAGTTAAATTTTTCTTTTCATTGAGCAGTTTTGAAACTCACTTTTTGTAGAATCTGCAAGTGGACATTTGGAGCACTTTGAGGACTATGGTGGAAAAGGAAATATCTTCACATAAAAACTAGATAGAAGCATTATGAGAAACTTCTTTGTGATGTGTGCATTTATCTCCCAGAGTTGAATCTTTCTTTTGATGGACCCGCTTTGAAATACTCTTTTTTGTAGAATCTGCAATTGGACATCTAAAGAGACTTGATGCCTACAGTGGAAAATGAAATGTCTTCACATAAAAACTAGACAGAAGAATTCTGAGAAACTTCTTTGAGATGTGTGCCTTTATCTCACAGAATTAAGCCTTTCTTTTGATGGAGCAGTATTGAAACTATCTTTTTGTAGTATCTTCAAGTGGACATTTAGAGCACTTTGAGGCCGATGGTTGAAAAGGAAGTATCTTCACATAAAAGCTAGACAGAAGCAATCTGAGGAACATCTTTGTGATGTGTGCATTCATCTTACACACTTAAACCTTTCTTTTGATTGAGCAGTTTTGAATCTCTCTTTTTGTAGAATCTGCAAGTGGACATTTGGAGTGCTCTGAGGCCTACAGTAGAAAAGGAAATATCTTCACATAAAAATTAGACAGAAGAATTCTGGGAAACTTCTTTGTGATAGGTGCGTTCATCTCACAGAGTTGAATTTGGAGTGCTTTGAGGCCTATGGTGGAAAAGGAAATATCTTCACATAAAAATTAGGCAGAAGAATTCTGAGAAACTTCTTTGTGATGTGTGCGTTCATCTCACAGATTTGAAACTTTCTTTGACTGAGCAGTTTGGAAACACTCTTTTTGTAGAATCTGCTGGTGGACATTTCGAGTGCTTTGCAGCCTATTGTAGAAAAAGAAATATCTTCATATAAAATGTAGACAGAGGCAATCTGACAAACTTCTTTGTGATGTGTGCTTTCATCTCACAGAGTTGAACCATTTTTTTTTGTTTGAGCAGTTTTGAAACTCTCCTTTTGTAGAATCTGCAAGTGGACATATGGAGCATCTTGAGGCCTATGGTGGAAAAGGAAATACCTTCACATGAAAACTAGACAGAAGAATTCTGAGAAACTTCTTTCATCTCACAGAGTTGAACCTTTCTTTTGATCGAGCGTATGGAAACACTGTTTTTGTAGAATCTGCAAGTGGACATTCGTAGTGCTTTGCAGCTTACTGTTGAAAAGGAAATATATTCACATAAAATCTAGACAGGAGCAATCAGAGAAACTTCCTTGTGATGTATGCATTCATCTCACAGAGTTAAACCTTCCTTCTGATTGTGCAGTTTTGAAACTCTCTTTTTATATAATCTGCAGGTGGACATTTTTAGCGCTTTGACTCCTATGGTGGAAAAGGAAATATCTTCACATAAAAACTAGATAGAAGCACTCTGAGAAACTTCTTTGTTGTGTGTGCATTCATCTCCCAGAGATAAACCATTCTTTTGTTGGAGCATTTTTGAAATCCTCTTTTCGTAGAATCTTCATGTGGACATTTCAAGTTCCTTGAGGCCAATGATGGAAAATCAAATATCTTCACATAAAAATTAGACAGAAGTATTCTGAGAAACTTCTTTGTGATGCTTGCGTTCATCTCACAGAGTTGAACCTTTCTTTTAATTCAGCAGTTTGGAAACACTCTTTTTGTAGAAACTACAAGTGGACATTTGGAGTGCTTTGCGGCCTATGGTAGAAAAGGAAATATCTTCACATAAAATCTACACAGAAGCAATCTGTGAAACCTCTTTGTGATGTGTGCATTCATCTCACAGAGTTAAACCTTTCTTTTGATTGAGAAGTTTTGAAACTCTCTTTTTGTAAAATCTGCAAGTGGACATTTGCAGCACTTTGAGGCCTGTGTTGGAAAAGGAAATATATTCACATAAAAACTAGACAGAAGAATTCTGAGAAACTTCTTTTTGATGCATGCGATCATCTCACAGAGTTAAATCTTTCTTTTGATTGAACAATTTGGAACCACTCTTTTTGTAGAATCTGCAAGTGGACATTTGGAGCCCTTTGCAGCCTATGGTAGAAAAGGAAATATCGTCACATAAAATCTAGACAGAAACAATCTCAGAATGTTCTGTGTGATGTGCGCATTCATCTCCTAGAGTTGAATGTTTCTTTTGAAGGACCAGTTTTGAAATACGCTTTTTGTAGAATCTACAAGTGGACATTTCGAGTGCCATGAGGCCTAAGGTGGAAAAGGAAATATCTTCATATAAAAACTAGACAGAAGAATTTTGAGAAACTTCATTGTGATGCGGGCATACATCTCACAGAGCTGAAACTTTCTTTTGATTGAGCAGTTTTGAAACAATCTTTTTGTAGAATCTGCAAGTGGACATTTGGATCGCTTTGCTGCCAATGCTAGGAAAGGAAATACCTTCACATAAAATCTAGACAGAAGCAATCTGAGAAACTTCTTTGTGATGTGTGCATTCATCTCGCAGTGTTGAACCTTTCTTTTGATTGAGCAGTTTTGAAACTCTCTTTTTGTAGCATCTTCAAGTGGACTTTTGGAGCACTTTGGGGCCTATGGTGGAAAAGGAAATATCTTCACATAAAAACTAGATAGAAGCATTCTTAGAAACTTCTTTGTGATGTGTAGATTCATCTCAAGAGTTGCACTTTTCTTTTGATGGACCAGTTTTGAAATACTCTTTTTGTAGAATCTGCAAGTGGTCATTTCAAGTGCCTTGAGGCCAATGGTGGAAAAAGAAATATCTGCACATAAAAACTAGACAGAAGCACTCTGAGAAACTTCTCTGTGATGTGGGCATTCATCTCACAAATTTGAAATTTTCTTTTGATGGACCAGTTTTGAAATGCCGTTTTTGTAGAATCTGGAAGTGGACATTTCAAGTGCCTTGAGGCCTATGCTGGAAAATGAAATAACTTCACATAAAAACTAGATAGAAGAATTTTGAGCAACTTCTTTCTGATGTGTGCACTCATCTCACAAAATTGAAACTATCTTTTAATTGAGCATTATGAAAACACTTTTTGTAGAATCTGCAAATGGACATTTGGAGTGCTTTGTGGCCTATGGCAGGAAAGGAAATATCTTCACATAAAATCTAGACAGAAGCAATCTCAGAATCTTCTTTGTGATGTATGCATTCACCTCAAAGAGTTACACCTTTCTTTTGATTGAGGAGTTTTGAAACTCTGTTTTTGGAGAATCTGTAAGTGGACATTTGCAGCACTTTGAGGCCTACGGTGAAAAAGGAAATATCTTCACATAAAAAGTAGACGGGAGAATTCTGAGAAACTTCTTTGTAATGTGTGTGTTCATCTCACAGAGTTGAACCTTTCTTTTGATTGAGCAGTTAGGAAACACTCTTTTTGTAGAATCTGCAAGTGGACATTTGGAGCGCTTAGTGGCCTATGGTGGAAAAGGAAATATGTTCACATAATAACTAGACAGAAGAATTCTGAGAAACTTCTTTGTGATGCACGTGTTCATCTCACCGAGTGGAACCTTTGTTTTGATTGAGCAGTTTGGAAACAATCTTTTTGTAGAATCTGCAAGGAGACATTTTGAGCACTTTGCGGCCTTTGGTAGAAAAGGAAATATCTTCACATAAAATCTAGACAGAAGCAATTTGAGAAACTTCTTTGTGTTTTGTGCATTCATCTCACAGAGTTAAACCTTTCTTTTGATTGATCAGTTTTCAAATTCTCTTTTTGTAGAATGTGGTAGTGGAAATTTGGAGCACTTAGAGGCTTATGGTGGAAAAGGAAATAACTCCACATAAAAACTAGACAAGAATTCTGAGAAACTTCTTCATGATGTGTGTGTTTATCTCACAGATTTGAACCTTTCTTTTGCTTCAGCAGTTTAGAAACACTCTTTTTGTAGAATCTTCAAATGGACATTTGGAGCACT
Source organism: Homo sapiens (assembly GCF_000001405.40). Classification (NCBI taxonomy): domain Eukaryota; kingdom Metazoa; phylum Chordata; class Mammalia; order Primates; family Hominidae; genus Homo; species Homo sapiens. The sequence continues at coordinate 43,189,059 of NC_000009.12, forward strand.
TTGCGGCCAATGGTAGAAAAGGAAATATCTTCACATAAAATCTAGTCAGAAGCAATCTAAGAAACTTCTTTGTGATGTGTGTATTCATCTCACAGAGTTAAAACTTTCTTTTGACTGAGAAGTTTTGAAACTCTCTTTTTGTAGAATCCGCAAGTGGACATTTGTAGCGCTTTTGGGCTTATAGTGGAAAAGGAAATATCTTCACAGAAAAACTAGACAGAAGAATTCTGAGAAACTTCTTTGTGATGTGTGCCTTCATCTCAAAGAGTTGAAACTTTCTTTTGATACAGCAGTTTGGAAACACTCTTTTTGGAGATTCTGCAAGTGGACATTTGCTGCACTATGCAGACTATGGTAGAAAAGGTAATATCTTCACAAAAAATCTAGGCAGAAGGAATCTGAGAAACTTCTTTGGCATGTGTGCATTCATCTCACAGATTTCAACCTTTCTTTTGACTGAGCAGTTTTGAAACACTCTTTTTGTAGAATTTGCAAGTGGACATTTGGATCGTTTTGAGGCCTATGGTGGAAAAGGAAATATCTTCACATAAAAACTAGACAGAAGAATTCTGAGAATCTCCTTTGTGATGTATGCGTTTATCTCACAAAGTTGAACCTTCCCTTTGATTGAGCAATTTAGAAACGTTCTTTTTGTAGAATCTGCAAGTGGACTTTTGGAGTGCTTTAGTGCCTCTGGTAGAAAAGGAAGTATCTTCACATAAAATCTAGACAGAAGCAATCTCAGAAACTTCTTTGTGATATGTGCATTCATCTCACAGAGTTAAACCTTTCTTTTCATTGAGTAGTTCTGAAGCTCTCTTTTTGTAGAATCTGCAAGTGGACATTTTGAGTGCTTTGAGGCCTACAGTGGGAAAGGGAATATTTTCACATAAAGACTAGACAGAAGAATTCTAAGAAACTTCTCTGTGATGTGTGCATTCATCTCACAGAGTTGAACATTTCTTTTGATTGAGAATTTTTGAAACACTCTTTTTGTAGATTCTCTAAGTGAGCATTTGGAGTGCTTTGCAGCCTATGTTAGAGAAGGAAATAGCTCCACATAAAATCTAGACAGGAGCAATCTGAGAAACTTCTTTGGGATGTGTGCATTCATCTCACAGGGTTAACTCTTACTTTTGATTGAGCAGTTTTGAAACTCTCTTTTTGTTGAATGTGCAAGTGGACATTTGGAGCGCTTTGAGGCCTACGGTGGAAAACGAAATATCTTCACATAAAAACTAGACAGAAGCATTTTTAGAAACTTCTTTGTGATGTGTGCACAGATCTCAAAGAGTTAAGCCTTTGTTTTTATTGAGCAGTTTTGAATCTCTCTTTTTGTAGAATCTGCAAGTTAACATTTGGAGCGCTTTGAGGCCTGTGGAGGAAAAGGAAATATTTTCACATCAAAACTACACAGAAGAATTTGGAGAAACTTCTTTGTGATGCATGCGTTTATCTCACAGAGTTGAACCTTTCTTTTGATTAAGCAGTTTGGAAACACTCTTTTTGTGGAATCTGCAAGTGGACATTTGGAGCGCTTTGCAGCCTATGTTAGAAAAGGAAATATATTCCCATAAAATCTAGATAGAATGAATCTGAGAAACTTCTTTGTGATGTGTGCATTCATCTCACAGAGTTAAAACTTTCTTTTGATTGAGCTGTCTTGAAACTCTCTTTTTGTAAAATCTGCAAGTGGACATTTGGAGCGCTTTGAGGCCTATGGTGGAAAAGTAAATATTTTCACATAAAAACTAGACAGAAAAATTCTGAGAAACTTCTTTGTGACTTGTGCATACATCTCAAAGAGTTGAACCTTTCTTTTGATTGAGCAGTTTGGAAGCACTCTTTTTGTAGAATATGCAAGTGGACATTTGGAGCACTTTGTGACCTCTCGTAGAAAAGGAAATATCTTCACAGAAAATCTAGATAAAAGCAGTCTGACAAAGTACTTTATGATGTGTGCATTCATCTCACAGAGTTAAACATTTCTTTTGATTGAGCACTTTTGAAACTCTCTTTTTGTAGAATCTGCAAGTGTATATTTGGAGCAGTTTGAGGTCTATGGTGGAAAAGGAAGTATCTTCAGATAAAAACTAGACAGAAGAATTCTGAGAAACTTCTTTGTGACGTGCGAATTCAACTCACAGAGTTGAACCTTTCTTTTGATAGGGCAGGTTTGAAACACTCTTTTTGCAGAATCTGCAAGTGGACATTTGAAGTGCTTTGAGGCCTATGGTGGAAAAATAAATATCTTCCCATAAAAAATAGAAAGAGGCATTCTCAGAAACTTCTTTGTGATGTTTGCCTTCAACGCACAGAGTTGAACATACCTTATCATAGAGCAGTTTTGAAACACTCTTTTAGTAGAATCTGCAAGTGGATATATGGAAAGCCTTGAGGCCTTCGTTGGAAACGGGTACATCTTCACATAAAAACTAGAGAGAAGCATTCTCAGGAACTTCTTTGTGATGTGTACATTCAACTCACAGAGTTGAACCTTTCTTTTGATAGAGCAGTTTTGAAACACTCTTCTTGTAGAATCTGCAACTGCATATTTGGACTGCTTCGAGGCATTCATTGGAAATGGGATATCTTCACATAATCACTAGACAGAAGCATTCTCAGAAACTTCTTTGTGACGTGCGAATTCAACTCACAGAGTTGAATCTTTCTTTTGATAGGGCAGGTTTGAAACACTCTTTTTGCCGAATCTGCAAATGGACATTTGAAGCGCTTTGAGACCTATAGTGGAAAAGGAAATATCTTCACATAAAAACTAGACAGAAACATTCTCAGAAACTTGTGATGTTAGCATTCCACTCACAGAGTTGGACATACTTTATCATAGAGCAGTTTTGATACACTCTTTTAGTAGAGTCTACAAGTGGATATTTTGACCATTTAGTGGCCTTCATTGGAAATGGGAATATCCTTATATAAAAATTAAACAGAAGCATTCTCAGAAACTTCTTTGTGTTGTGTGCATTCAACTCACAGTGTTGAACCTTTCTTTTGACAGAGCAGGTTTGAAACACTGTTTTTGTAGAATCCGTAAGTGAACCTTTGGAGCACTTTGAGGCCTATGGTGGAAAAGGAAATATGTTCACATAAAAACTAGACAGAAGTATTCCCAGAAACTTCTTTGTGATGTTTGCATTCAACTCACAGAGTTGAACATATCTTATGATAAAGCAGTTTTGAAACACTCTTTAGTAGAATCTGCAAGTGAATATTTGGAATGCTTTGAGGCCTTCGTTGGAAATGAGAATATCTTCACATAAAAACTAGACAGGAGCATTCTCAGAAACTTCTTTGTAATGTGTACATTCAACGCACAGAGTTGAACCTTTCTTTTGATAGGGCATGTTTGAAACACTCTTTTTTTAGAATCAGCAAGAGGATATTTGGACCACTTTGAGGCCTTCATTGGAAGCAGGAAGATATTCACATGAACACTAGACAGAAGTATTCTCAGAAACTTCTTTGTGATGTGTGCATTCAACTCACAGAGATGAACCTTTCTTTTGATAGAGCAGGATTGAAACACTCTTTTTGTAGAATCTGCAAGTGGACATTTGGAGAGCTTTGAGGTCTATTGTGGAAAAGGAAATATCTTTATATAAAAATGAGACAGAAGAATTCTCAGAATCTTCTTTGTGATGTTCACATTCCACTCACAGAGTTGAACATACCATTTCATAGAGCCTTTTGAAACACTCTTTGTAAAATCTGCAAGTGGATATTTGGACAGTTTTGAGGCCTTTGTTGGAAACGGGAATATCTTCACATAAGTACTAGACAGAGGCATTCTCAGAAACTTCTTTGTGATGTGTGCATTCAGCTCACAGATCTGAACCTTTCTTTTGATAGAGCAGGTTGGAAACACTCGTTTTGTAGAATCTCCAAGTGGACATTTGGAGAGCTTTGTGGCCTATGGTGGAAAAGGAAATATCTTCACTTAAAAACTAGACAGAAGCACTCTCAGAAACTTCTTTTTGATATTTGCATTTAATTCACAGAGTAGAAACTTCCTTTTCATAGATCACTTTTGATGCACTCCTTTAGTAGAATCTGAAGGGGATATTTGGACCGCTTTGAGGCATTCGATGGAAACGGGAATATCTTCACATAATCACTAGACAAGGGTTCTCTGAAACTTCTTTGTGCTGTGTGCATTAAAATCACAGAGTTGAACCTTACTTTTCATACAGCAGGTTTGAAACACACTTTTTGTACAATCTGTAACTGGACATTTAAAGTGTTTTGAGGCCTATGGTGGAAAAGGAAATATCTTCCCATAAAAATTAGCTAGAAGCTTTCTCAGAAATTTCTTTGTGATGTTTGCATTCAACTCACAGAGTTGAACATATCTTATCATAGAGCTGTTTTGAAACACTCTTTTAGTAGAATCTGCAAGTGGATATTTGGAACGCCTTGAGGCCTTCATTGGAAACAGGAATATCTTCAAATAAAAACTAGACAGCATCATTCTCAGAAACTTGTTTGTGATGTGTACATTCAGCTCACCGAGTTGAAACTTTCTTTTGATAGAGCAGTTTTTAAACACTCTTTTAGAAGAATCTGCAAGTGGATATTTGGACCGCATTGAGGCCTTCGCTGGAAATGGGAATATCTTCACATAAAAACTAAACAGCAGCATTCTAAGAAACTTTTTGTGATGTGTACATTCAACTAACAGAGTTGAAAATTTCTTTTGATAGATCAATTTTGAAACACTCTTTTTGTAGTATCTGCAAGTGGATATTTGTACTGCTTTGAGGCCTTCGTTTGAAATGGGAATATCTTCACATAAACACTAGACAGAAGCATTCTCACAAACTTCTTTGTGATGTGTGCCTTCAACTCACAGAATTGAACCTTTCTTTTGATAGAGCAGGTTTGAAGCACTCTTTTTGTAGAATCTGCAGGTGGATATTTGGAGCGCTTTGTGGCCTATGGTGGAAAAGGAAATATCTTCCCATAAAAACTAGGCAGAAGTATTCTCAGAAACTTCTTTGTGATGTTTGCATTCAACTCACAGAGTTGAACATACCACTTCATAGAGCAGTTTTGAAACACTCTTTTTGTAGATCCTGCAAGTGGAAATTTGGAGAGCTTTGAGGCCTTTGTTGGAATGGGGTATATCTTCACATAAACACTGGACAGAAGCATTCTCAGAAACTTCTTTGTGATGTTTGCATTCAACTACTCACAGAGTTGAACATAATTTATCATAGAGCAGTTTTGAAACACTCTTTTTGTAGAATCTGCTAGTGGATATTTGGACTGTTTTGAGGCATTCGTTGGAAACGGGAATATCTTCATATAAAAACTAGACAGAAACATTCTCAGAAACTTCTTTTTGATGTGTGCATTCAACTCACAGGGTTGAACATTTCTTTCGATAGGGCAGTTTTGAAACACTCTTTTTGTAGAATCTGCAAGTGGACATTTCTGAACTTTGAGGCTTATGGTGGAAAAGGAAATATCTTCACATGAAAACTAGACAGAAGCATTCTCAGAAACTTCTTTGTGATGTGTGCATTCAACTCACAGAGTTGAACCTTTCTTTTGATAGAGCAGGTTTGAAACAGTTTTTCTAGAATCTGAAAGTGGACATTTGGAGAGCTTTGAGGCCTATGTGGAAAATGAGGTATCTTCACATAAAAACTAGACAGAAGCAATATCAGAAACTTCTTTGTGATGTTTGCATTCAACTCAAACAGTTGAACATACCTTTTCATGGTGCAGTTTTGAAACACTTTTTTTGTAGAATCTGCTTGTGGATATTTGGACTGCTTTGAGGCCTTCATTGGAGACGGGAATATCATTACATAAAAACTAGACAGAAGCATTCTCAGTAACTTGTTTGTGATCTGTGCCTTCAACTCACAGATAGAGCAGTTTTGAGTCACTCTTTTAGTAGAATCTGCAAGTGGATATTTGGACCGCTTTGAGGCATTCCTTGGAAACGGGAATATCTTCATATAAAAACTAGACAGAAACATTCTCAGAAACTTCTTTTTGATGTGTGCATTCAACTCACAGGGTTGAACATTTCTTTCGATAGGGCAGTTTTGAAACACTCTTTTTGTAGAATCTGCAAGTGGACATTTCTGAACTTTGAGGCTTATGGTGGAAAAGGAAATATCTTCACATGAAAACTAGACAGAAGCATTCTCAGAAACTTCTTTGTGATGTGTGCATTCAACTCACAGAGTTGAACCTTTCTTTTGATAGAGCAGGTTTGAAACAGTTTTTCTAGAATCTGAAAGTGGACATTTGGAGAGCTTTGAGGCCTATGTGGAAAATGAGGTATCTTCACATAAAAACTAGACAGAAGCAATATCAGAAACTTCTTTGTGATGTTTGCATTCAACTCAAACAGTTGAACATACCTTTTCATGGTGCAGTTTTGAAACACTTTTTTTGTAGAATCTGCTTGTGGATATTTGGACTGCTTTGAGGCCTTCATTGGAGACGGGAATATCATTACATAAAAACTAGACAGAAGCATTCTCAGTAACTTGTTTGTGATCTGTGCCTTCAACTCACAGAGTTGAACCTTTCTTTTGATAGAGCAAGTTTGAAGCACTCTTTTTGCAGAATATGCAAGTGGACATTTGGAACCCTTTGGGGCCTATGGTGGAAAAGGAAATATCTTCACATAAAAACTAGTCAGAAGCACTCTCAGAATCTTCTTTCTGATGTGTGCATTCAACTGACAGAGTTGAAGCTTTCTTTTGATAGAGCAGGTTTGAGACACTCTTTCTGTAGCATCTGCAATGGACATTTGGAGCACTTTGAGGCCTATGGTGGAAAAAGAAATATCTTCCCATAAAAACAAGAGAGAAGCATTCAGAAACTTCTTTGTGATGTTTGCCTTCAACTCACGGAGTGGGAGATATCTTATAGAGCAGTTTTGAAACACTCTTTTAGTAGAATCTGCAAGTGGATATTTGGAACGCTTTGAGGCCTTCGTTGCAAACGGGAATATCTTCACATAAAAACTAGACAGCAGCATTCTCAGAAACTTCTGTATGATGTGTGCATTCAACTCACAGAGATGAACCTTTCTTTTGATAGAGCAGTTTTGAAACACTCTTTTTGCAGAATCTACAAGTGGACATTTGAAGCGCTTTGAGGCCTGTGGTTGAAAAGGAAATATCTTCACAAAAAAACTAGACAGAAGCATTCTCAGAAATTATTTGTAATATTTGTATTCAACTCACAGAATTGGACACATTTTATCATAGAGCAGCTTTGAAAAACTCTTTTAGTAGAATCTGCAAGTGAATATTTGGACCTCTTAGAGGTCTTCGTTGGAAACGGGAATATCTTCACATAAACATTCAACAGAAGCATTCTCATAATCTTCTTTGTGATGAGTGCATTCAACTCACAGAGTTGAAACTTTCTTTTCAAAGAGCAGGTTTGAAACACTCATTTTATAGAATGTGCAAATGGACATTTGGAGAGCTTTGAGGCCTGTGGTGGAAAAAAATATCTTCACATAAAAACTAGACAGAAGCATTCTCAGAAACTTCTTTGTGATGTTTGCATTCAACTCACAGAGCTGAAACTTCCTTTTCATAGAGCACTTTTGAAACACTTTTTTTGTAGAATCTGCAATGGATATTTGGACCACTTTGAGGCATTCGATGGAAACGGGAATATCTTCACATAATCACTAGACAGAAGCTTTCTCTGAAACTTCTTTGTCCTGTGTGGATTAAAATCACAGAATTGAACCTTACTTTTCATAGAGCAGGTTTGAAACACACTTTTGTAGAATCTGTAACTGGACATTTAAAGTGCTTTGAGGTCAATGGTGGAAAGGGAAATATCTTCACATAAAAAATAGACAGAAGAATTCTCAGAAACATCTTTGTGATGTGTGCATTCCACTCACAGAGTTAAACCTTTCTTTTGATAGAGCAGGTTTGAAACACTCTTTGCAGAATCTGGAAGTGGACATTTGGAGTGCTTTGAAGCCTATGGTGGAAAAGGAAATATCTTCACATAAAAACTAGACAGAAGTATTCTCAGAAACTTCTGTGTGCTGCTTGCATTCAACTCAGAGACTTGAAGATACTTAATAATAGAGCAGTTTTGAAACACTCTTTTAGTAGAATCTGCAAGTGGATATTTGGACCGCTTTGAGGCCTTCGTTGGAAACGGGAATATCTTCACATAATCACTAGACAGAAGCTTTCTCCGAAACTTCTTTGTTCTGTGTGCATTCAACTCACAGAGTTGATCCTTTCTGTTGATAGAGCAGGTTTGAAACACTTTTTTTGTAGAATCTGCAAGGGGACATTTGGAGCGCTTTGAGGCCTATGGTGGAAAAACAAATATCTTCCCATAAAACTAGAGAGAAGAATTCTCAGAAACTTCTTTGTGATGTTTGCCTTCAACTCACGGAGTTGAACATACCTTATGATAGAGCAGTTTTGAAACACTCTTTTAGTAGAATCTGCAAGTGGATATTTGGATCGCTTTGAAGGCTTCGTTGGAAATGGGAATATCTTCACATAAAAACTAGACAGCAGCATCCTCAGAAACTTCTTGTGATGTGTACATTCAACTCATAGAGTTGAAACTTTCTTTTGATAGAACAGTTTTGAAACACTCTTTTTGTAGAGTTTACAGGTGGATATTTGGAATGCGTTGAGGCATTCGTTGGAAACGGGAATATCTTCACATAAACACTAGACGGAAGTTTTCTCCGAAACTTCTTTGGCTGTGTGCATTCAACTCACAGAGTTGAACCTTTCTTTTGATAGAACAGGTTTCAAACACTCTTTTTGTAGAATCTGCAAGTGAACAGTTGGAGCGCTTTGAGGCATATGGTGGAAAAGGAAATATCTTCGCATAAAAACTAGACAGTAGCATTCTCAGAAACTTATTTGTGAAGGTGATGTGTGCATTCAACTCATAGAGTTGAACCTTTCTTTTGATAGAGCAGGTTTGAAACACTCTTTTTGCAGAATCTGCAAGTGGACATTTGGAGCCCTTTGAGGCCTATGTTGGAAAAGGAAGTATCTTCACATAAAAACTAGACAGAAACATTTTCAGAAACTTCTTTGTGATGCCTGCATTCAACTCACAGAGCTGGACATACTTTATCATAGAGCAGTTATGAAACACTCTTTTAGTGGAATCTGCAAGTGGATATTTGGACCACTTAGAGTCCTTCCTTGGAAACGGGAATATCTTCTCATAAAAACTAGACAGAAGCATTTTCTGAAACTTCTTTGTGATGTGTGCATTCAATTCACAGAGTTGAACCTTTCTTTTGATAGAACAGGTTTGAAACACTCTTTTTGTAGAATCTGCAAGTGGACTCTTGGAGCGCTTTGAGGCCTATGGTGGAAAAGGATATATCTTCACATAAAAACTAGACAAAGCATTCTCAGAAACTTCTTTGTGATGTTTGCATTCAGCTCACAGAGTTGAACATGGCTTTTCATGGAGCAGTTTTGAAGCACTCTTTTTGCAGAATCTGCTAGTGGATATTTGGACTTCTTTGAGGCCTTCGTTGGAAACGGGAATATCTTCACATTAAAACTATACAGAAGCATTCTCAGAAACTTCTTTGTGATGTGTGCATTCGTCTCACAGAGTTGAACCTTTCGTTTGATAGGGCAGTTTTGAAACACTCTTTTTGTTGAATCTGCAAGTGGACATTTGGAGAGCTTTGAGGCCTATGGTGGTAAAGGAAATATCTTCACATAAAATCTAGACAGAAGCATTCTCAGAAACTTCTTTGTGATGTGTGCATTCAACTCACAGACTTGAACCTTTCTTTTGATAGAGTAGATATGAAACACTCTTTTTGCAGTATCTGCATGTGGACATTTGGAGAGCTTTGAGGCCTACAGTGGAAACAGATATATCTTCACATAAAAACTAGATAGAAGCATTCTCAGAAACTTCTTTGTGATGTTTGCATTCAACTCACAGAGTTGAACCTTCCTTTTCATAGAGCAGTTTTGAAACACTCTTTTTGTATAACCTGCAAGTAGATATTTGGACCGATTTGAAGCCTTCGTAGGAAAAGGGAATATCTTCACATAAACACTAGACAGAGGCATTCTCAGAAACTTCTTTCTGACGTGTACATTCAATTCACAGAGTTGAACCTTTCTTTTGATAGACCAAGTTTGAAACACTCTTTTTGTAGAATCTGCAAGTGGACCTTTGGAAGGCTTTGAGGCCTATGGTGGAAGAGGAAATATCTTCACATAAAAACTAGACAGAAGCATTCTCAGAAACTTCTTTGTGATGTTTGCATTCAACTCACAGAGTTGCACACACGTTTTCATGGAGCAGTTTTGACAGATTGTTGTTGTAGAATCTCCTAGTGGATATTTGGACTGCTTTGAGGCCTTCGTTGGAAACGGGAATGTCTTCACATAAAAACTAGACAGATGCATTCTCAGAAACTTCTTTGTGATGTGTGCATTCAACTCACAGAGTTGACCCTTTCTTTTGATAGATCAGTTTTGAAACACTCTTTTTGTAGAATCTGCAACTGGACATTTGGAGAGCTTTGATGCCTATTGTGGAAAAAGAAATATCTTCACATAAGAACCAGACAGAAGCATTCTCGGAAGCTTCTTTGTGATGTGTGCATTCAACTCACATTGTTGAACGTTTCTTTTGATAGAGCTGTTTTGAAACATTCTTTTTGTATAATCTGCAAGGGGACATTTGGAGAACTTTGAGGCCTATGATGTAAAAGGAAATATCTTCGCGGAAAAACTAGACAGAAGCATTCTCAGAAACTTCTTTGTGATGTGTGCATTCAACTCACAGAGTTGAACCTTTCTTTTGATAGAGCAGGTTTGAAACACTCTTTTTGCAGAATCTGCAAGTGGACATTTGGAACGCTTTGAGGCCTATAGTGGAAAAGGAAATATCTTCACGGAAAAACTAGACAGAAGCATTCTCAGAAACGTCTTTGTGATGTGTGCATTCAACTCACAGAACTGATAATACTTTACCATAGAGCAGTTTTGAGTCACTCTTTTAGTAGAATCTGCAAGTGGATATTTGGACCGCTTTGAGGCATTCCTTGGAAACGGGAATATCTTCATATAAAAACTAGACAGAAACATTCTCAGAAACTTCTTTTTGATGTGTGCATTCAACTCACAGGGTTGAACATTTCTTTCGATAGGGCAGTTTTGAAACACTCTTTTTGTAGAATCTGCTTTTTGCAGAATCTGCAAGTGGACATTTGGAACGCTTTGAGGCCTATAGTGGAAAAGGAAATATCTTCACGGAAAAACTAGACAGAAGCATTCTCAGAAACGTCTTTGTGATGTGTGCATTCAACTCACAGAACTGATAATACTTTACCATAGAGCAGTTTTGAGTCACTCTTTTAGTAGAATCTGCAAGTGGATATTTGGACCGCTTTGAGGCATTCCTTGGAAACGGGAATATCTTCACATAAACACTAGACAGAAGCTTTCTCAGAAACTTCTTTGTGCTGTGTGCATTCAACTCACAGAGTTGAAACTTTCTTTTGACAGAACAGGTTTAAAACAGTCTTTTTGTAGACTCTGCAAGTGGACATTTCAGCGATTTGATACCTATAGTGGAAAAGAAAATATCTTCCCATGTAAACGACAGAAGCATTCTCAGAAACTTCTTTGTGATGTTTGCCTTCAACTCACAGAGTTGAACAAACCTTATCATAGAGCAGTTTTGAAACACTCTTTTAGTAGAATCTGCAAGTGTTTAATTGGACCGGTTAGAGGGCTTCGTTGGAAACGGGAATATCTTCACATAATCACTAGACGGAAGATTTCTCAGAAACTTCTTTGTGCTGTGTGCATTCAACTCACTGAGTTGAACCTTTCTTTTGATAGAGCAGGTTTGAAACACTCTTTTTGTAGAATCTGTAAGTGGACATTTGGAGCGCTTTGAGGCCTATGGTGGGAAAGGAAATATCTTCACATAAAAACTAGGCAGAAGCATTCTCAGAAACTTCTTTGTGATGTTTGCATTCTACTCACAGAGTTGAATATTCATTTTCATGGGGCAGTTTTCAAACACTCTTTTTGTAGTATATGCTAGTGGAAATTTGGACTGCTTTGAGGCCTTCGTTGGAAACGGGAATATCTTCACATAAAAACTAGAGAGAAGCATTCTCAGAAACTTGTTTGTAATGTGTGCATTCACTTCACAGAGTAGAAACTTTCTTTTGATAGAACAGTTTTGAAACACTCTTTTTGTAGAATCTGCAAGTGGACACTTGGAACACTTTGAGGCCAATAGTGGAAAAGGAAATATCTTCCGATCTAAACTAGAGAGAAGCATTCTCAGAAACTTCTTTTTGATGTTTGCCTTCAACTCACAGAGTGGAACATACCTTATCATAGAGTCGTTTTGAAACACTCCTTTAGTAGAATCTGCAAGTGGATATTAGGTACCCCTTGAGGCCCTCCTTGGAAACGGGAATATCTTCACATAAAATCTAGACAGCAGCATTCTCAGAAACTTCTTTGTGATGTGTACATTCAACTCACAGAGTTAAAGCTTTCTTTTGATTGAGAAGTTCTGAAACACTCTTTTTGTAGAATCCGCTAGTGGACTTTTGTAGCGCTTTTGGGCCTATAGTGGAAAAGGAAATATCTTCACATAAAAACTAGACAGAAGTATTCTCAGAATCTTCTTTGTGATGTGTGCCTTCAACTCAAATAGTTGAAACTTTCTTTTGATTCAGCAGTTTGGAAACACTCTTTTTGGAGATTCTGCAAGTGGACATTTGGATCGCTTTGCTGCCAATGCTAGGAAAGGAAATACCTTCACATAAAATCCAGACAGAAGCAATCTGAGAAACTTCTTTGTGATGTGTGCATTCATCTCGCAGTGTTGAACCTTTCTTTTGACTGAGCAGTTTTGAAACTCTCTTTTTGTAGCATCTTCAAGTGGACTTTTGGATCGTTTTGAGGCCTATGGTGGAAAAGGAAATATCTTCACATAAAAACTTGACAGAAGAATTCTGAGAATCTCCTTTGTGATGTATGCGTTTATCTCACAAAGTTGAACCTTCCTTTTGATTGAGCAGTTTAGAAACATTCTTTTTGTAGAATCTGCAAGTGGACTATTGGAGTGCTTTGTTGCCTATGGTAGAAAAGGAAATATCTTCACATAAAATCTAGACAGAAGCAATCTCAGAAACTTCTTTGTGATACGTGCATTCATCTCAGAGAGTTAAACCTTTCTTTTGGTTGAGTAGTTTTGAAGCTCTCTTTTTGTAGAATCTGCAAGTGGACATTTTGAGTGCTTTGAGGCCTACAGTGGGAAAGGAAATATCTTCACATAAAAACTAGACAGAAGAATTCTGAGAAACTTCTTTGTGATGTGTGCGTTCTTCTCACAGAGTTAAAACTTCCTTTTGATTGAGCAGTTTGCAGACACTCTTTTCGTAGAATCTGCAAGTGGCCTATTGGAGTGCTTTGTTGCCTATGTTATAAAAGGAAATATCTTCACATAAAATCTAGACAGAACCAATGTGAGAAACCTCTTTGTGATGTGTGCATTCATCTCACAGAGTTAACGCATTCTTTTGATTGAGCAGTTTTGAAATTCTTTTTTTGTAGAATCTGCAAGTGAACATTTGGAGTGCTTTGAGGCCTATGGTGGAAAAGGAAATATCTTCACATAAAAACTAGAGAGAAGAATTCTGAGAAACTTCTTTGTGATGTGTGCGTTCATCTCACAGAGTTGAACCTTTATTTTGATTAAGAATTATGGAAGCACTATTTTTGTAGATTCTGTAAGTGGGCATTTGAAGCGCTTTGCAGCCTAAGTTAGAAAAGGAAATATCCTCACATAAAATCTAGACAGAAGCAATGTGAGAAACTTCCTTGGGATGTGTGCATTCATCTCACAGAGTTAACTCTTACTTTTGATTGAGCAGTTTTGAAACTCTCTTTTGTTGAATGTGGAAGTGGACATTTGGAGCGCTTTGAGGCTTATGGTGGAAAAGGAAATATCTTCACATAGAAACTAGACAGAAGCATTCTTAGAAACTTCTTTGTGATGTGTGCACTGATCTCACAGAGTTAAGCCTTTGTTTTGATTGAGCAGTTTTGAATCTCTCTTTTTGTAGAATCTGCAAGTTAACATTTGGAGCCCTTTGAGGTCTGTGGAGGAAAAGGAAATATTTTCACATCAAAACTACACAGAAGAATTTGGAGAAGCTTCTTTGTGATGCATGCGTTTATCTCACAGAGTTGAACCTTTCTTTTGATTAAGCAGTTTGGAAACACTCTTTTTGTGGAATCTGCAAGTGGACATTTGGAGCGCTTTGCAGCCTATGTTAGAAAAGGAAATATATTCCCATAAAATCTAGACAGAATGAATCTGAGAAACTTCTTTGTGATGTGTGCATTCATCTCACAGAGTTAAAACTTTCTTTTGATTGAGCTGTCTTGAAACTCTCTTATTGTAAAATCTGCAAGTGGACATTTGGAGCGCTTTGAGGCCTACGGTGGAAAAGTAAATATTTTCACATAGAAACTAGACAGAAAAATTCTGAGAAACTTCTTTGTGATGTGTGCTTACATCTCACAGAGTTGAACCTTTCTTTCGATTGAGCAGTTTGGAAGCACTCTTTTTGTAGAATCTGCAAGCGGACATTTGGAGCGCTTTGCGACCTCTGGTAGAAAAGGAAATATCTTCACAGAAAATCTAGATAAAAGCAGTCTGACAAACTTCTTTATGATGTGTGCATTCATCTCACAGAGTTAAACATTTCTTTTGATTAAGCAGTTTTGAAACTCTCTTTTTGTAGAATCTGCAAGTGTACATTTGGAGCGCTTTGAGGCCTATGGTGCAAAAGAAACGTCTTCAGATAAAAACTAGACAGAATAATTCTGAGAAACTTCTTTGTGATGTGTGCATTCATCTCACAGAATTGAACCTTTCTTTTGATTAACCAGTTTGGAATCACTCTTTTTGTAGAATCTGCAAGTGGACATTTGGAGCACTTTGCGGCCTACGTTAGAAAAGGATATATATTAAACTAAAATCTAGACAGAAGCAATCTGAGAAACTTCTTTGTGATGTGTGCATGCATCTCACAGAGTTAAAACTTTCTTTTGATGGAGCTGTCTTGAAACTCCCTTTTTGTAAAATCTGCAAGTGGACATTTGGAGCGCTATGAGGCCTATGATGGAAAAGGAAATATCTTCACATAAAAACTAGACAGCAGAATTCTGAGAAACTACTTTGTGATGTGTGCGTTCATATCACAGAGTTGAACTTTACTTTTGATTGAGCAGTTTGGAAAGACTCTTTTTGTAGAATTTGCAACTGGACATTTGGAGCGCTTTGTGGCCTATGGTAGAAAAGAAAATATCTTCACATAAAATCTAGATAAAAGCAATCTGACAAACTTCTTTGTGGTGTGTGCATTCATCTCACAGAGTAAACCTTTCTTTTGACTGAGCACTGTGGAAACTCTCTTTTTGTAGAATCTGCAAATGGACCCTTTGAAGGCTTTGAGGCCTATGGTGGAAAAGGAATTATCTTCACATAAAAACTAGACAGAAGAATTCTGACAAACTTCTTTGTGATGTGTGCACTCAGCTCAAGAAGTTGAACATTTCTTTTGATGGAGCAGTTTGGAAACACTCTTTTTGAAGAATCTGCAAGTGGACCTTTGGAGCTCTTTGCAGCCTATGGTGGAAAAGGAAATATCTTCACATAAGATGTAGACAGAAGTAATCTGAAAACCTTCTTTATGATGTGTGCATTCATCTCACAGAGTTAAACGTTTCTTTTGATTGAGCAGTCTTGAAACTCTTTTTGTAGAATCTACAAGTGGACATTTGGAGTGCTTTGAGGCCTATGGTGGAAAAGGAAATATCTTCACATAAAAAATAGATAGAAGTATTTTTAGAAACATCTTTGTGATGTGTGCATTCATCTAACGGATTGAAACTTTTCTTTTGATAGAGCAGTTTTAAAACTCCCTTTTTGTATAATCTCTAAGTGGACATTTGAAGGGCGTTCAGGCCTATGGTGAAAAATGAAATATCTTTGCATAAAAAGTACATAGAAGGATTCTGAGAAACTACTTTGTGATGTGTGCATTCAACCCCCAGATTTGAACATTCCTTTGAAGGACCAGTTTTGAAATACTCTTTTTGTAGAATCTGCAAGTGGACCTTTCGAGTGCCTTCAAGTCTACGGTACAAAAGGAAGTATCTTCACATAAAAACTAGAAAGAAGAATTCTGAGAAAGTTGTTTATGATGTGTGCATTCATCTAGAAAGTTGAACATTTCTTTGAATGAGCAGTTTGGAAACACTCTTTTGGTAGAATCTGCAAGTGGACATTTGGAGCATTCTGAGGCCTATGTTACAACAGGAAATATCTTCACATAAATTGTAGACAGAAGCAATCTGAGAAACTTCTTTGTGATGTGTGCATTCATCTCAAAGAGGCAAAGCTTTCTTTTGATAGAGCAGATTTGAAACTCTCTTTTTGTAGAATCTGCAAGTGGACATTTGGAGCGATTTGATGCATGCGGTGGAAAAGTTAATATCTTCATATAAAAACTAGACAGAAGAATTCTGAGAAACTTCTTTGAGATGTCTGCGTTCATCTCACAGAGTTGAAACTTCCCTTAGATTGAGCAGTTTGGAAACACTCTTTTTGTAGAATCTGCAAGTGGACATTTGGAGAGCTTTGCGGCCAATGGTAGAAAAGGAAATATCTTCACATAAAATCTAGACAGAAGTAATCTGAGAAACTTCTTTGTGATGTGTGCATTCATCCCACAGAATTAAAAGTTTCTTTTGATTTAGCAGTTTTGAAACTCTCTTTTTGTAGAATCTGCAACTGGACATTTGGAGTGCTTTGCGCCCTATGGTAGAAAAGGAAATATCTTCATATAAAATCTTGACAGAAGCAATCTGAGAAGCATCTTTGTGATATGTGCATTCATCCCAGAGAGTTAAAACTTTCTTTTGATTGAGGAGTATTGAAACTCTGTTTTTGTAAAATCTGCAAGTGGACATTTGGAGCCCTTTGAGTGCAATGGTGGAAAAGGAAATATCTTCCCATAAAAACCAGACAGAAGAATTCTGAGAAACTTCTTTGTGATGCGTGCATTAATCTCACACAGTTGAACCTTTCTTTTGATTAAGCAGTTTGCAACCACTATTTTTGTCGAATATGCAAGTGGACATTTAGAGGGCTTTGTGGTCTATGGAAGAACAGGAAATATCTTCACATAAAATCTAGACAGAAGGAATCTGAGAAATTTCTGTGTGATGTGTGCATTCATCTCACAGAGTTGAACGTTTCTTTTGATTGAGCTGTTGGAAACATTCTTTCTGTAGAATCTGCAAGTGGACATTTGGAGCGCTTTGCAACCTATGGTGGAAAAGGAAATATCTTCACATAAAAACTAGACAGAAGAATTATTAGAAACCTCTTTGTGATGCGAGTGTTCAACTCACAGAGTTGAACCTTTCTTTTGATTGCACAGTTTGGAAACAACTCTTTTTGTAGATTCTGCAAGTGGACATTTGGAGCTCTTTGTGGCCTATGGTAGAAAAGGAAATATCTTCACATAAAATCTAGACAGAAAGAATCTGAGAAATTTCTTTGTGATCCGTGCGTTCATCTCACAGAGTTGAAACTTTCTTTTGATTCAGCAGATTGGAAACACTCTTTTTGTAGAATCTACAAGTGAACATTTGGAGTGCTTTGCGGGCTGTGGTAGAAAAGGAAATATCCTCACTTAAAATCTAGAAAGAAGCAACCTGAGAAAGTTCTTTCTGATGTGTTCATTCATTTCACAGCGTTAAAGATTTCTTTTATTGAGCAGTTTTGAAACTCTCTTTTTGTAGAATCTGCAAGTGGACATTTGGAGTGCCTTGCGGGTATGGTAGAAAAGGAAACATCTTCACTTAAAATCTAGAAAGAAGCAATCTGAGAAACTTCTTTGTGATGTGTGCATTCATCTCACAGATTTAAACATTTCTTTTGATTGAGCAGTTTGGAAACACTCTTTTTGTAGAATCTGGAAGTGGACATTTGGAGCACTTTGAGGCCTATGGTGGAAAAGGAAATATCTTCACATAAAAAATAGACAGAAGAATTCTGAGAAACTCCTTTGTGATGTGTGCCTTCATCTCACAGAGTTGAACCTTTCTTTTTATAGAGCAGTTGCAAAAACACTTTTAGTAGAATCTGAATGTGGACATTTGTAGCGCTTTGCAGACTATGGTAGAGAAAGTAATATCTTCATGTAAAATCTAGACAGGAGCAATCTGAGAAACTACTTTGTGATGTGTGCATTCTTCTCACAGAGTTAAAACTTTCTTTTGATTTAGCAGTTTTGAAATTCTCTTTTAGTAGGATCTGCAAGTGGACATTTGGAAAGCTTTGAGGCCTATGGTGGAAAAGGAACTATCTTCCCATAAAAACTAGACAGAAGAATTCTGAGAAAGCAGTTTGTGATGTGTGGGTTCATCTCACAGAGTTGATACTTTCATTTGATTGAGCTGTTTGGAAACACTATTTTTGTAGTATCTGCAAGTGGACATTTGAAGCGCTTTGCAGCCTATGGTAGAAAAGGAAATATCCTCACATAAAATCTAGACAGAAGCAATCTAAGAAACTTCTTTGTGATGTGCGCATTCATCTCACAGATTTAAACCTCTTTTGATTGAGCAGTTTGGAAACACTCTTTTTGTAGAATCTGGAAGTGAACATTTGGAGTGCTTTGAGGCCTACGGTGGAAAAGGAAATATCTTCACATAAAAACTAGACAGAAGAATTCTGAGAAACTTCTTTGTGATGTGTGCATTCATCTCACAGAGTTGAACTTTTGTTTGGATGGAGCAGTTTGAAAACACTCTTTTTCTAGAATTTGCAAGTGGACATTTGGAGCTCTTTGCAGCCTATGGTAGAAAAAAGGAATATCTTCACATAAAATCTAGACAGAAGTAATCTGAGAAACTGCTTTGTCATGTGTGCATTCATCTAACAGGGTTGAACCTTTCTTTTGATTGAGCACATTGGAAATACTCTTTTTGTAGAATCTGCAAGTGGACATTTGGAGCGCTTTGCGGCCTATTTTAGAAAAGGAAATATCTTCACATAAAATCTAGACAGAAGAAATCTGAGAAACTTCTTTGTAAATGTGTGCATTCATCTCACAGAGTTAAACCTTTCCTTTCATTGAGAAGTTTTGAAACTCTCTTTTTATAGAATCTGAAAGTGGACATTTGGAGTACTTTGAGGCATATGGTGGAAAAGGAAATATCCTCAGATAAAATCTAGAAAGAAACAATCTGAGAAACTTCTTTACAATGTATGCATTCATCTCACACAGTAAAACCTTTCTTTTGATTGAGCAGTTTTGAAACTCTCTTTTTGTAGAATCTGTAAGTGGACATTTGGAGGGCTTTGAGGCCTATGGTGGAAAAGGAAATATCTTCACATAAAAACAAGACAGAAGAATTCTGAGAAACGTATTTGTGATGTGTGCGTTCATCTCACAGAGTTGAACTTTTCTTTTGATTGAGCAGTTTGGAAACACTCTTTTTGTAAAAATCTGCAGGTGGACATTTGGAACGCTTTGCAGCCTATGTTAGAAAAAAGAAATATCTTCATATAAAATCTAGACAGAAGCAATCTGAGAAACTTCCTTGTGATGTGTCCTTTCATCTCACAGAGTTGCAACTTTCTTTTCATTGAGCAGTTTGGAGACCCTCTTTTTGTGGAATCGGCAAGTGGAAATTTGGAGCGCTTTGCGACTATGGTAGAACAGGAAATGTCTTCACATAAAATCTAGACAGAAGCAATCTGAGAAACTTCTTTCTGATGTGTGCATTCATCTCACAGAGTTAAATCTTTCTTTTTTGAGCAGTTTTGAAACTCTCTTTTTGTAGAATCTGCAAGTTGACATTTGGAGTGCATTGAGGCCTACGGTGGAAAAAGAAATATCTTCACATAAAATCTAGAGAGAAGCAATCTGAGAAACTTCTATGTTGGAAAAGGAAACATCTTCACGTAACAACTAGACAGAAGAATTCTGAGAAACTTCTTTGGATGTTTGGGTTCATCTCACAGAGTTGAACCTTTCTTTTGATTGAGCAGTTTGAAAACACTCTTTTTGTAGTATCTGTAAGTGGACATTTGGAACGCTTTGCAGCCTATGGTAGAAAAGGGAATATATTCACATAAAATCTAGACAGAAGCAATCTGAGAAAATTCTTTGCAATGGGTGCATTCATTCAACAGAGCTGTACCTTTCCTTTGATGGACCAGTTTTGAAATACTCTTTTTGTGGAATATGCATGTGGACATTTCGAGCGCCTTGAGGCCTAGGGTGGAAAATGAAATATCTTCACATAAAAGCTAGACAGAAGAATTCTGAGAAACTTCTTTGAAATGTGTGCGTTCATCTCACAGAGTTGAACTTTTCTTTTGATTGAGCAGTTTGGAAAATTTTTTTTTTGTAGAATCTGCAAGTGGATATGTTGAGCACTTTGTGGCCTATAGTAGAAAAGGAAATATCTTCACATAAAATCTAGACAGAAGCAATCTTAGAAACTTCTTTGTTATGTGTGTACTCATCTCAAAGAGGTAAACCTTTCTTTTGATTGAGCAGTTTTGAAACTCTCTTTTTGTAGAATCTGCAAGTGGACAGTTGGAGCACTTTGAGGCCTACGCTGGAAAAGGAAATATCTTCAGATAAAATCTAGAAAGATGAAATTTGAGAAACTTCTTTGTGACGTGTGCATTTATCTCACAGAATTAAACATTTTTTGAGCGATTTTGAAAGTCTCTTTTTGGAGAATCTGCAAGTTGACATTTGGAGGCCTTTGAAGCCTATGTTGGAAAAGGCAATTATCTTCACATAAAAACCAGACCGAAGAATTCTGAGAACCTTCCTTGTGATGCGTGCCTCCATCTTGCAGTGTTGAATCATTCTTTTCATTGAGCAGTATGGAAATACTGTTTTTGAAGGATCTGCAAGTGGATATTTAGAGCTCTTTGCAGCCTATGTTAGAATAGAAAATGTCTTCACATAAAATCTAAACAGAAGCAATCTGAGATACTTCTTTGTGATGTGTCCTTTCATCTCACAGAGTTAAAACTTTCTTTTGATTGAGCAGTTTTCAATCTCTCTTTTTGTAGAATCTGCAAGTGGACATTTGGAGCACTTTGAGGCCTGTGGTGGAAAAGGAAATATCTTCACATAAAAACTAGACAGAAGCAATCTGAGAAACTTCTTTGTGATGTGTGCATTCATTTCACAGAGTAAAACCTTTCTTTTGATGGAGCAGTTTTGAAACTCTCTTTTTGTAGAATCTGCAAATAGACATTTGGAGTTCTTTGAGGCCTATGGTGGAAAAGGAAATATCTTCACATAAAAACTAGACAGAAGCATTTTGAGAAACTTCTTTCTGATTTGTGCGTTCATCTCACAGAGGTGAATTTTTGTTTGGATTGAGCTGTCTGAAAACACTCTTTCTGTAGAATGTGCAAGTGGATATTTGGAGCGCTTCGAGGCCTATGGTAGAAAAAAGAAATATCTTCACATAAAATCTAGACAGAAGCAATCTGAGAAACTTCTTTGTGATGTGTGCATTAATTTCACAGAGTTGATCCTTTCTATTGATTGAGCAGTTTGGAAACACTCTATTTATAGAATCGGCAAGTGGAAATTAGGAGCGCTTTGCAGCCTATTGTAGAACAGGGAATATCTTCATATAAAATCTAGACAGAAGCAATCTGAGAAACTTCTTTCTGATGTGTGCATTCATCTCACAGAGTTAAATCTTTCTTTTTTTAGAGCAGTTTTGAAAATCTCTTTTTGTTGAATCTGCAAGTTGACATTTGGAGCGCTTTGAGGCCTATGGTGGAAAAGGAAATATCTTCATATAAAAACTAGACAGAAGAATTCTGAGAAACTTCTTTGTGATGTGTGCATTCCTCTCACAGAGTTGAACCTTTCTTTTGATTGAGCAGTTTGGAAACACTCTTTTTGTAGAATCTGCAAGTGGACATTTGGTGCACTTTGCGGCCTATGGTAGAAAAGGAAATATCTTCACATTAAATCTAGACAGAAGCAATCTGAGAAACTTCTTTTTGATGTGTGCATTTATCTCACAGAGTTAAAACTTTCCTTTGATTGAGTAGTTCTGAATCTCTCTTTTTGTTGAATCTGAAATTGGGCATTTGGAGCTCTTTCAGGCCCTTGGTGGAAAAGGAAATATCTTCACATAAAAACTAGACAGAAGAATTCTGAGAAACTTCTTTGTGATGTGTGCGTTCATCTCACAGAGTTGAACCTTTCTTTTTATTGAGCCGTTTGAAAACACTGTTTTTGTAGAATCTGCAAGTGGACATTTGGAGCACTTTGCAGCCAATGGTAAAAAAGGAAATATCTTGACATAAAATCTACACAGAAGCAATCTGGGAAACTTCTTTGTGATGTGCACGCTCTTCTCACAGAGTTAAACCTTTCTTTTGATTGAGCAGTTTTGAAACTCTCTTTTTGTAGATTCTGCAAGTGAACATTTGGAGCGGTTTGAGACCTATGGTGGAAAAGGAAATATATTCACATAAAAACTAGATAGAATCAATATGAGAAACTACTTTCTGATATGTGCGTTCATCTCCCAGATTTGAACCTTTCTTTTGATGGGCCAGTTATTTATTGCTCTTTTTGTGGAATCTGCAAGTGGACATTTCAAGCCCCTTGAGGCCTGCCGTGGAAAATGAAATACATTCACATAAAAACTAGACAGAAGAAATCTGAGAAACATCTATGTGACGTGTGCGTTCATCTCACAGAGTTAAACTTTTTTTGATCGATCAGTTTGGAAACACACTTTTTGAACAATCTGCAAGTGGACATTTGAAGCTCTTTGAGAACTGTGGTGGAAAAGGAAATATCTTCACATAAAAACTAGACAGAAGAATACTGTGAAATCACTTTGTGATGCGTGCGTTCATCACACAGAGTTGAAAGTTTCCTTTCATTGGGCTGTTTGGAAATACTCTTTTTGTAGAATCTACATGTGGACAATTTTAGCGCTTTGCGGCCTATGGTAGAAAAGGAAATATCTTCACATAAAATCTAGACGGAAGCAATCTGACAAACTTCTTTGTGATGTGTGCATTCATCTCACAGAGTTAAACCTTTCTTTTTATTGAGCAGTTTTGAAACTCTCTTTTTGTAGTATCTGCAAGTGGACATTTGGAGCCCTTTTAGGCCTGTGGTAGAAAAGAAAATCTCTTCACATAAAAACTAGACAGAAGAATTCTGAAAAACTTCTTTGTGATGCGTGCTTTCATCTCCCATAGTTGAAACTTTCTTTTGATACAGCAGGTTGGAAACACTCTTTTATAGAATCTGCAAGTGCACATTTGGAGTGCTTTGCGGCCTGTAGTAGAAAAGGAAATATCTTCACATAAAGTCTAGACAGAAGAAATCTGAGAAACTTCTTTGTGATGTGTGCATTCATCTCATGGAGTCAAACTGTTCTTTTGATTGAGCAGTCTTGAAGCTCTCCTTTTGTAGAATCCGCAAGTGGATATTTGGAACTCTTTGAGGCCAACAGTGGAAAGGAAATATCTGCACATAAAAACTAGACAGAAGAATTCTGAGAAACTACTTTGGGACGTGTGCATTCATCTCACAGATTTGAACCTATCTTTTGATTGAACAGTTTGGAGACACTCTTTCTGTAGAATATGCAAGTGGACATTTGGAGAACTTTGTGGCATGTGGTGGAAAAGGAAATATCTTCACATAAAATCTAGACAGAAGCCATCTGAGAAACTTCTTTGTGATGTGTGCATTCATCTCACAGAGTTAAACCTTTCTTTTGATTGAGCAGTTTGGAAACACTCTTTTTGTAGAATCTCAAAGCGGACATTTGGAGCACTTAGAGGCCTATGGTGGAAAAGGAAATATCTTCACATAAAAACTAGACGGAAGAATTCTGATAATCTTCTTTGTGATGTGTGCATTCATCTCACAAAGCTGAAATTTTCTTTTGATTGAGCAGTTTGGAAACACTCTTTTTGTAGAATCTGCAAGTGGACATTTGCAACTCTTTGCGGCCTACGGTTGAAACAGAAATATCTTCACATAAAATCTAGACAGAAACAATCTGAGAAACTTCTTTGTGATGTGTGCATTCATCTCACAGAGTTAAACCTTTCTTTGGATTGAGCGGTTTTGAAACTCTCTTTTCGTAGAATCTGCAAGTGGACATTTGGAGTGCTTTGAGGCCTATGGTGGAAAAGGTAATATCTTCACATAAAAACTAGACAGAATAATTCTGACAAACTTCTTGGGAATGTGTGCGTTCATCTCACAGACTTGAACCTTTCTTTTGATTGAGGAGTTTGGAAACACTCTTTTTTGTAGAATCTGCAAATGGACATTTGAAGCGCTTTGCGACCTATGGTAGAAAAAGTAATACCTTCACATAAAATCTAGAGAGAAGAAATCGGAGAAACTTCTTAGTGATGGGTGCATTCATCTCACAGAGTTTAAACTTTCTTTTGATTCAGCAGTTTTGAAACTCTCTTTTTGTAGAATCTGCAAGTGGACATTTGGAACACTTGAGGCTTATGGTGGAAAAGGAAATATCTTCACATAAAAACTAGAAAGAAGAATTCTGACAAACTTCTTTGTGATGTGTGCGTTCTTCTCACAGAGTGGAACTGTTCTTTCGATTGAGCAGTTTGGTACCACTCTTTCTTGTAGAGTCTGCAAGTGGACATTTGGAGCGCTTTGCAGTCTATGGTAGAAAAGTAAATATCTTCACATATAATCTAGACAGAAGCAATATGAGAAACTTGTTTGTGATATATGCATTCATCTCACAGAGAGCACCCTTTCTTTTGATTGAGCAGTTTTGAAACTCTCTTTTTGTAGAATCTGCAAGCGGACATTTAGAGTGTCTTGAGGCCTATGGTGGAACAGGAAATATCTTCACATAAAAATTAGACAGAAGAATTCTGAGAAACTTCTTTGTGATGAGTGTGTTAATCTCACAGAGTTGAACGTTTCTTTTGATTGAGTAGTTTGGAAAACTCTTTTTGTAGAATCTGCAAGTGGACATTTGGAACTCTTGGCAGCCAATAGTAGAAAAGGAAATATCTTCACCTAAAATCTAGACAGAAGCAATCTGAGAAACTTTTGTGATGTGTGCATTAATCTCACAGAGTTAAACCTTTCTTTTGATTGAGCAGATTGGAAACTTTTTGTAGAATCTGCAAGTGGACATTTGGCAGCGCTTTGAGGCCTATGGTGGAAAAGGAAATATCTTCACATAAAAAGTAGATAGAAGCATTCTGAGAAAGTTCTCTGTGATGTCTGCATTCATCTCCTGGAGTTCCAACTTTCTTTAGGAGAACCAGTTTTCAAATACTCTTTTTGGAGAATCTGCAAGGGGACATTTCAAGCACCTTGAGGCTTAAGTTGGAAAAGGAAATATCTTCACACACAAAAAGAAGAATTCTGAGAATCTTTTTTATGATGTGTACGTTCATCTAACAGAGTTGAACCTTTCTTTTGATTGTGTAGTTTGGAAACACCCTTTTTGTAGAATCGGCAAGTGGACATTTGGAGCGCTTTGTGGCCTATGATAGAAAAGGAAATATCTTCACATAAAATCTAGAAGGAAGCAATCTGAGAAACTCCTTTGTGATGTGTTCATTCATCTCACAGAGTTGAAACTTTCTTTTGATTGAGCAGTTTTTAAACACTCTCTTCGTGGAATCTGCAAGTGGATATTTGGAGCCCTTTGAGGCCTATTGTGGAAAAGGAAATTTCTTCACATAAAAACTACTCAGAAGCATTCTGAGAAACACCATTGTGATGTTTGCATTCAACTCACAGAGTTGAAACTACGTTTTGATTGAGCAGTTTTGAATCTCTCTTTTTGCAGAAACTACAAGTGTATGTTTGGAAAGCTTTGAGGCCTATTGTGGAAAAGGAAATATCTTCACATAAAAACTACACAGAAGCATTCTGAGAAACTACTTTGTGAGGTGTGCATTCAACTCACAGAGTTGAAATTATCTTCTCTTTGAGGAGTTTTCAATCTCTCTTTTTGTAGAATCTGCAAGTGGATATTTGAAGACCTTTGCGCCCTATGGTGGAAAAGGAAATATCTTGAAATAAAAACTACACAGAAGCATTCAGAGAAACTTCTTCATGATATGTGCATTCAACTCACAGAGTTGAACCTATCTTTTGATTGAGCAGTTTTGAATCTCTCTGTTTGCACAATCTGAAGGTGGATATTTTGAGCGCTTTGAGGCCTACAGTGGAAAAGCAAATATCTTCACATAAAAACTATGCAGAAGCATTGTGAGAAACTACTTTGTGAGGTGTGCATTCAACTCACAGAGTTGAACTTATCTTCTCATTGAGCAGTTTTGAATTTATCTTTTGGTAGAATCTTCAAGTGGATATTTGGAGCCCTTTGCGCCCTATGGTGGAAAAGGAAATATCTTCAAATAAAAACTACACAGAATCACTCAGAGAAACTGCTTTGTGATGTGTGCATTCATCTCACAGGGTTGAACCTAGCTTATGATTGAGCAGTTTTGAAACACTCTTTTTGTAGGATCTTCAAGTGGATATTTGGAGCGCTTTGAGGCCTACAGTGGAAAACCAAATATCTTCAAATAAGAACTACACAGAAGCATTCTGAGAAACTTCTTTGTGATGTGTGCATTCATCTCACAGAGTTGAAACTTTCTTTTGATTGAGCAGTTTTGAAACATTCTTTCTGTTGAATCTGCAAGTGGATATTTGGAGCCCTCTGCAGCTTATGGTGGAAAAGGAAATATCTTCAAATAAAAACTACACAGAAGCATTCTCAGAAACTTCTTCATGATGTATGCGTTCAACTCACAGAGTTGAACCTATCTTTTGATTGAACAGTTTTGAATCTCTCTTTTTGTAGAATCTGCAAGTGGATATTTGGAGTGCTGTGAGGCCTACTGTGGAAAATCAAATATGTTCACATAAAAACTACAGAGAAGCATTCTGAGAAACTTCTTTGGCTGTGTGCATTCAACTCACAGAGTTCAACCCGTCTTTCAATTAGCAGTTTTGAATCTCTCTTTTTGCAGAATCTGCAAGTGGATGTTGGGAGAGCTTTGAGGCCTATGGTGGAAAAGGAAATAGCTTCACATAAAAACTACACAGAAGCATTCTGAGAAACTTCTTTGTGATGTGTGCATTCATCTCACAGAGTTGAACCTTTCTTTTGATTGAGCAGTTTTGAAACACTCTTTTTGTAGAATCTGCAAGTGGATATTTGGAGAACTTTGAGGCCTATTGTGGAAAAGGAAATATCTTCACATAAAAACTACTCAGAAGCACTCTGAGAAACTTCTTTGTGATATGGGCATTCAACTCACAGAGTTGAACCTATCTTTTGATTGAGCAACTTAGAGTCACTCTTTTTCTAGAATCTGCAAGTGGATATTTGGAGCCCTTTGCACCCTATGGTTGAAAAGGAAATATCTTCAATAAAAA
The DNA here is from genome assembly GCF_000001405.40 of Homo sapiens. Lineage (NCBI taxonomy): Eukaryota > Metazoa > Chordata > Mammalia > Primates > Hominidae > Homo > Homo sapiens. The sequence goes on from NC_000009.12 coordinate 43,216,624, forward strand.
CTACACAGAAGGATTCTAAGAAACTTCTTCGTGATGTGTGCATTCAACTGAATGAGTTGAACTTATCTTCTCATTGAGTAGTTTTCAATCTCTGTTTTGTAGAATCTGGAAGTGGATGTTTGGAGCCCTTTCACCGTATTGTGGAAAAGGAAATATCTGCAAATAAAACTACACAGAATCATTCAGAGAAACTTCTTTGTGATGTATACATTCAACTCACAGAGTTGATCCTATCTTTTGATTGAGCAGTTTTGAATCCCTCTTTTTGCAGATTCTGCAGGTGGATATTTGGAGCCTTTTGAGGCTTACTGTGGAAAATCAAATATGTTCACATAAGAACTACACAGAAAGATTCTGAGAAACTTCTTTGCGATGTGTGCATTCAAGTCACAGAGTTGAACCTATCTTTTGATTGAGCAGTTTTGAATCTCTCTTTTTGCAGAACCTGTATGTGGATGTTTGGAGAGATTGGAGGCCTATTGTGGAAAAGGAAATATCTTCACATAAAAACTACACAGAAGCATTCTGAGAAACTTCCTTGTGAGGTATGCATTCAACTCACAGAGTTGATCTTATCTTCTCATTGAGCAGTTTTGAATCTCTCTTTTTGTAGAATCTGCAAGTGGATATTTGGAGCCCTTTGAACCCTGTGGTGCAAAAGGAAATATCTTGAAATAAAAACTACAAAGAAGCATTCAGACAAACTTCTTTGTGATGTATGCATTCAACTCACAGAGTTGAACATATCTTTTGATTGAGCAGTTTTGAATCTCTCTTTTTGCAAAATCTGCAGGTGGATATTTGGAGCCCTTTGAGGCCTACTGGGGAAAAGCAAATATCTTCACATAAAAATTACACAGAAGTATTCTGAGAAACTACTTCGTGACGTGTGCATTCATCTCACAGGGTTGAATCTATCTCATGATTGAGCAGTTTTGAAACACTCTTTTTGTAGAATATGGAAGTGGATATTTGGAGCCCATTGAGGCCTATAGTGCAAAGGAAATATCTTCACATAAAAACAACACAGAAGGATTCTGAGAAACTTCTTTGTGATGTGTGCATTCATCTCACTGAGTTGAATCTTTCTTTTCATTGCGCAGTTTTGAAACACCGTTTTTGTAGAATCTGCAAGTGGATATTTGGAGAACTTTGCCGCCTATTGTGGAAAAGGAAACATCTTCACATAAAAACTACTCAGAAGCATTCTGAGAAACTTCTTTGTGATGTGGGCATTCAACTCACAGAGTTGAACCTATCTTTTGATTGAGCAGTTTAGAGTCTCTCTTTTCTATAATCTGCAAGTGGATATTTGGAGCCCTTTGCACCCTATGGTGGAAAAGGAAATATCTTCAATAAAAACTACACAGAAGCATTCTAAGAAACTTCTTCGTGATGTGTACAGTCAACTCACTGAGTTGAACTTATCTTCTCAATGAGCAGTTTTGAATCTCTGTTTTTGTAGATTCTGCAAGTGGATATTTAGAGCCCTTTGTGCCCTATCGTGGAAAAGGAATTATCTTCAAATAGAACTACACAGAACCATTCAGAGAAACTTCTTTCTGATGTATGCATTCCACTCACAGAGTTGAACCTATCTTTTGATTGAGCAGTTTTGAATACCTCTTTTTGCAGAATCTGCAGGTGGATATTTGGAGCATTTTGAGGCCTGCTGTGCAAAATCAAATATGTTCACATAAAAACTACACAGAAAGATTCTGAGAAACTTCTTTGTGATGTGTGCATTCAACTCACAGAGTTGAACCTATCTTTTGGTTGAACCTATCTTTTGAAAACGAAATGTCTTCCCATAAAAAGTGGACAGAAGCACTCCCAGAAACTAGTTTGTGATGTGTGTACTCAACTGACAGATTTGAACCTTTGTTTTGATAGAGCAGTTTTGAAACACTCTTTTTGTAGAATCTGCAAGTGCATATTTGGATAGCTTTGAGGATTTCGTTGGAAACGGGAATATCTTCATATAAAATCTAGACAGAAGCATTCTCAGAAACATCTTTAGGATGTTTGCATTCAAGTCACAGAGTTGAACATTCCAGTTCATAGAGCAGGTTTGAAACACTCTTTTTGTAGTATGTGGAAGTGGACGTTTTGATCACTTTGAGGCCTATGGTGAAAAAGCAAATATCTTCCCATAAAAACTAGACAGAAGCATTCTCATAAACTTGTTTGTGATGTGTGTACTCAACTCACAGAATTTAACCTTTCTTTTCATACAGCAGTTTTGAAACACTCTTTTTGTAGAATCTGCAAGTGGATATTTGGATAGCTTTGAGGATTTCGTTGGAAACGGGAATATCTTCATATAAAATCTAGACAGAAGTATACTCAGAAACATCTCTGTGATATTTGCATTTAAGTCACAGAGTTGAACATTATCTTTCATAGAGCAGGTTTGAAACACACTTTTTGTAGTATGTGGAACTGGACATTTGGAGCGCTTTGTGGCCTATGGTGAAAAACAAAACATCTTCCCATAAAAACTACACAGAAGCATTCTCAGGAACAAGTTTGTGATGTGTGTACTCAACTAATAGAGTTGAATCTTTCTTTTCATAGAGCAGTTTTGAAACACTCTTTTTGTAGAATCTGCAAGTCGATATTTGGATAGCTTTGAGGATTTCGTTGGAAACGGGAGTATCTTCATATAAAATCTAGACAGAAGCATTCTCAGAAACATCTTTGGGATGTATGCGTTCAAGTCACAGAATTGAACATTCCCTTCCACAGAGCAGGTTTGAAACACTTTTTGTAGTATCTGGAAGAGGACATTTGGATCGCTTTGAGGCCTATGGTGAAAAAGGAAATATCTTCCCATAAAAACTAGACAGAAGCATTCTCAGAAACTAGTTTGTGATGTGTGTACTCAAATAACAGAGTTGAACCTTTCTTATGATAGAGCAGTTTTGAAACACTCTTTTTGTAGAATCTGCAAGTGGATATTTGGATAGCTTTGAGGATTTCCTGGAAACAGGAATATCTTCCTATAAAATCTAGACAGAAGCATTCTCAGAAACATGTCTGTGATGTTTGCATTCAAGTCACAGAGTTGAATATTCCCTTTCATAGAGCAGGTTTGACACACTCTTTTTGTAGTATCTGGAAGGGCACATTTGGAGAGGTTTGAGGCCTATGGTGAAAAAGGAAATATCTTCCCATAAACACTAGACAGAAGCATCCTCATAAACCAGTTTGTGATGTGTGTACTCAACTAACAGAGTTGAACCTTTCATTTGAAAGAGCAGTTTTGAAACACTCTCTTTGTGGAATCTGCAAGTGAATATTTGGATAGCTTGGAGAGTTTCGTTGGAAACAGGAATATCTTCATATAAAATCTACACAGAAGCATTATCAGAAACTTCTTTGTGATCTTTGCATTCAAGTCACAGAGTGGAACATTCCCTTTCATAGAGCAGGTTTGAAACACTGATTTTGTAGTATCTGCAACTGGACATTTGGAGCGCTTTGTGGCCTATCGTGAAAAAGGAAATATCTTCCCATAAAAACTAGACAGAAACATTCTCATAAACTTGTTTGTGATGTGTGTACTCAACTGACAGAGTTGAACCTTTCTTTTGATAGAGCAGTTTTGAAACACTCTTTTTGTAGAATCTGCAAGTGGATATTTGGATAGCTTTGAGGATTTCGTTGGAAACGGGAATATCTTCCTATAAAATCTAGACAGAAGCATTCTCAGAAACATCTCTGTGATGTTTGCATTCAAGTCACAGAGTTGAACATTCCCTTTCATAGAGCAGGTTTGAAACACTGTTTTTGTAGTATCTGGAAGTGCACATTTGGAGCGCATTGAGGCCTAAGGTGAAAAAGGAAATATCTTCCCATAAAAACTAGACAGAAGCATTCTCAGAAACTTGTTTAGGATGTGTGTACTCAACTAGCAGAGTTGAAACTTTCTTTTGATAGAGCAAAACAGTAAATTGAAGTTTAAAATAATTGTAACAATTGCATCTTATATATCAGGTGAGATTTCATAGTTTGGTTCAAGTAGTTTTCAAGTCACAAATTTTCAAGTTTTTAACTTTTCAAGAGTTGTGCAAGTTCATCAGCCAGAAATCAAGCAAAAGGCTAGATAAGTAGCAGCAGGTGCAGGATTCTTGATATTGAAACTTTTAGGACTTTTCTCCTTCAGGATTCCAATGTTGTACATTTTATTTCCAGTATAACCCCTATGCATAGGATAAAGTAGTTTCACATGTTTGATTTTTCTAATTAGTTATTTGGGTCTCAAAATGTCCAGTTTATCAAAAAATCTTGTGCTGTGTCCTGGGGACCATCTACTATAGCCTCATCATTGAATTTTTCAAGAACCTAAGGGGTTCCCTAAGTCCAAGGAAGACAATCAGTGTCTACAAGTCAGGAGGAGAAGGGGAAAGGGCATTCTAATCATTGCTTTGTTTTCATTGATTCTGTTGCTGCTTTCTTGCCATTGAAACTACTCTTGCAGTCTGGTAATGATTAACCTTTGCCACCAGGATGCCCTTTCTGTTTGAGATCCCTCAATCTTCATGTTGATTCATAAAAAGGCTTCAAAGTTACAACTATTTTTTTTAGTTCCCAGACTAACAAAAATAATCTAGCTTTTTGTCTTGACTACCAACCACTCTGGATTTTTTTTTTTTTTTTTTTTGAGATGGAGTCTCGCCCTGTTGCCCAGGCTAGAGTGCAGTGGTGTGATCTTGGCTCACATAACCTCCACCTCCCAGGTTCAAGCAATTCTCCTATCTCAGCCTCCGAAGTATCTGGGACTATAGGCACACACCACCACACCCGGCTAATTTTTGTATTTTCAGTAGAGATGGGGTTTCACCATGTTGGTCATGCTGCTCTTTAACTCCTGACCTCAGGTGATCCATCTGCCTTGGCCTCCCAAAGTGCTAGGATTACAGGCATGAGCCACCATGCCCGGCCCACTCTGGATTTAAGGACAGTTCTTCCTTCAATCAGCAGCCAAAGAGTCCTGATTCCTGATTCTAATTAAGAAGTTTAACTTGGTATTCTATTTCTGATGGAAGGATGGCTGAAAGAAGGGAGACTCAAACAACAGATGAAGGCAAAATACTCTGTACTGAATTTTCAATGTAATCTTAAATTCTATGTTTAATTGAGATGACCCAAGTTCTTTTTTTTTTTTTTTTTTTTTGATACGCAGTCTCTCTCTGTTGCCCAGGCTAAAGTGCAGTGGCATGATCTCGGCTCACTGCAACCTCCACCTCCCGGGTTCACACCATTCTCCTGCCTCAGCCTCCCAAGTAGCAGGGACTACAGGCGCCCGCCACCACACCTGGCTAACTTTTTGTATTTTTAGTGGAGACGGAGATGACCCAAATTCTTAACTGCCTCATAAATACTGTTAATATATTGAAAGTTTTGCCCTAGGCTTTTATTAAAGTCAACTATATAGAAAAAGTTTCTCCTATCTTGAAATGTATTATTAAAGACATCATCCCCAATAATATTCCATATTCTCTGTTTAGGAACCCCAATTGTTTTCAAATTCAAGAATTC